>NC_000010.11:33357106-33661388 GCF_000001405.40 Homo sapiens
GGATATAATTGAATCATCGGGGCAGTTTCCTCCATACTGTTCTCATGGTAGAGAATAAGTCTCATGAGATCTGATGGTTTTATAAGGGGAAACCTCTTTCACTTGGTTCTCATTCTGTCTTCCCTGTCATCATGTAAGAAGTGAGGGTTTGTTTGTTTTTTTTTGACAGAGTCTTACTGTGTCACCCAGGCTGAAGTGCAGTGGCACAATCTCGGCTCACTGATCCCCAGTTCAAGTGATTCTCATGCCTCAGCCTCCCGAGTAGCTGGGATTATAGGTGCGCACCATCACATCTGGCTAATTTTTTTTTGTATTTTTAGTAGAGCCAGGGTTTCACCATGTTGCCCAGGCTGGTCTCGAACTCCTGAGCTCAGGCAATCCGCCTGCCTCAGGCTCCCAAAGTGCTGGGATTACAGGCATGAGCCACCGTGCCCAGTGATGTGACTTTTTCTTCCTTGCCTTCTGCCATGATTGTGAGGCCTCCCAAGCCACATGGAACTGTGAGTCCATTAAACCTCTTTTTCTTTATAAATTATCCAGACTTTGGTATGTCTCTATGAGCAGCGAGAAAATGGACTAATACAGAGCCTACCCCATAGCTTGTGTACAATGTGTACACACCAAACCGTGACCTGCCTAGCTGTCTCCTAGAGGAAAGAAGGGGCACTCTAGAGAGAACAGAAAACAGCCTGAGGAAGTGGCAATGAATTTTGCCTTGAAGGGCCGGTAAGATTTCAGCAGGTACAATTCAGGAAATGGAGAGGTAGGAGGCATTCCAGGAAGGACACAAGTAAAGGCAAGAAGCCAGGAAAATGAATGGAGAGCATGAACCGTCTGATGGTGGAGCAGTGGTTCTCAAAGCATGGTCATGGGCCCAGCAGCATCAGCATCTGGCCTGATGATTGTTAGAGATGAAAATCTTTGGACCCCTGACCAGATTTACTGAATCATAAAATCCTAGTAATCTGTGTCTTAACAATCCTCTGGTTGATTCTGTTGCTCACCGAAGTTTGAGAACCACTGGGCTAGGGCACTGTGTTCTCACTGGGGACCCACGAACCTCCAGAGAGTTGCAGAGGGATTCATGTGGTGACAATGACAGAGCAAGTCAAGAGTCAACCCCCCCACCACCGCCCCTCACCCAATAGGCAAGGGCAATCGTGTGTGGGGTCAGAGTCAGTGCTGTTGTGACTTGGTGGAATACCACTGGTTTCAACCTTCATAGAATTTGGGTGGCTTTTTGTTGTTGTTTTGTTATTGTTGTTGTTGTGGTTTGGTTTGGTTTTTTGAGACAGGGTTTCACTCTGTCACTCAGGTTGGAGTGCAGTGGCATGATCATGGCTCACTGCAGCCATGGGCCCCTGGGCTCAAGCAATCCTCCCACCTCAGCTTTCTCTATAGCTGGGACTACCGGTGAGAGCCACCATGCCTGGCTAACTTTTTTCCTTATTCTATAGAGGCGGGATCTCACCATGTTAGCCAGGCTGGTCTCAGACTCCTGGAGTTTTTAATTGATTTTTTTTCAGCTACATATTGGGGCTGAAAAGGTGGAATTTTTAAAAACACAATGTAAGGAAAACTAGTGTTAGAATATAAGCTGTTGAGAAGCAAATGATAGTAATATTTCTGCAAATTTAGCTCAAGATAATTTTCACAAGTCAGATCCACAAGTCAGATGGCAAAATTCTTATAAAGCTTATCAAGATGTCTCAAATGCTTAAAAAATAAACAGAAAAAAGAGAAAAATATAGTAATAATCATATCTAGTTTGGCTTTCGTCTAATAAAAATGTGTTATTTGGAAAGTGCTTGTAAATAGCCTAAAAATTTCTTTCATATCATCTTTAGAACTTAACAATTATAAAAATGAGCCAATTGATTTTTACATTACAAAATGCAGACATTCTAAATATCAGCTACTAAAGTAGTCATATCTTGATGATGTAACATGTAATTAAATTTTAATCTACATTTTTAATATACAATAGTATATTAAATCACATACAGTGTCATTTTAAAATTTATAACTCAACCATCCTTTTTTCTTACATAATTAAAGTAAATCAAACAGTATGTGTCATATAATAAATGGGAAAAAGCTATGATTTTTAACACATGGAACAGATATTATAGAAATTTTTATTAAATGAATTTTGTAATATGGTCTTAAATAATGCACTGATCTAAAGAAATTTAAAACCCTTTTCAACTTAAAATTACTTTGCTTCATACCATGGAAAATTTTAAAGGAAATTGTTGGTGAATTATTATGAAAAGGGTTCATGAGTCACAGAGAGAGGAAAATGCTGGACTAGTGCACTGGGTACCTGGATCTGGGTAATGGGGGAGTGTATCAGTCTGTTTTCACGCTGCTGATAAAGACATACCTGTGACTGGGTAATTTATAAGGAAAAAGAGGTTTAATGGACTCACAGTTCCACATGGCTGGGGAGGCCTCTCAATCGTGGCAGAAGGTGAAAGGCATGTCTTGTATGGTGGCAGACAAGAGAAGAGAGCTTGTGCAGGGGAACTCCCCTTTATAAAACCATCAGATCTCTTGAGACTTATTCACTATCACGAGAACAGCATGGGAAAGACCTGCCCCCATGATTCAATTATCTTCTACCAGGTCCCTCCCACAGCATGTGGGAATTATGGAGCTACAGTTCAAGATGAGATTTGGGTGGGGACACAGTGAAACCATATCAGGAGATAGAGGTCAAGGAGAGTTACTGCAGAAAGGTGAGGAAGAAACCAGTCCAAGAGATCTCCAGGTTGTGGGAAGTTTTGAAACCCTAGGCATAGGTAGGGCTTACTTTTGGAAGAGGGATCATTTCCTCTGAGCTAAAGGGGAACGGGTACAACTTTGAAACGTTTCTTAAAATACTGTACGTGCCAGAAGTCAGAATGCTCATGAAGTTCTCAAAGTCCCTATCTAGAAAATTCTGGAACAATTGCTCTATTCAGTGAAAGTTGCCTGTGTTCTGGATACCATCACCTCAAGTCTCCTCTGGTACGTTGTTCCACCAGTTATTGCACCTCTCCTATATCTTCCATCTTTCCTTTTCCATTCACCTTTCATTAGCAAATGGATGAACACACATTTTAAACCCGTATTAAAATGGGTTTACTCAGGCAACTGTAACAAAATATCATAGGCTGGGTGGCTGAAATAACATACATTTATTTTCTCTCCATTCTGAGGACTAGAAGGCTAAGATTAAGGGTTTGTGTCTAGCAAGGCCTCACTTGCTGTCTTGTAGACTGAAGCCTTCTTGCTGAGTCCTCACATGGCCTCACATGTGAGGGTCCAGATGAGAGAGATAGCCAATGTCCTTTCCTCTTCTTATAAGGATATGTTAGGGCCCCACCCTTAAGACCTCATTTAATCTTCTTTTTTTTTTTTTGAGTCGGAGTCTCTCTCTCGCCCAGGCTGGAGTGCAGTGGCACAATCTCGGCTCACTGCCACTTCCACCTTCCAGGTTCAAGCAATTCTCCTGCCTCAACCTACTTAGTAGCTGGGATTGTGGGTGTGCATCACCATACCTGGCTAATTTTTGTGTTTTTAGTAGAGATGGTGTTTCATCATATTGGCCAGGCTGGTCTGGACCTCCTGACCTTAGGTGATCTGCTTGCCTTGGCCTCCCAAAGTGCTGGGATAACAGGTGTGAGCCACTGGGCCCGGCATCATTTAACCTTAATTATCTCCCTAAAGGCCCTGTCTCCAAATAAAGTCGCATCATGGGTTAGAGCATCAACATGTGAATTTGAGGGGTACACAATTCAATCCATAACAAAACTCTTTAATCTGTGTATGTTTCCACTTCTTGGTTTTTTCCATATTCACCCCATGGCCACATATTAATGCATGTGTCTTAGTCAGCTTGTGTTGATACAATAAATTCCATAGGCAGGGTAGCTTAAACAACAAATACTTATTTTTCACAGTTCTGGAGGCTGGAACTGTGAGATCAGGGTGGCAGCATGGTTGGGGTTCTTGTTGAAGACCCTCTTCCTGGTTTGCAGACTGCCATCTTCTCATTGTGTACTTTACCCGGTAGAGGGAGAAGAGAGAGAAAGCAAGCTCTTTCTTATCTCTTCTTATAAGGTCACTAATCCCATCATGCAGCCTGCACCCTGTGACCTGATTACCTCCCAAATGCCCCATCTCCAAGTACCATCATATAGATAAGTACATATAGATGAGACTGACATTATTATTGAGAGTAAATTACATATTAAATACACCCAGCTTTTAGCCGTTAAATAATGTTGTGTTTGTTTGATCATTTGTAGATGAATCCCATTCTGTTTTCCACCTTTATTACTTTTCTTGTGTCGTCGCAAGACTGGAAGGGCAGACAGTCCAAATCTTCATATCGACCCCATGGAAACTTGCTCAATGTATGAATAGAAAGGGGACCATCAGTCAGACTGTCAGTCTCCAAGCTTCCTCTCTATCTTGTGGACTCAGATGTCAAATAATGTAACTTTCATATTAGGCAAATGCAAATATACTAGGTTGTATGTATCTGTATGTATTTTGATGACTGACACACTTTGGTATCGGTCAGCACACAGAAAGGAAAATGTACAAGATTGTACTCCTGGAAAGAAACAACTTTTAGGGTTTTCAAAGATTCCCATACAAAAAACTTTAAAGACAAAATGCAACACTTAATTGAAAATTCAGATTTGTGAAAAAGAAACAAAGATATAGATATATTCGTATTATATTTTTATTATATATTCTAGATGATATATTAATATTTGATATGGTTTGGATCTGTGTCCCTACCAAATCTCATGTTGAATTGTAATCCCCAATTTTGGAGGTGGGGCCTGGTGGGGGGTGATTGGATCATGGTGCTGGTTAATTATGAATGGGTCAGCACCATCCCCTCAGTGCTCTTCTCATGATAATGAGTGAGTTTTCATGTGACCTGGTTGTTTAAATGTGTGTAGCACCTCCCTTTTCTCTAGGCTTCCTGCTCCAGCCACGTAAGACATGCCTGCTTCCCCTTCACCATCCGCCATGATTGTAAGCTTCCTGAGGCCTCCCCAAAAGCAGAAGCTGCTGTGCTTCTTGCACAGTCTGCAGAACCATGAGCTAATTAAACCTCTTTTCTTTATAAATTACCCCATCTCGGGTATTTCTTTACAGTGATGTGAGAATGGACTAATACAATATTATAAACAGCATCTGTTTGAATGTTTTCATATTCTTTTTCATATCAAATATTGAGTATACTATTTTAAAATATTTTCACTTTTCACAAAAGCTAAATTAGGCTGATTAAATTTAGGCAGGGCTTTTTGATTTTTACTTATATGTGTCTTTCTTGTTTGAATTATTTTAATAAGAAGATACATGGCTTTCAGAAAGAAAGAGAGAAGAGAGAAGAAAGAAGAGAAGAAAAGAAACTGGCAGTGCCGGTGTATCTGCATATTTTCTATTTTGTCTTGACAACGTATGCAGATTATAGAACTTCTTAAAAGGTCATTTGATAAAGTGAAACAAATGACTTCGAAAAAATAATCCTAAGGGAAAATTGTTTGGAACAATTAAATTGTAATAAAAATAATTTAAACCACTTTGCAATTAGTCTTCTTATGAACATCTACAACTCCAAAATGATTTTGACAAAAATGAATCTTGGCAACCAATTAATGCTCAGTCTCATCTAATTTATTTGGTTTTCTTGAGAGCAGAGAAAGCTGAAGAAGATTTCTAGAAATGATAACAATTTAAGACATTCACACACAATTGTATTTTTTGAAAAGCGTCTTATGTGAATTTTTATTACAAATAAAAATATTACACCTTTTGTTGTCATCTGAATACACTGCAATAACTTTGAAGTTGTCTGAATTGTTATATTCAAAGCAAATCTGCATGGTGAAGCTTATTATTTTCATTTATTAAAAAAGAATATAACAAACTATTTTCAGTAACTGTTACTAACTTTATTTAGATATCACCATCTGCATTTTAGGATTATCTGTACAATAACAATTGCATTGTTACATTAAATGCAAGAACCCCTCTTCTGCTTATCATTTTTAAGAGTAAAGCAATAGAGATGAAGTTGCAACAGTATTGGCTATTAGTGATATTTGCCAAGCCAAGTTTCTCTCTCTCTCTTTCTCTGTCTCTCTGTATGTAGTGACTGTAAAGCTAACCATCAGATTTCAAGTGTAGATTATGGAGTGTCTTATTATGTGGAAATAGGCTTCTGTGAGCTCATACAAGTATGTGTGATGGTTAGGTTCACTATGAAATACCTTACAGATAAAATCTCTTTTATAATCTTTACTATACATTCATTTATGATTCATCAAAAACAACACAAAGAATTTAAAACTAAATGTATGCCCTTGTTATTTGTTTCATGGAACTCATTTGACCAAGATGACTAGATCGATTAAGAAAGGATAGACACACAGAACTTAATTGCTAAGATCAAAGTATAATTTTAGCAAATCAACAATTGCCACTTATTTCTTCAATGGTACCTATGATCAAGAGGTTAATAATAGAGGTTTATGGATAGGACTGTTTCCCTGTAGAAGGCAGAATACCAAATACCCCAAATTGCACTGCCCGTGTCTTTCAAGTGCCTATGATTACAAACTAAAATAAAAACATATACAATGCAAACAAACGAAAAGCCCTATGGCTACATTTGGACAATACAGAAAACAATGGAAAGATTTGTATCTCCCTTTTTCCTCCCCTGTCTCCTCACCTCAGTTTTTTTTTCTTTTTAGTAGAGAGAGGAAAGAAAAGAAAAGTGGCAGAATCCAAAAAGAGGGAAGGAGCAAGAAGAGGAAAGAGAAATAGGAGGAATTGGGCAAGGTGAAAATAGACAAAAGGGTTATTTTAGTTGGCATTTCACTTGTTCTTCCAATAAAAGGCATATCCCATGTTATTTTGCTCATTGCCTTTGTCTGTCTGCTCTCTCTGCTCACCCCTGTGGGCCCATCAGGCCACCACTCATGTCTGCCTGCTGGGGGCTTGTGTAGAATAGAGCCCCGGCAGAGAAGGGCTTGACAATCTTTTACATAAAGCCTGAGTAAAGATCCTTCAGATGTGTGTGATCTTCAGGAAGCCATTAGTTTCTTTGAGCCTCTGTTTTCTCTATTCTAAAATAAGAAAACTGCTGATGTTACAAAGTGCTTTGGAGGAACAACAAAAACAACAGCACACATATCCACACGTGCACACATACATACCCGGAACTCACCTCCTGCTCCTTCCTTTAAGCCTATGCATGCATGGCTTTATCTAATCTATAAAATGATAATAATAACTTTGAAAACCAAAATTATATATGTTTTTTATTATGCAAGTGTAAACAGGCAGTCTGTAGAAAAAATACATTTAAACAATATACCACTCTCAAAATAAACACTAATGGTTTTGGTATATTCTTAGAGTTTTTCTTCAATGAATATACATACATATATTTTTATCCCAAAACACAGTTGTATATGTCATTCTGCAACTTGCTTTTTAAATGTGACAGTGCAATTCAGACATCTTTTTATATCAATACATATAGATTAATCTTGCTATTTTTAATAGTTGCATACTTATATGCCTATAATTTATTTTAACTCATCCTCTTTGTGGACATTTACATAATTTTCCTTTTTTTGGCTAATTCAAGTAATACTCAGTGAATGTCTTTGCATATAGATTGTGTTAATTTTTCCGTAGGATAAGTTCTTAAAGTAGAATGTTTGTGTGAAAGGTATGCTCCATTTGAAATTTTGATGGATAACACCATATTGCCCTCCTAAAAAGATTACATCTTATTTGCAATATTTTTCATTTCAATTTTCCAAGCTAGAAACTTCTGGGTCATCACCAAGCCTCTCCCTTTCATTTTCTAGCTTCCTTCCAAATTGTCACCATATCCTGTGATCATACTGCAGAAAGGATCTCCTCATTTCATCCCCGCATCTTCATCCTTCCAGCCAGTTTCTCTTTGCTCATGTCTTATAGAAGAAACTTCCAAAAGTTATCCACAATCCATTGTCCTTGTCATCCTGGGCACTTGAGAGAGGACATGGTTTTCTAAGGCTCCCTGGTATCTACCTGGCCATGCCAATGGAAAGATAAATAAAATGGCACATGCCCCTTGCAGGCTTGGCCCCTAGGAACCTGCCATTCACATTCTTCCTGCCATTTCATCTTCTACTGGCTGAATGTTGCCAGTTACAAGGCCCTGTGGGAGGTGGAACTGCACATGGCAGAGCCTGGGTCTCTGAGTGAACATGCCAGAGGACAGCTACCCCACAGTCCTGAGTGACTGCCCAGAGCAATGCCTCTTGTGTTGAGCTATGACATGGTTGGGTCTATTTGTTACAACAGTTAGACGTCAGTAGCAGAAGCAGAGAGGCCCCATCATTTTTTACTCACAGTATGAGAGCAGCCTTCTTGTTGGCCTCTCTAACTCCTGCTCCTTCCCCTTTCAGAAGCTCTGCTGCCAGAATAATCCCACTTTGAACCACAGTGACCTGTAACTCCTTCCTTTAAAGTCTTCAGGAACTCATTCCCTATAGATTCAGATCCAGACTCTTTGGCCTGGAATGGAAGATCCTTTATAACATGTCCACAGCCTTCCATGGGGTATTGGGGGCAGAGTCCTCATCTATCTTGTCCTCTGTGCTAGACAATCCAACATACAGTAGTGAAACCATCCCCCTTCCTTCTCCCCTGATGAAAACTATAAAGTGTATAAACTGTAGAGTTAATCAGGGGAGAAGGAAGGGGGAGAAATAAAAATAAGCCAAGCTTGAAGCACACTCTGCATTAGTCATGAGGTCAGCCTGCTTCCTCATAGTGGTTTGCTGCCTGTTGCCTCAGAATCATGTAGACCCTGTTACAAGATAAAAGTTCCCCTTTACTGATCTACAGATAACTTGAACATTACAAAGAATTGTTTTCCCTTTGAGATATTCTCTCAGTTCCTGCATACCAATAAAACTACTAGTGACTCAGCTGGTCTGAAGAACCCCACAGGAGGTGATTCACCAAAGAATACAGTTTCCACATCCTGATGATTTCATCCCCCTTACCCTGAAAAATGAACAACCCCAATTTTCCAGCCCCTCACCCTCCATGTCTCCCTTAAAAACTCCAGCCCAGAATTCCTAGGGGAGATGGTTTTGAAGGGGCTCCTCCCATCTCCTCACTCTGCTGCCTTGTGATCATTGAACTCTTTCTCTGCTGCAAGTCCTGCTGTCTCATTGTATTGGTCTCTTACTGCACAGTGGGCATATGAACTTGCTGCTTCTCTAACAGTAGCATTCAATACATACTTGCAGAATAAATCAATTCATATTGTTTGCTTTAGAGACAAATATAATGCAACATCAAGGAGGCAGTTTTATAAAAACAATTTGCTTTGTAGGGTTATTAATTTACGCTTAGCAATTGCTAAAAATACTGATTTCATGGCTCACCTCTTGAGATAGGGTAAAACAGCATGTTTTTGATATTGCTGATTTAGGTCCATAACATTCTAAGCCTAAAAGGGCCTTAGAGCTCATCTAGTACAATTTTCTCATTTTGCAGATAAAAACACTGCATTCCAGACAGCTGAAGAGACTCCAGGCTATGAAACCAGTGGGATACAGTCCCAAGCAGGCCAGCACCCAGTTCATAGGTCTGTCTGCCTTCTGTGACACCAGGCTGTCCCTAAGGCTAATGGCCCTAGACAACTTGATCTCTGCAGTCTAATGTCTGCTTATATTCAACTGGCTTTGTGGCTCCATTTAAGGTTTTATTTTTTGGTGCCTCATTTGTCAATTTGGTTTCCCAGTCTTGGTCTGACTGGGAAGAAGCAGAGCCAGTGTACCATGCAGGGGACGGGATGTTAGATCTGGCCTCTTGCTCTGCATTCCTCTGTCACCCATAGAATTTATTGAGCTTCCTCATGTACAGGTCCTTCTTCATTCATCAGGGCCAGAGGCTGCTGGTGAGCAGGGAGACATTTTTTCTAACATGGTGGGAGGAATGGCAGTTTTATAACTATAATTATACCCTCCAGAAAATAACTGTTACTTAAAAGGTGTATCGTTCTTTGTACATGGATCTGAAGGCTCAGCGATGGGTACATTTAAAAATCAATAAAGTAGTCAGCCAAACATTCAGCTCATGCATCACAAGCTCACAGGGATTCAGATTTAACAGAAAGATGGGGTAGGCACTGCAGTGGTTTGGGCCATGGGCACCTACTGTGTAAAGGAACAGAAACATTGTAAGACATTTCAAATTGCCCTGCACTTGTTCAGGTTAGGTTCATCTTGTCAGATACCTTTCCTATTCTCTCTGGTACTTCTCCATCACTTAGGATGAATGGTGAAGAGTTTTCTGGCAAAGTGCTTGTTGCACTTTGGTGTTAACCAGCTATTGACAGCCACACACTTTGAAGTGACTTCTCCTACAGGAGTCACTGATGGACAGCAGAGTGTAGTGCAAATATCAGGACTGAGGTTGGGAGGTTTAAATTACAGGTTTCAAATGATTTTGGGAGGAAAACTTCCATTTTCAAACAGGGTGAATTATGAGAAACAACCTGAAATGCCACCTTTATGCCTCTTCTTATAACCTAAAAATACAGAATGGTCCTGAGAAAGTTTGCTTTGGCTAAGTAGCATATTTGTCTGTAAACTATGAAATTGCTCATTCATTCATCCATACAGTCATTAAGTTGATACATATTTATTAAGAGTATCCTCAACACCATTGAATATATACTCAATGAGTTGTTCTATGTGGTGGAATTAACAATAATGACAAACCAAGCCCCTTTACTCATGGAGTTTACATTTCAATGGAATAAGAATAATAATATAACAATAAGAAAACATAATAAGCCATGAGAGCTGCATTGGTTATATTTTAGTTTGTTGAAAAAACCCCTCAAACTAAGTATCTTAAAGCAAGAGTTGTTCATGATTTCCCACTATTTTGTGGGCAAGAGGGTGGGTCATTTGCTGCCCTCACCTGGACTCACACTTGTGGCTCCTTTGAACCGGAAGGTCAGCTGGTGGCTGGGCTTGGCTGGGCTTGGCTGGGCGCACTGGGTGGCCAGGCCCTTCTGACCACATCATGTTTTGTCTCTGGGTGGTCTTAGGGTTCCATGGGAACAAGTACCAAAGAGCAAGTGCTTATTGAGTTTCTGTGTGTGTCATGTTTGCTAATGCCCCACAGGCCAGAGAAAGTCACAAAGCTAGGGGCATGGATATGAGAATGCATGATTCATTACCGACCAGTAGAGAAACAATCTAACACATTGGTAATAAGAGGCAGGAAGCAAACTAAAGAATGAGGGAATCAACGGAGAGTGATGGGGCAGTTATTTTAGATAAGGAGATCAAGATGACTCTCTTTGAGGAGAGAACATTGAAACAGAGACCTGTGAAGTAGGGTAGGGGGTCAAGTGGAGGTACCAAGAGAGTGTTCCAGCCAGAGGGTTAGCATGTGCAAATGCCCTGAGTGGGAACAACAGGGAGCCAGTGTGGCTGGAGGGCAGTAAGCCAAGGGAGAATGTTATCATAGTGGTGGAACCTTGTAGGCTCTTGCAGACCACGGTAAGGACTTCACAAGGTGTTCTAAGATGGAAGGAAACCTGCACATGCTCGTTGTAGAAAAGGGAAGAATTTGATTTATGTTTTAAAAGGATCACTCTGGCTTCTGTGTAGAGAATAAACCTTATAAGAGCAAAAGTGGAAGCAGGAAAAGAAGTTAGGAGAAAAGAGAGAGTGAGGTGGCTTGGAATGCAATTATAACAGCGCAGATGGTGAGAAAGAGACAAACTCAGCATATGTTTTGAAATCAGGGCTCACGGTACTTAAAATGGATTGAATGTGGGTTATGAGAGAAAGGCATGAAGGATGCCTTCTAGGTTATTGTCTGACCACCTTGGTGAGTGGTGTTTCTATTACGAGAGAGATCGCATTGGCTGGGTCAGGGTAGAATGCAACATAGAAGATAGCGGACATATTTAGAAAATGAAATCAATGACATTGCCTCACAAAATTCTAAAGCTGAAAATCCAGCAACTGACATAATCCCATCATTTTATAGACAAAGAAATTGGGATCTGGGAAAATGAAGGAATTTCTTTTTTTAAAAAACACTTTCTGTAATCCCAGCACTTTGGGAGGCTGAGGTGGGCAGATCATGAGGTCAGGAGATCGAGACCATCCTGGCTAACACGGTGAAACCGCGTCTCTACTAAAATTACAAAAAATTAGCCAGGCACAGTGGTGGGCGCCTGTAGTCTCAGCCACTCGGGAGGCTGAGGCAGGAGAATGGCATGAACCTGGGAGGCGGAGCTTGCAGTGAGCTGAGATAGCACTATTGCACTCCAGTCTGGGCAACAGAGTGGGACTCCATCTCAAAAAAAAAAAAAAAAGACATTTATTAGGCCATTTTTGCATTGCTTTAAAGGAATACTGGGACTGGATAATTTATAAGAAAACAGGCTTAATTGACTTATGGTTCTGCAGACTGTACAGGAAGCATGGTGCCAGCATCTGCTTCTGGGGAGGCCTCAAGAAACTTTTATTCATGGCAGAAGGCGAAGTGGTGGCAGGCAGTTCACATGGTGAAAGCAGGGGCGGGGCCGGGAGGGGGGAGGTACTGCACTTTATTAGTTTCATCCTACAGGTGAAATTAGTTTGCTGATAAATGTCAAATGCTTTAAGATTTCGGAGAAAGTTATTTAGATACTCTGACTCTAATTTTTTTGTGGAGGGAGGATCACATTCGATAAACACTCAAGAGAATAAGATAGAGGAATGAGGCACCGGCAGAAGGGTTTTGTATTAGTCTGTTCTCACCCTGTTTTGAATAAATACCTGAGACTGGGTAGTTTATAAAGAAAAGAGTTTAATTTACTCACAGTTCCACATAGCTGGAGAGCCTCAGGGAACTTACAATTACGGTGAAGGCACCCCTTCACAGGGCGGGAATAGAGAGAAAATGAGTGCCAGCAGGAGAAATGCCAGATGCTTATAAAACCATCAGATCTTGTGAGACTTGCTCATTATCATGAAAACAGCATGGGGGAAACTGCCCTCATGATTCAGTTACCTCCACCTGGTCCCACCCATGACATTTGGGAATTATGGGAGCTACAATTCAAGACGACATTTGGGAATTATGGGAACTACAATTCAAGATGAGATTTGGGTGGGAACACAGTCAAGCCATTTTAGGTTTGGTGGAATTGCTTCTTTGAAAATACAGTTGCAGGGACCTGTCTTAGTCCTTTTGTGTTGTTATAAAGGAATACCTAAGGCTGCATAATTTATAAAGAATAGAGGTTTATTTTGCTAACCGTTCTACAAGCTGTGTAAGAAGCATGGAGCCAGCATGTGCATCTGGTAAGGGTTTCAGGCTGCTTCCACTCATGGCGGAAGGGGAAGGGGAACCAGCATGTGAACTGGTTGTTAAAAAGAGCAGGGCACCTCCCTCCCCTCTCTTGTTTCCTCTGTTGCCCATATGATCTGCACATGCTGGCACCCCTTAGCCTTGGCCATGAATAGATCTACCCCAGGGTCCAAACACCTCTCACCAGGCCCTACCTCCAACACTGGGGATCATATTTCAACTTGAGACTTGGCTGAGTCATACAAACCAGATCCAAATCATAGAAGGACCATAGCTAGTTTGGATAGATTTTACCATCAAGAGGTCTACCCAGACAAATGAAAGATCTGTGAGCATTTGTTGAATGAATCTTCAACAAAGTTTAGGCATTTTGAATATTTAGGTTTCCTTGTTGAAGCTTGAAAATATGCCTTTTGCATTTGACAAAAATTAAGTTACATTCTCTGAAGTCTGTTGAAGTAAATTTTTGTAGTCCTGTCATTCATTTCCCACTTTATTGAGTACACTGCTGGTATTTTTGGTTGTTGTTTTTAAGCTTTCTTTATTTTCCAATCCAAATTGATGTGTATCAGGCTGGTATTTTTAATGTTAATGGGCACTCAAAATTTAGTGTTCAGAGAGGTAGAGAAGGCAAAAGAAATAGGCTGAAATTTATCTTAAATCAAAGAGCCAGGCTAAAAGGAGTCTATGTCAAGGGGGCAGGAGGTATGGTTACTACGAATTTAAATAGGATTCCCCTTGTATGAAATTAGCAGTTCTTCATTACTCAGCACGTCCTTCCCCACCTATTTCCTTCATCATACTTATCATCCAGAGATTGCTGAAGACAGAAACATATTATGATGACCTTTATTAGGTGTTTACTATATTCCAGGTTTGTAGCTAAGTGCTTTATAAACATTACCTCATTATTGTTTTGTCCCTAGAGTCAACGCTTATCTGACTCTAATCTTCCTAGAAGATAGGGCCCTGGTTTTTTGATATATTCACTATACGACCTTCAGCAAGTCATTAAGTTCCTTATGCCTCAGGTTTATAATTTATGAAATGCAGGATGGATTTTTGTGTATACTACCCTTCAAATTTTATTTCTCTTTAAAAGTTATGACTTAAAAATAATTCCATGTTTGGCTTTATCTAAGGAGATGAGGGCATCAATGGAAAAGGACTTTGAAAAATGAAAAAATGAACAGGTCCTTCTAGAAGTTCGAGTTTTTGAGAAAAAAATTGCGGGAATGAGAAGTCTTCCTTTCCCTAACTCTTTTTACTGCTGATTTTATTTATTTATTTATTTTTGAGATGGAGTTTCACTGTTTTGCCCAGCCAGGAATGAAGTGGCACAATCTCGGCTTACTGGAACCTCTGCTCCCCCAGGTTCAAGAGATTCTCTTGCCTCAGACTCCTGAGTAGCTGGGATTATAGACACCTGCCACCATGCCTGGCTAACTTTTGTATTTCTAGTAGAGATGGAGTTTTGCCATGTTGGCCAGGCTGGTCTCAAACTCCTGACCTCAGGTGATCCACCCGCCTCAGCCTCCCAAAGTGCTGGAATTACAGGCATGAGCCACCATACCTGGCCTCGTTTTACTGCTTTGAATGGCAAGATTCCCTTATGTGTTTCCTAGTTCAAATTATTTTGTTGTAGTTGTCAAAATTACTTTGTCCTGTTTTTGGAGGCAAGCATATAGTCTTATTTACCAATTAGTTTCAGAAATGTGAGTAGCATAGCTTCTCACATAGGCAGACTTTGTCAAGGATGATGTGGGAGGAATATTGAAGGATAAGTAGTCCTTAGTCTCTGTGTTAGCCCATTTTCTGTAGCTTATAACAGAATACCTGAAAGTCGGTAATTTACAAGAAAAGGAAGGTATTTCTTACAGTTATGGAGGCCAAGAGTCCAGGGTTGAGGAGCTGCATCTGGTGAGAGCCTTCTTCATGGTAGGGTCCACGTCAGCTCAAGGTATAGCATGGCAAGGGGGCTAAGCGTGTTGATGGGCTAGCTCAGGTCTCTCTTCCTCTTCCTATAAAGCCACCAGTTCCCCTCCCATGATAACCGTGAATCCACGACTGGATTAATCCATTCAAGAGGGAAGAGCCCTCATGATCCAATCATCTCTTGAAGGCCCCACCTCTCAATACTGACACATTGGGGATTAAGTTTCAACATCAGTTTTGGAGGAGACAAACATCCAAACCCTAGTAGCTTCCAGTACAGAATTGCCAATACCTTAGGTACTTCCAAGTAGAGAATTCCCCGGAAAATCTATTCCTTGGTTTTGGAGATTACTCTCCAAGTTCTCGCCAACTTGAGTTTCCGTGGTTCTGTGAGATTCTTTTTTCAAGTAATTCAAGGGTTTTCAGGTAGATACTGTCATAGATTCTGTTTCAAATCTGCCAATTCTACTGAACACAAAAAAAGGTTTTTTTTAATCCAGATTTTTTTCTTTTTTTTTTTTTGAGACAGAGTCTTGCTCTGTTGCTCAGGCTGGAGTGTAGTGGCACGATCTCAGCTCACTGCAACCACTGTCTCCCGTGTTCAAGCAATTCTGCCTCAGCCTCCCAAGTAGCTGGGATTACAGGCACACACCACCATGCCTGGCTAATTTTTGTATCTTAATGGAAACGAGGTTTCACCATGTTGGCCGGGATGGTCTTGATTTCCTGACCTCATGATCTGCCCGCCTTGGCCTCCCAAAGTGCTGGGATTACAGGCTGATCCAGATTTTTAAAAGGTTTACTTGAGTCTTAGTTTCATATTATGAACAGACAATCTCTAAGACTGAAGTTTAAAAGTTGCACTGAAGTACAGACTTCAAGTCCAAGTTTACAATTTCAGTTTCTCACTTACCTCATTTCTGATGTGCTTGTTATTTTATCTATATTCTGCAGAGTGAAAAAGTGCAGAATGAGAGTCATTAAGGTCTAAATTGGTTGTTGCTAAGGGTCTAAATTACTGTTGATGATGATGTAGCCCTTCTGGTGGCCTAGCTTTGCTGCTTTTGGTGCTGAGAGGTAGGGCGAAGGTCATGGGACTTGAAGTGGGAGGCAGGAGGAGGTGTGCGGGGTGTGCAGGGTGTGCATCCTGCAGTTTCTGCTTCTGACATTCAATCTTCCACCTTTGAAACTCTTTTTTGGGCCAGGGGTCACCACTTACTATAGGTAGAAGGCAGTCCCAATTCCTCCCTAACAGGCTGGGCGCAATGACTCACAGCACTTTGGGAGGCTGAGGCGGGCAGATCACTTGAGGTCAGGAGTTCAAGACCAGCCTGTCCTACATGGTGAAACCCTATGTCTACTAAAAATACAAAAAGTAGCTGGGCGTGGTGGTTCACACCTGTAGTCGCAGCTGCTTGGAAGGCTGAGCCAGGAGAATCACTTGAACCTGAGAGGCAAACACTGCAGTGAGCTAAGATGGTACCACTGCACTCCAGCCTGGGTAATAGAGCAAGACTCCATCTCAAAAAATAAATAAATAAATAAATAAATAACAAAAAGGAAAAAGAAACATTTAAGTATCCAGTGTAGACAAGTATCCAGCTTTGTGTAGATAGAGAGGCCATTCTCACAGATTTCTTTGGGTCTGCATTATCTTCCCAAACCACAACCGGTTTTTGGCCCAGAAATTCAAATTTGCTCCCTGAAGTCTGTTTTTCTTCTATGTTGAGCTTGTCACTGAAAAGTCAGTTGTCAATCTTAACATAATCCCCTTTCTACAAATTCCAACTATTTGGTTCTTTTGTCTCTCTAATTATTTTATTCAAAACTATCTATTCTTGTTTTGGGGGAGAGGAGATTTCCCTTCTTATTAAAAACCACTTAGTTATCAGTGATTATAAGATCAGCAATTCCTTGAGGACAAGGATTATGGGTTATTCATCATTGTATGTTCACTCATGCTTAAACACTGGACAATTTTTTTTTTTTATAAGCAAGCTACAGACAACCAAAATGGGGCAAGGGAATTCAACATGTAATCCATGTTTACCAAAACGAGATTTCCTGAGATTTCCAGCATAGCAAATGTATGTTTCTGTACTTTTCTTCCTTTTCTTCAAGTAATTGCAACCAACTTTCTAGGCTATGTACCTGTTAATGTCAGAAATTGTTCTCTGTCTCTCTCTCTGTCTTCCATGTTGCCAAGTGTTGTGGACAGCAATATAAATTCCTTAAATGAATGAATGCGATTTTTCAAGCCCAGTTAGTTTATTTTTCAGAAGAACCAAGTTCTAGTGAATTAAACTTTTATGATCTAGCAAATCCGTCACACAAACCAGTTGGGAAAACACCTATAATTTATGCTTCACAGACCTTCTGTCTACATTCTAAAATTTTATTTGCAGTGCCTACACTGATTTGAATAAATTGAAAACCAAGGTTTTTTTTCTTTTCTTTTTTCAAATAAAACAAACGAGGGTTGAACAGTTTTGTATATTTCGAATTGTAATAATTTTATTTCTTTCTTCATTCCCTGTTTCTCCTATGAAATTAAAATGCAAGATTTAAAATGTGTTGAATTGTTAAGTATATTTTGTATTTATTTTAGACTAAATCAGAGTAATTAATAGAAATTCTAAATGGAAATCACCTAATGATATTGGGTTCAAATTTTGTTGAAGTTAATTTAATTTTTATTAATAATTTATCAAATATAGCTGGCTTTTGTGAATTATATTAAAACGTATCTTTCTGTGAAGTGTTGAGGCCAAGAATGAAACCTTAGATGGAAGACCCAGATTTACTGGAAGTAGGCCAGAAATTGTAATCAAAGGTTTTGGACTTTCTGCTCTGGGTTTAAATTCTAGTCCCAGCAGTTTTTAGAAGCAAGGTTAATGAATCTCTGGGCACCTATGAGAAGGCGTGTTTTGAAGGCCTTCCCCAAAGCCAGCCCTCTCTAAGTCTCTGGCGTTCTTTTCTTTGAATGGATGTACTTAGGAGTCCACAGGGAGCTATGGACACAGAGGAGAGAAGAAAAATAAAATTAAAAAAAAAAAAGCTAATTTCTTGGTCATGATTGTTTAAAAAGAACTTGCAAAAGAAAAGAAACAGAAGGGTCAAAAAGACGAATACAGGTTGAGTATCCCTTATCCAAAATCTTGGGACCAGAAGTGTTTCAGTCTTGGATTTTTAGGGATTTTGGAATATTTGGATATATGTAGCACCCCAAATTTGAAAATTTGAAATAAAAAATGCTCCAATAAGCATTTCCTTTAAGTAGCATGTCTATGCTCAAAAAGTTTTGAATTTAGAAGCATTGTGGATTTCAGAGTTTTGGATTTGGGATGCTCAACCTGGAAAAGGTAACTCCTGCTCACTTCCACCCCTCATGGAGAAATTTCTTAAAACAGAACAAGCTCTCATGCTCCATTTCCATCACAGTACACATTGTGAGGACATGAAACATAATGTTTTCAGTGTTTGGTTATATGAGAATCAAATAGCTTCCTGGGGAAGAAAATACTGAATTTTACACAACCCATATGCCACTAATGGGATCAGATGGCAATATAGTAACACGCAGCCCAGTTCTTCATGCTTCATCCAAAAACCATGCCACGGATTTGGGGTTTGGACACTGAATTTGTCACTGTCTGCATGATCTTAGATAAGTTACTTTATCTCAGTAGTGTAGGTGGCATCATCGGCCCACCATCACGACTGATGGCCCCTGAGCTGACAATAAAAAACAAGTGTACATCTTTAATACCAGAAAGTAGTCAGTAAATATGTGGACGTGTGTTGTGAGTGGGTCTTATCTGTACCATGAGAGGTGTTAGTCTGAGATCTCTAAAAAGGGAGTGCCTAGAAACCAAGCATGGAAATGTGTCAAACCGTCACCAAGAGTGAAAGATGATCAGGAACCAGAGAAATAGCCCCAGAATAGAGCTTACCCACACCAGGAGCAGTAACCCCTGGCTACCAGTAAATCCCACTGCTTGGTCTTTGCTCCTCTCTGACATATTTTATTGCAGCCCAAGCTCATGGACAGGCTCTCATCCCATCACCCTCAACATCACCTGTGTTTCAGGGTTGTTCTGAGAATCAAACAGGATTTACCCTAAGCTCTTCAGGGATGTCAGTCAAGGTTAGCATGATGCAGGGCCTATAAGTTTACTTTAAGAGTATTTCTCAAGAGTCATCTTCTATCAAAGGCAGTCTTTTCCAAGTCAGCTTGAGGCCACACAGTATTTTGAAAACATCGTGGACTTTGGAGTAAAAACAAATGTCTGCAATTTGTTGTGTTCTGTTACTACGGATTGGCCTGATTTGAGATACTTATTTAACTTCTTTGAGCCTCTGTTTCCTCATCTTTCATGAAACTAAGATACTGTCTCTAAATGGTGTCACAAAGTAGTAATATAATAATTAACAGCTGAATATGAATAATGCCATTATGCCTTTCTGGTAAGACTCACTGTAGGTAAACACTTTGACCTATGTTATTTTATTTGATCTTTATAGAAACATGGGAGGATAGTGATGTGCCTACTTTTTTGAATGGCCTGCTAGGTAATTTGTGCCACCCTGAAAGCCAGCCTAATGGACAGGTAGTGCAAAAGAAGCAAGAGGGTGTTCAGTTTCCTGCATGAACAGAGTCAGCAACTGACATCTGAGAGCCTTTGGGGCTATTTCATCCTGGGGTTTCAAGCTCAGCTTCAAAGGGACTGGAGAATGAGGCACAGATGAGAAGATGGGGATCCTATCTCCTCCCCAACTTCAATTGCAGCAGCTACATTTCTATGTGTTATTGATTGAATTTCCATGTAAGATTCCAATGGAAGAAAGTTGTAGTCAAGCACTTTCATTTCGCAAATGGCAAAACTGAAGCCGATATTGTGGTTGTGACTTATCCCAAAGTAATATACACATAAACCTCTATGGATGAGGAAAAAGACAGAGGGAAACTAAAAATTCAAAAGAACAAATTTGACTCACAGATTTGCTGACTCATAGTTATGATAGTTATTTCCTCTACCCACGCTTTCTTGACTGATTGAATAAGTTGCAGTTTTTGTCCTCAATTAACTCATCGGAACATGACATTATTTTAAACTATTGAACCACCTTCTTCATTAAATAGTATTTTTTGAGAGTTTACTATATATGTCACTGTCCAGGTACAATGAAAAATACCATAAAGATAAAGCATTCTACACTCCATATGGATAGAATTCAGATTGCGTAGATGACTCAGTCTTATGAGAAGGTGGTATATAATGACAATGACAAATAAGTGTGACCATCTTTTTTTTTTTTTTTTTTTGAAAGGATCTCACTCTGTTACCTAGGCTGGAGTGCAGTGGTGCGATCTCCACTCACTGCAGCCTTGACCTCCTGGGCTCAAGTGATCCTCCTACCTCAATCTCCTGAGTAACTGCTACCACAGTTATGCACCACCACGCCCGGCTTTTTTTTTTTTTAATTGTTAGCAGAGACAGGATCTTGCTGTGTTGCTCAGGCTGGTCTCCAACTCCTGTCCTCAAGGAATCCTCCATGCCTTATGCTAGGATTACAGGCATAAGCCACCGTGCCCAGCCAGTGTGACCATCTTGAAAGGAGAAATTACACAAAACTCAGGGTGCTCTAGGGAAGTTTATTCAGAAGTTGAGGTTTTAGCTGGTCCCTGAAGAATGAATAATATTAAAATAGGAGACAAGAAGACACGAGATTCCAAATGTAGAATATCTTCATAGACTTGGAAATCTCAAGGCTCCTACTGAGAAGATGAAAACAAAATTGGTATATCTAGAGCTAAAGGTTTATGAAAGGAAGTTGGTAAGGCCTGGAATCACTAAGCATTGAACAGTGGATCATCAGGTGACAGCTGAGGCCGTTCCTCATATTACAGAAGCAGGAAATGTGTTCCAGGAGCCAGCTCCATCGTCTAACCCTACAGTATGGGGCTGTCCTTCCCCGTCCTATGCCATCTCTCTGCCCCCACTGGATCAAATTCACAGATAACAAGATTTAACACATCATTTCTTAAACTCCTACTTTGTCACCACCACCTCTACTCAATTCCCAATAAATTGGAATATACATAACACAGGAAGCAGGAAACAATAGAAAGGCTTTGAGCAAGGCACAGTGTCTTTGAAAGATGGATTTAGTGAGTATATTTGAACTGGAAGGATCTATAGGTAAATGTAGGCAAGGGGTCTGTGAAGGAATCCATTTATTTATTTTATTTATTATTATTTTTTTGAGATGGAGTCTCACTCTGTCACCCAGGCTGGAGTGCAGTGTCACGATCTAGGCTTACTGCAACCTCCACCTCCCAGGTTCAAGTGATTCTCTGGCCGCAGCCTCCCGAGTAGCTGGGATTACAGGTGCCCACCACCACACCCAGCTAATTTTTGTATTTTTTAGTAGAGACAGGGTTTCAACATGTTGGCCAGGCTGGTCTTGGACTCCTGACCTCAGGTGATCCGCCTGGAAAGAATCCATTTATATGAACATTTCTTGTGTTCCTATGTGATGTGTGCTCTATGTATTATTTCCAATTTAATTTTAAGACAACCCAATTAGGTTGATAATAATATCTCAATTTTATAAACACGCAAACTAAGGCACGATGAGATTTAAGTAACTTTCCCAGTCTCAATTCACTAGCAAGTAAGAGCTGGGGTATAAAACTAAACCTTTATAATGTTAAAGTACATCCCCTTCTTTATTCTTTATTTTTAGGTCAAAAGCAGATGGTTGAGTTAATTATTTTCCTCAGTTCAAGACACATTATCATCTTTGATGTGTGCAGGGCCCCTTTGGAAGTTTTATTTATTTATTTTTATCCTTTTAAAAAAATTCCTATGCCCTGTTTTCATTCCTCTCTTTTCACAGCCAAAAAATTCAGTGTGTTTGATGTGTATTTGTTATTTTATATGTGTTCTTGAAAAATGAGTATTATTATTTTGTGTGCATATATTGTTAATTTATGTAAGTGATATTAATTATGTATCTTCCTCCTTTACTTTTTTTTCACGAAGGACTATTTTTTTAAAGACTCATACATATTTCTATGGATGCTTCTAATCCATTGCTTCTAACTCCAACTTCTGCCCTTTCAATTACATACAATTAATTCCCTAAAGCAAGGGGCAGACTCGGGAGACATCACTCATAAATATTAATTAATCAATTAACATATTAAAAGCAATTCAGTCAACAAAACATTTGTTAAGCACTTACTACCAGACACTGTGTTTAATGTTGAGAATACTGAAATGAGTAAAGTTTAAAACCTAAACTTAGGGGACTGTCAGTCCAGTAGGAGACACTATCATGGAAATAAATAATTACAGTTTAGTGATTTATATGCAGTCATGGGTACGACCTCAAGAAAGAGGGACAGCACAGACAGGGTGTGATTGTTTTCATTGGGAGCACTGGGCAAAATGAGTGAAACGTGGAATAAAAAGAATGACCTTTTCTGAGTTTCAAAGAATGTGTAGGAGGAACGTCCTGAGTGGATGGGTGGGGAAAGGGTGTTCTGGGAAACAGCACTTTCGACAAGAATTGTTGCATTCCCTGTCTTCTCTGGGGCCCCTTAAAGTCCATGTCCACTCACAGGCTCTTAAAACAGCAGCCATGTTTACTCTCCTACTTCCTGAGCTGATAGTCTTGAGGAGGGCCTCTGGTCCCTGCTACACAGCCATCCCTGATCAGTGCTCCAGCAGCCATGCGCATGTGTAGTCTTGGTTAAACAGGTGAGTTGGTCCTGTCTACTGTTTCCCTGGAGAATTTGAACCAAAAGATCCAGGCATGTTGCCATAGCAGTGGTGACCGGAAGTGGAGCTGGGAGATCTTGATGCCTGGTGGTCATCTGCATGCTAATGAATAAACAAAGCGTGGGCTTCCAAGCAAAGCGAGAGAAGAAAGGCTCCCCTGGGTAAGGAGAAACGCCATCTTGCTTTCTGACACTTTTCTCAGCTCTACTCTTGCGAGCTGGATTTTGCTTCCCGTCTTGAGGTCCATGAAGTTTATCTGAGTCTTGATAATCAATATCCCTTATTGTCAACTATTTTGTGTTTCAATTGCTTATTACCCAGTGATGTTGAATAAAGCATGTATTCCAAGGCATAAAGACCCGAGAGACTGTGATCTGTTGACAGAGCTATAATCCCCTTGTTATTGACAGGTATGAAATAGGTGGGTGGGGTTGGAGGAAAAGCTGAAGGAAGAACCAAAAAGACTTAGTGACTGATTAGAAATGGCACACAGAGATAAAGCAAATCTGAAGTTGCAAGCTTGGAAGCCCCAGAAGAAAGGTGGTAATATTGATATAAAGCTAGGGAAATGAATGAATAGAGAAGAATTCAATTTTTAAATACATGAGAAGTCTTTGGGAAACATGTGAACATCAAATGGTAAATTAGAGAAAGATGAGCTTAGATGCCTGCACTAACCTTAGAGAGGAAAAGGAAGAGGACTCAGTGAAGGGGAGTTAGGAATGAGACCAAGAGTGGTCAAAGATGGGGGTTACAGAAAAATATAAAAAAGTAGCTGTTGATAATAGTAAAAAACACAGTCGAGTCCACGAAAATGAGGATTATAGAAAAAAATCAATGCTCAACAGCCCTATAAATCCTTTCATTTCAGAAGTTTTCAGTGCCTTTAATATGCTTCCCCATATCTGTCTATGATCACATGGATATTATCTTGGGTAGTAAATTCCTGGTCTATGGGAATTTGCTCTGTTAAAATTTGCTTTATTTAATACTCAATACAATGCCGTGTGTACTTACCAAATATGTTTTTATTAATAAGACGAAGAAGGTTCTCGTGCTAAAGTTCTCTTGACTGCTAAAATTAGAAAGTGTCAATTTTGACCTCTGTGGCTGTGGGGAGGAACATCTGAAGCCTCGATGTTCAGATGTGACATATAATGAAGCCTCTTCTCTATGCATCCTTCAAGTGGTCCCAGCTAATTTGGATGGGGAATTTTGAGGGAATTTAAATTTGGGGATTTCCCATGTGAAGCATCACTTTGCAATCATGTGCTTAGCTAAAAATTCTCCTTTTCGAGGATCGCTCATGCTAGTGACGCGTTGTTAGTTTGGAGAGAGAATAAAGGACAAGTGTTGCCTTCCTTCCTGTGCCGCAGACTTAACCAACTAATTAAATCCACTTTGCTTTCTGGGCTTATGGTGACTTTGTGTAATTCAGACTGGAATCTTGTCACATCCAGAAGATCTGTCGTTGTCCAGGTTACCATGGCAGCTAATTTTTTTTTTCTTTTTGTAGAATTATCCCCAGCCCTTGGCTTCAGTTAACCACATAAGCAGGTGTATTATTAGCTTAATGAAGGGACCCTTTCTGCAGGCTTCTTCCCATGCTGTCAGGTAGCTGTCCAACTCGCATGTTGTTGCTGTGTTTAGTATCTTATTCTCAGCATCCATCTGGAGCTCTTTTACAAAGCCGGTAGGTTGCGTGCCAGAGAACATCTTGCTGCCTCGGAAGAAAATTCATCTCCTTTTTTTTTCTTAAATGTGACCCATGACATCACATTGTCCTCCCCAGCCCATCCTGAGCTCTGCACTGAGGGGTGGCTTTGTTGCCATCCTAGGCATGCATAGCTATTGTCTGTGCAATGCTTCATTTTGCAAGTCTGTAGCTATAATGCAACATACTCTGGGATCAGTTTCAAAGTCTAACGATTAACACATGTTTATTCATTCCAAATGGAGCCACGGCTGCAGTCCCTGCTGCACACATGTTATTGGGGATTTTTTAAATTGTTGTTATTATTTTTCCTCTCTAGGTTGATTCTTCACATGGATCAGAAGCAACCAGCAATGAACTCCTGAAATCTTTGTTTACTGCCTTTGAGGAACCTTTGTACCCTTGCCGTTTCTCCATGAGGTGTGTCCCCAGATCACTTTCTGGATGGCAGGCAATGGCCGCTAGAAGGTCAGTTTTGTGCCCTGCTTTAAGTGTCACTCTGTATGCATGCTCCCACAGTGTAATGACAGCCAAGTAGTGACAAATGTAGCCTTACAGACTCAAGGCAATAGTGCACACCAGAAAAACACAGATGGGGAAAAAAGCAATTTTTGATTGAATCTAAAATATGGCAGGTAAACATTTAATGACACAAAGGCAGACATTCACAAAGAGGTTAAGAAATTAGGACATATTTTTTTGTAAGCGAAAAAAAGTCAAACATAGGGTTGTCATTATCAGCTACTGCAGCTGGTGCTCACACATCCTTGGGAGGCGTCCCAGAGTGGCATGGTCAGGCTCCTGGGCAGAGATGGTAAACTACTGACCCATTACCCTCAGAATGACAGTGATGTCAGCTCTACTCAGTGACCCAGGGAGACAGCAGCATTAACCAGTATGCAAAAAATATAGATGAAATTTGGAGCAAATTGATTTACTGAGGGATTACTTTTGGTTAAATGATTTTCCCTCCTTTCTGAGCCCTATCCATCCCAAGCCGAATTCTCTGAGCTAAATTGAAGTTTCTGCAAATGCATCCTAGCAGTGGAGGTTAAAGAGTCACTGTGAAATTTATTTCATCCCTGAATTTACAGCTTTGTTAGGCAAAACTATATAAAAACCATAAAAAGAAAGAGGCTAAAAATAAAAATGGAAAAACCAATAACAAACAAGCAATTCCAGCCAACTCTTTTTCCTCTGCTCAAGATGAAATGAAGAAAGTGAGCATGGTATGTAACAACTAATGGTAATTTTCCCAGCCTTAATAGTCTACAAATGATCACAGATAAGGGATATGTACATATCCTAATTTATTCCCCTGACCTAAACATTGCTCTCCTAACAGTCACCTCTTCTGAACCTGCTGCTCTCTCTGATATGACAATCACTTGTAAATCTTGAAAGACAGTTAAGCCGTGATTGTAATTTTTTATACATAGTATCTAACACATTAGGAATGCAGAGTAAATGCCAAGCTATAATCATTTAAATGTCCTTCTTTATTTATTTCATTTCTCATGTTCTGTGTTTGAATGAAGACTCATGGAAACCCTTGTTTTCGCATTTAATCACGCAGTGCCAGGTGGCCCCAGCCCCAGGCTCAAGACAACCATTAGCAGGTTTTTCTGCTAGGGTGGATTCATCCTCTATATACATTTCTGATTGTCTATAAATAGCATCACTTGTGAGGATTGTTGAAATAATTTGTTGCTATAATTATAGTGACATTTCTAGCATGTTATAATCATATAAAACTGCCAAAATAGGAGGATGCTATTTTGGACTTTTTTTTTCCAGTTTAGTTTGTGTTTCATGGAATGGAAGAAAAGATGAGGAATGCCTCTGGTTTAGAGAAGGAGCCACATTATAACAGAAGAGAACAATGACACACAAAAATCAGGAGTACTTCCTTCAGAAGAAAGGCAGCTGGAGCCTTTGAAATTGACATAGTTTTAGTCAAAAAGAAGAAAAGAAAGATCTCCAAAATATACAATTCCATACATGCAAGAGAAGTGAAGACATGTGATGATATTTTTCCAGCTGAAGGCCTTAGCCAAACCAAAGTCATTTTAATTTTTCATAGGCTTTTACATTTTTGATGACAACATCTTGGTTGAGGAATCACAAATGTCTGAAAAAGAAGTCGCAAGGATGGTTGCACTGTGAAAATCTTTGAAAAAGTCAGTATGTTTTGAATTGACATTGTATCTCCACTGTTTTCAAATGTTCAGCCAATGCCAATTAAACAAAATAAAGATGTATGTTGTATTAGTTCATTTTTATGCTGCTGATAAAGACATACCCAAGACTGGGTAATTTATAAGGAAAAAGAGGTTTAATGGACTCACAGTTCCATGTGGCTAGAAAGGCCTCACAATCATGGCAGAAGGCAAAATGCAATTTACGTGGCAGCAGGCAAGAGAGAGAAATGAGAGCCAAGTGAAAGGGGTTTCCCTTTATGAAACTATCGGATCTCATGAGACTTATTCACCATTGTGAAAACAGTATGGGGGAAACCACCCCCATGATTCAATTATCTCCCACTGGGTCCCTCCCACAACACGTGGGAATTATGGGAGCTACAATTCAAGATGAGATTTGGGTGAGGACAT
The DNA here is from genome assembly GCF_000001405.40 of Homo sapiens. NCBI lineage: Eukaryota > Metazoa > Chordata > Mammalia > Primates > Hominidae > Homo > Homo sapiens. The sequence continues at coordinate 33,384,571 of NC_000010.11, forward strand.
AGCCAAACCATATCATATGTATTGATAAAATGCTGTTAGCTAGTGAACAATCACATACTTTGAGGACTGTACCACAGTTGTGGATGTTTTCAAACTAAAATGGCATACTGTATCTACATAAGTTGTGTTGATGGACAAAATTAGAAAATGTCAATGTTTATTTTAGATGCAATTTCTCTTTTTTCTTAGTGCCCAGTGCTGGGACCTACTCATTTGACCTGCCTGATGACACTAAACAACAAAGTGGGAATTGGCTTTCTTGGCATTAATCAAGGTTATAATTTTATATGTATTTGTAGGATCTTTCCCCCACATCTGTACACTCCAAGAAGGTGCAGATCCTGTCTGGTTGGAACTCAGTCATATTTTCAGCAAGGTGACAAGTCATAGGTCATTTTGAGGTGAACGAATGAATGGTGGAACAGGAAGACTTCCAAATAATCCTTGCTCTGAAATTTACAAGTTTTATAAGCTCAGGCCAGCATTTCCCTTCTTGGAGCCTCAGATTCATTCTTTACAAAATGGCTGATTTGGCTTGGAGGCTCTCCAAGGTCCATCTTAAGTTCCAGAAGCCTTCAATTCCATAAATGAATATACAGTAGATGCCCTAGGGCTCTACCACCGCCTCTCTTCTGAAAACTGTTTGCACAACCCGCATCTCCGTCTCACTGCAGCACAACATTCCCTGGAGATAGTCATCTAGGCCAGAGTTAGACCCCAGATCCTAGCTGGACGGAGCACCTGCTTTTTTCCAGGTATTTGGTGCTAGGCCTGAGGACCTGCCATTTGGAATCTGCTTACAGCTGCTCTGTGACCTGCGGATTTGGGGACCCTGGGAGTGACTGCCTCCTGCCCAGTGTGGAGGGCTGGGCAGAGACAGCCAGAAGGCAGAGAGAGAGGAATAAAGCCGTCTCCAGACCAGAGCGGACAGAGCAAGTGGAGACTTCTGGCAGTTGCCATCCCTTGCTGAAAGCTGAGGGTTCCATAAGGGAGCTTGTATACTCATAGTGAATTTCCTTTTTGCCCTTTTTTTGGATGAAAAGTAGCTCTAATTAGCTTTGTTTTGTATCCAGAAACCCAACTAATAACATACATCCATTCTTTTCAGTAGTTAAACCTAGTTTAACTGGTGATTCTGGTGAAGTCTCCTAGACTTTTCAAAGCCTCATTCATAGAAGCCTAAACCCAGTATTTGTTGTGAACAGCATTATCAGTGCCTGTGAGGCAGTCTCTCTCTGGGGTGAACCGCAATTTAGGCAGTCTTTTGTGTTTCTACACAGCAGGAACCTTATAAAACTGGAGAGGCAAGAGTCTTTGACCTAGGATGAGTCCATAGCCCATTTCTTTGCCCCATTTTTAAACAGGTTGGTCTTGCCTCCTGTTGTTGATCTTTGAGTCCTCCCCTGCACACCTGCCTGGAATGCTCAGCTCTTCCTGCTCACCTCCGCAGACTTCCAGAGCCTGGACAGAAGTCACTTCCCTGACAGATATCAGCACAAATCTCTGTCTACCTTTGGTCTCCTCCAAACTGCCCTGTCTTCTTGTCACGCACATCCTAACTTCATATTTCCTTTCCTGATCTCATTGAGAAATGAGAAATCGGGTTATGGGTTATCTAATTCCATTAGCCTCATTATTCCTTAGGCATCTCAGTCCCGGAGAGCTAATGCCATGTCATAGAAGGAGTCGGAAGACTCGGAGTCCACCAGTAACTCTGTGATCTTGAACAAAACCCCTTCTCTCTTGATTTGTAAAATGAGACCTAAATTGCATAATTTGTGGGATACTTCCATCTTCACTCTAGGGTCTATTTCAGATAAAATCCCCTCCCCACTCTCAGTTCTCATCTCAATTTCTTTCTTTTTTCATTTTTATTTTATTTTATTTTTAGACGGAGTTTCACTCTTGTTGCCCAGGCTGGAGCGCAGTGGTGCGATCTCAGCTCACTGCAACCTCCGCCTCCCTGGTTTAAGTGATTCTCCTGCCTCAGCCTCCTGAGTAGCTGGGATTACAAGTGCCCGCCACCACACCCAGCTAATTTTTGTATTTTTAGTAGAGACGGGGTTTCGCCATGTTGGCCAGGGTTCTCTCGAACTCCTGACCTCAGGTGATCCTCCCGTCTCGGCCTCCCAAAGTGCTGGGATTACAGGCGTAATCCACTGTGCCCAGCCTCATCTTAATTTCTAGGTTCCTACCACTCCCTTTCTTGGCATGAAGGGGTGGGGGTCTTGTTTGCAGGTGGAACTTTTCCACTGTGGGTCTCTCGGTTTTATTGTAGATGTTTTAAAGTCTCAACTAAGGTTCCTGACAGGCAGAGGGAAGATGGGATGGGATGGGGGAACAGTGCTCTTCAACCTGGAGGGGCCTGGAGGGCTCAGGCCACTCAATACGTGCGTTAGTATATTTTCCCACATTCTTGTTCCTGTCTCTTTCCTTGTTAGGCAACACCACCCTGGTCTTTTTTTTTTTTTTTTTTTCTTGCCTTATCTTTGTTAAGCTTTCCACATTCCTACTCCATCAGCATGCTTTTGGCTGACAAACTTGAAGCTTTCCCCTTTTGCTTGCTTTGCAGCTATCATCTAATCTTGCAAGAGATGAGAATTCTTGACATGTTTTTGTTAACTTCTTTTGTTGCCACTATGAGCTCCACCTAATTCTGAGACTGACATCCCCCAAGCAGCAGGCAGTGAGGCAAGGCTCTGGGGTGGCTGGCCTGGCCTTGCCACTCTGAGGCCAGTATTAAAACACTGAGTGGTTGGTTTCATTCCCTACATTACCAACTTTTTCTTTTTTCTTTTATTTCTTTTTCTTTTTCTTTCTTTTCTTTTTTTTTTTTTTTGAGACGGAGTCTTGCTCTGTCACCCAGGCTGGAGTGCAGTGGCGTGATCTCGGCTCACTGCAAGCTCCACCTCCCGAATTCACACCATTCTCCTGCCTCAGCCTCCCGAGTAGCTGGGACTACACGTGCCCACCACCAAGCCTGGCTAATGTTTTGTATTTTTAGTAGAGACAAGGTTTCACCGTGTTAGCCAGGATGGTCTCGATCTCCTGACCTCGTGATCCGCCCACCTCAGCCTCACAAAGTGCTGGGATTACAGGCGTGAGCCACCGCACCTGGCTTTCTTTTATTTATTTTTCTAATCTAAATTTTAAATTATTTAAAACAGGATCTCTCTCTGTCACCCAGGGTGGAGTGCAGTGGCATGATCATAGCTCACTACAGTCTCCATCTCTTAGGCTTAAGTGATCCTCTCGCCTCAGCCTCCCGAGTAGCTGGGACTACAGGCATGTGCTACCGCACTCAGCTGATTTTATTTAGTTTTGTAGAGATGGGTCTCACTACATTGCCCAGGCTGGTCTCGAGCTCCTGGCCTCAAGCAAGTCTCCTGCCTGGCCCTCCCAAAGTGCTGGAAATCCGGGAATGAACCATCATGCTCAGCTTTGCTGTCTTAATGAGAGCCAATTTAGCCACTCTGGCTGAAACCCTTCTCTTCATATGACAGCCCAGCCATCAAACATCAGTTGGATCCAATAGTTGAGTATGTGGGCTTCTTCAGTTTCCTAGGCATGGCTGGGTGACCAGAGAAAGAGAAGTGCCCACTCAACTGTCCACCAATTTGGAATTCTATCATTCATAACTAGCATTTATATTACGGCAGATTTTGAGCGATAAAGGTGATCACACAATTGCAAAACATGCTTTCTGTATATTTATGACCAGGGTTTTTTCATGCCTCTCTCACTGACTTCCACCCCTGGTCCTTGTCAAGCTTCTAAGAGTTTCTCAGTGCCTTTTCCCCCAGAGCTTAGATCATATCCAAGGAAAGATTGAAAATAAAGTAATTCACTAAGTGGAAAAGAGGAGATTTTTTTATGACTATCAGTTTGCAAAAACAAAATTAAAGATAATACAGGTTCATGCAATGTCACGGATAATGACAACAATCTAGATAACAGCCAAGAAAAGGCAACTTTATTGCTTTCTTGCAAACAAGCCAAGAACAATAGTTCATCAAGTTTCCACTATATTCATAATGGAGCATTTTATGATCTTCTAAGGAGAAGTTTGATGAAATGCAAGACTGTGCTTTAGATAAAAATGTCAATTTTCATTAAAATCTTTAAGTTTATTTGTCACACTTTCTTTCTAAATTCCAAACTAATTTCTTTGGGGCTCATGTCTCTATTAATTTGCTTGTTTCTTTTGTAACATAAAAGCTGTGACATTTAGATTTAAAATGACCATTGTTTCTGCACTGGATGTTCTTGGCCTGTTATTTCCTTCATAATTTTTACTACGGCTTTTGGGGATTCATTCACTTAGTCTTGGCAGTTACTGAATCTTCTTGTCCTTTGCAGCTATAGAGATGCCTCAAGTTGGCAAGAAAGAAAAGGAAGTCTTTGTGCCGTTGAATACCAAATCTGGTCTCTATTACAGTGCCGAAGGAGTGCTGTTTGGAATGACATTGGAAACAGCCAAAGAACATCTCCAAGACCTTCTGACGTTGATGGAGAGAACCTCTGACTGAATCCTTGGTGGCCAGGCAGGCAGGGCAGCTCATTCTGAATGAGTAGAAATCTCATTTATAATGTTCAACCTAGGTAACATGTTTTAGAAGACAACTTAAGTCAGAGGGAAAGCCTATTATGGCCAAAGCCTGAATATTTGTCCAGTCGGCTGTTAATCCAGTCAGCTTTGATGGAAGAATTGGTAATAGGAAGATTGTTCTTTTTGGCTTGTTGGGCTGGAGTCAGAGAGAGGGGGACACCCACATGGCCAGAAAGCTGAGATGTCATAGCTAGATAGTCCTCGCAAATGCCACTTTACCAAACAGCCTTCCATTATGATTGTCTGCAAATGAAAGTTAACACTGCTACACCTGGCAAGGAAATTCTTTGCAGAGCCATGGGTGTAGTTACCACACTGCACTGCAGCAGTTTGGGAGAAGATGCTGAATTAGGGTGAACCTCCAGTAGCCTCTTCTGGGCTTCTTCATGGAAAGGAAGTGAGAGAGCTTCCTGAAGCAGGAGATGGGACAGGTGCCAGGCAACAGAAGAAAATCAGGCCCTGCACAATGGATCACGCCTGTAATCCTATGGCTTTTGGAGGCTGAGGCAGGAGGATTGCTTGAGCTCAGGAGTTTGGGACCCCATCTATACAAAAAAAAATTGGCCAGGTGTGGGGTGACATGCATCTGTAGTCCCAGCTACTCAGGAGGCTGAGGCAGGAGGATGACTTGAGCCCAGGAGTTCGAGATTGCATCACTGCACTCCAGCCTGGGTGACAGAGCCAGACTCTGTCTCAAAATAAATAAAGAAAAGTCAAAAAAAGAAAATCAGCGATTTGGCCCTACCAGGCCAGGATGCAGGAACCCTGGCTGGGAACCCAAGAGGCAGTGGGAAAAGCAATGTTAGGGTTCCAAGCCCTTGTGGAGTGAGTGCTCTGCTCCACTGCTGGTCTGAGCCAACCCCCTGTGTTCATGGCACCTCTACTTTGCGTTCTGAGAGCTTGGGCTTGGCAGTGACCTGGATGAGGCAGAAAAAGGGAGACAGGATTGTGGGACAGGCACAGAATCTGGAGACAGGGCTACTATTTGCTTTCTTTCGAGGGAGGAGCACAAAAGCCAAATATGAAGTCCTTCCTTCCAATCTTCCATTGTCTGAATTGAGCTGACTCACTGCAGAGTAAACTCATGGATAGCCTTGGTTTTTCCAGCATGAACAGCTGGGGGCAACTTCACAAGGGTGTGAGATTGGGGAGCTAGAATGGTGCCTCCAGTGTGTGTGAAGACACTGGAGAGTCATATTTACACCGTCACGAGCTCTCCTCCCAGAAAATCATCACGTTTATTATCTTGCCAATTAAACCTGCATAAATGCATGGGCAAGGTAGGAGAAAAATGGAAAAAATGCACAGTTCATTTCCTTCTCTGGTGCTGTTTACTCTACATGAGATATTATTAAAAGAGAAAGGTGGTAAACAGGCAGAAAACTGCCCTGTAACACCCACAGGTCAACCAAAAAAGTCTGGTGTGATTTTAATCTCAGCAATTTTTGAAATTTAGTGATGAAGAGAAATGCTGAACCCCCTTTCTGGCGTGTTAAATAATGATAATGTATGCTTTAAAAACTCATTACAACCATTAACATGAATAACTAGTGATTTCAAATTTGAGTTAAATAGTTAGGCTGCTACATTTATGTTCTTTGGGTGTTTGAATATAATTATTTGAGGATTAAATTGAGACACATCGATCGGTCCCAGAAATAAATAACAGGCTTGCTTGCAAAGCCAAAATTGGAATGGAGAAATGAGAATTCTTAGAGAAAATATCTGTTGTATGAATGAATGAATAAAAAGGAGATATTCCACACATTAATTACAGGAAGATTTCAGGAAAGGATTTGGTTGAAGTTTTTAAGACGATGATGACCGTAATAGATGATTTTAAGAAACACTTTTGATTTTGTTTCTTGTTTTTATGATTTCTAAGATTGGAGAAGGAATTTATTAAAAGGACAAAAATGTACTTTTATTATTTAGTAATCTTCTTGATTTGGACAAAAACTGATGAGAGGCTACCTTTCTTGAAATAAAAGGAGTATCTAGGATGCATTTAAACATTATCTCAAGTATCAGTTACTTAGATATTAAATCAAAACAAACCCACTGCAGTATCCTTCCTTCCTAATAGACAAATCCTTAGTAATTTATATTGTATCCAGAGAAAGTGGAATTTATCATCAAAGCTAAGCAAATCAGTAACTCTTTGTTTCGTTACAGAGGTAACCTTGGATTTGGTGGTGTTGAATGTATTTAAACCTCAAGATCAGTTGGCTACATATATTTTAGGAAAAAAGAAAATCCTTTCAATTAAAATTTTTTACAGTGTAAATGTGTTTTGAGTGATTTAAGTTGGACCCCGAAGGTTGATTTTAATGTACTTTTTTTATTAAGGATTTCATTGATGTACAAGTTGAGGATACTTTTGGCTGAAAGTGCTATTGAGATGTTAGGAAAATATCAAGCAAGGTGAGCAAAATAGCCAACTTGCAAGCAGTATTCAGAAGGTCTCACCAAAATAAAATCATCAAAGAGGAGCTTTGAAATGCAATGTGGAACGGAATGCAGGAGGCATTTTCAAAGGCTTTCTGCCTTTGGACTCACAGACCACCAAAAGATTAGCAAGATTCTGATGTACAGGAATGTTAGGAAGTTTCTGGGCTCACTCATCCCTCAGAGACTTAAAAAGATGACAAAAATTCAAACCGTCAAGCCATTTTGTAATATAAAAAAGAATCCAATCCATCCATGCTTGTAATTTCCATAAATTAGCCTTGTAGACCAGCATGGTGTTTTGTAACATCGTGGAGCAATGCATTATACAAATTAGACAAGGGCTCTGGCCAAGAACAGTTTTAAGGAAAATGACAGATCCTTTGCTGTTTCTCGCACACTGAGCTCAGATCTTCTCTGTCTGACTAGAATCACAAAGAGGAAACTGAATATTTTATCCAAAATATTATTATAAAACAGTGCTACAAAGGCCCTTCCCAAGAGACAGATCTTGCAGCAAATATCAGCAAGGCAGGAGGAAGGAGAGGGTCCTCATAGCCTCCTGTCTCTGTCAGTAACAGGCAGTCGGTAGGACTTGGACTCCGAAGGCATGGGCTGGATTTGCAAATTGCATTTTCAAAGGAGCAGGGAGATACAATTAGGAAGATCAATGTATGAAAACAGCACCTGAGGCTGCTGGAGTGGAAATGCAAAATTGTGCTGAGGATTCAAGAACCGTTCTGACATGGCTGTTAGAGACGCTGAAATGTGATTTAAAAAAAAAAAAATTTGCCATTTCTCCACCAGAACCCCCAGCTCTTGCCAAGAAATCACCTCTCTGAGCTTCTATTTCCTCCCTTTGACTCTCCCCTCTTCCTCATCCTCATTCTCACCTCCATGCCTTTGAATACTGTTTGCCTCACCTAGACCATCTATTCCCCATGCCTTCGGATGAATTCTAACAATCAACAACTATTCACTATATGCTCTGTGCAAGACATTCTGCTTGACATTTAGAGAATTCAGAGATCTCCAAGACCCAGGCACTTCCCTTAAGATGTTGAAAATCCCCTTAAAAGGATAAAAAACCAAATGTATAAGAGATAACTAGAAACAGACACATAAAATCTCCAAATGTGCGGGAGTGAGACAGAAATTCAGAAGAGAGACATTATCACCTGGGAAGTCAAGGAGACTTCATGGAGGTGAATTGAACTAAGCCCTGAAGGCAAAGCAGGATTCAGGTAGGTAGAATCAGATAGGGCTGGGGATGTGGGCTGGCATTTCCCGCAGGAGCTCGAAGCAGCATAGGTAGGCAGGAAGGATGAAGAAAAGAGATTGGGAGAGATGGCGTTAGAGAGGTTCAGGTGTCTGGAGCAGTGAGTAACTTACTTGCAGGGCTAATGGACTAGCATTTTTACATTTTGCTAGGTTACGTAGTAAGTGAAAGGGAGTTGCTAGAATGAAGGGGTGTTTTAGGAATAATTTACAGGACCCAGTGAAACATGAAAAACAGGGTCCCTTCTTCAAAAAGGAGGGAAAAAATTTCCATTAAGTTCCTAAAATAGAAAGTCAATATCTTTTTTCTTCTGCAGTCTCTCTCCACCTATCACTTTGTTGTTGGTTTTGTTTTGTTTCCCTATTTAATGTCAATTTCCTTGGGCACAAGACGCTTGCAGGAAAAGTGCAGTCTCCCATGGGTACCTGGGGACCCCACCCTGCCCTAGTCCAGTGTGCTTTGTCCTGGCCGACCATGGGGAAGTTGAGCCAGGCATCTTCCCTCCCCAAGGTGTGCTGCTGCAACCCATGGCAGATGAGTGACCTCAAGGGTGTTGCACTTGGATGTGCTGGGTACTTGGATTGGGTCTAGTAAAAGGCTTACCCCTGCCAAGTTGCCTGTCCAGGGCTCTGTGATACAGGCAGCCCAGGTCAGGGATGGCAGAAGCCCTGAGACTCCGTAGGGCACGTGTCCTTCCCGAAGCCTGTGCCTACCCCCGCTGAGAGAGGAGGGCAGTGGCTATTGCTGCAGAAGCAAGGAAGAGGAGGTCAGTGGAATGCAGAAAACCAAGCACAGGGGTCCAGCAACCCATGAGAGGAGACAGAAAGCTGCAGGGAGGCAGGGTTGCATGTGAGCTGAGGCTCCAAGTCCCAGTGCATGCTCCAGTGTCCCACCAGACTTCAGTCACAAAGCACAAGGTCAAGGTAAAATTGTTCAGGATTCCAAGGCAGTGATCACAAAGCATTAAACCCCAAATGCCTGAGTTTGAGGTCACCTGTGACTGTAGTGGCTGCATGCTGTCAAGCTGGCCTTTGGGGCAGCAGAGAGACCTGGGAAATGTCAATGCCCTGGCACGGGCGTCTGGGTGTGACGCAGGGGTAGCAATGGAGTGGGAAAGAACGGAACCATAAAAGCAAGGAAGGGAAGTCTGTGGACTGGAAAGAAAAATAAAGCAAAGACAATTATTGCATTTGGGACTTGGGTGATACAGAAAAAGACGACACTCTAATATAAAAACGAAACGAAGCAGAAGTCGTTTTATTTCTGTTACAATTTTAGCTTTGTAGGTAGGGTTGGAGGAGGGGCAAAGATACGATGTTTCATTTTGGACATAACAAGTCTGCGTTGGGAGAAGTTACTTGGACGAAGTGTCTGATAGGCAGGTGAATACACCCCAGGGAACTTGAGGGAAAGGTAGGGACCAAGACAAAGATGCTGCAGAAATTTGCCCAGAAAGGAGCTTCCAAGAAGTAGATGAGGTCTTTAAGAGAGAAGGAACAAGGAGGGGTGAGCAGAGATCAGAGAATAGGCTCACAGGGTACCTGCCTTTAAAGGACAGAGAGAAAGGGGCTTCCAGGGGGAAGAGGAGGATCTGCAGAGAGGAAACTCTTGCATAAGGCTAAGAGAAGAGTGAATCTTAAAAAGGATGTCAATGGAGTCAAATAGCCCAGAAAATCCTGGAGAATGAGGACAAGAAAATAATTCTTATTTATAATTCCCAAAGGTATTGTTTCAGTGGCATAATTAAGTGGCTGACTGTGTGCATGGGAGGGCTGTATGCAAATCATGACTCTGTGGCTGAGTTGTCTAGGATGGACAGAGCAGAAGGGCTTTAGAAGCAGGGTCCAGATTCAAATCTCAATTTGGACTCTTGCTAGTTGCATGGTGTTGGGCAAGCTACCTAATCTTGCTAAATGCCATTTTTCTGAGCTGTGAAATGAGTAGGTAAGTAGGATATTCATATGGGAGCTATCATACCTGGTTAATTTTTTGTAGAGATGGAGTCTTGCTATGTTGCCCAGGCTGGTCTTGAATGCCTGAGCTCAAGTGATCTTCCCACCTCAGCCTCCCAAAGTGCTAGGATTACAGGTATGAGCCACCATGATCAGTCAAATACACATTCTTTTTTTTTTTTTTTTTTTTTTTGACAGAGTCTTGCTCTGTTGCCAGGCTGGAGTGCAGTGACATGATCTCAGCTCACTGCAATCTCTGCCTCTGGGGTTCAAGTGATTCTCCTGCCTCAGCCTCCCAAGTAGCTGGGATTACTGGTGCGCACCACCACACTGAGCTAATGTTTGTATTTTTAGTAGAGACGGGGTTTTACCATGTTGGCCAGGATGGTCTCTATCTCCTGACCTTGGAAACACACATTCTTTAAACTAGGCACATGACTGCTCTGCTAAGATGATAATTCCCAGCCTCCCTTGATGATAGATGTGGGCATGTGACAAAGTTCTGGCTTATGGGAGATGAAATAAAGGGATATGGGCAAGTTTCTGTTCTTCCTTTATGTTTCCCCTTCCTGATGGCCAGAACCCACATGGATGGCTGGAACTGATTCAGCAATCTTGGACCAGGCAACAGAAGTGGTGGGTTGAGGCTAATGTAGAAAAAAGACAGAAATTGCCTGAATCTGCTACCTTGTGGGGCTTCCAACCTTGCCTGTATTTGGACTATTAAATGAGAGAAATACTTTTTTTTTTAAATTTAAGTCACTGGCATTTTGGCTCCCTCTATATAACTGCACTTGTATCCTAAGTAATAATATACTTGTGCACATTTAAAAATCGGGGTATAATACTTACTTCATACAATCGTAAGAACTGAGCCCTCTCTGATCCATAAAAAACACCAGACCCACTACCTACCTCATTGTAATTACTTAATCAATGTTTTCTGAATACATGAACATTATGACCAGAGGACACGGCTGAGAGAATTGCCAAGGTATGTATGAGAAATAGTAGTGGGAGTTACATTGTTGGCTACATTGTAGATAGATGTTAAAGGATTTGAATTTTATTCTGCAGGTAGTAGCTCCTGGTGGTTAGTAACATACAGAAATTGAGGACATGCCCATGCATTTTGATACAAATGGAAAATTCAATATTTCTTGAGCTCCTATTTGATGCCAAGCATTGGGAAAACAAAGGTAAATAAACCAGTCTTTGTCCTTAAGCTTCTTGCTCAAAGCAATCATTATATTGTTTAAAAGCTTGGACTCTAGATCCAGAATGTCTGCTTTTGAATCTTGGCTCTACTACTAGCTAGTTGGTGACCTTAGCAAATCAATTCACTTCTCTTTGTTTCATTCTCTGTAAAACAGCAATGACAATAACATCAACTTTATAGGATTGTTATAAGGAATATATGAGCTAATACCTGCAAAATGCATAAAACAATGCCTAATATTAAGTGCTCAGTTTCTGCTAGCTATTATATCAGATAACTATTGCTACATAAGAAACCACCCTTAACTCGGTAGCTTAAAACAACAAACATTTATTTAGTTCACAATTCTTCAGGCTGGCAATTTAGCCTGGGCTTAGCTGTGTGGTTCGTCTGGTCTTGGTTGTGCTCCAGTATATGTCTGCAGTTAGCTACAGGTTGGCTAGGTGGCTCTGCTTTCAGGGTTAGTGGATTTCTACGGTCATAGCTATGGGGTGACAGTGACAACTAAGTCATTTGTCTCTCATACTCTAGCATACTTGTCAACTTTGTTCTCATAGAGGAGGCAGGATTCCAAGAGAAAGTAGAAGTGTGAAAGGTCTCAAGTCCTAAGCACAGAACTGGCATAGCATTACTCCCTCCATATGATATTGGTAAAAGCAATTAGCAAATTCAACCAAATCCAAGGGAAGAGCAACAAAGTCACATTGCAAAGGATGTGGGCACAGGTTCAACAGGTGTAATTAATTTGTCTCAGTCTGTCCTCTGGTCTTAATTATTCACATCCCTTCTACATGCAAAATATGCTCGCACCCTCCCAAGACCCTCAAACTCTCATTCAATCATGGCATCAAACTCCATATCAATTCTGCACATGGTTCCTTGGATGTGATGCGTCTTGATCTGGGGCCTGTGAAATATAGAGTCAAGTTAGTACTTGTTCAGAAAGACCCAACATATAATGATGACACAAGGCACAGGACAAGTGTGGTAAATACTCCCATTAAAAATGAGGAGGAATAGGAGACACTAGCAGTAACTGGTCCATAGCAATTCTGAAATCCCACTGGGTAAATGTCACCAGATCCCCCAACTGTGGGAGTGGGAAAAAGGGAGTGTTGGTTCCCTAATTAAACCTTGCTTCTGATCCTTGGAAGTGGTTCTTTGGTCTATTTTTCTACAAATTTCTTCTTCCACCTTGTGGTTTCCTAGTTGTGCCCCCTGAGATGGTTTTCTTTTCTCATCACTCTTCTTGGCTACATTTAAATAAATAGCCCATGTTAGCAGATAAATGTCTGTCTTAACTTACTTATGCCTATTGAAAGTGGGAAGCCCAAAGCCCTTTGTACATTTTGAACAATTTCAGCCCCTTTTAGTCCAAGCTGGCCACATGTTTTTCCTGTACAATTTCCTAAACAATGTAGTGGGTTTCTTACTAATCTGATTATTTTACCCACTTCAATGGGGCAGAAGCCAACACCACAATTGTTTTCTTGACCTGGCTCTCTAGATTTACCTACTGCTACATTGAGACTAGGTTTTTGTGAAATTATGACATTAATATTCTAGAAGTCTTTGGTCCAGACCAGATGGTCTACTTTAATTATTTTTGAGGCCTCAACAAGAGATCATACAGCCACACCCTTGATTTGATCTATGTCTTAGTCTATATTTTACTTTGAGAATCTTCTGCTGGCTGAAGAGACTACAAATGAGTAACTGTTATATTTTCTAATCCAGCAAGTCATTCTATTTACAAATTGGCCAGTTCTTTCTTTATCTCATCTTTCCTTGGTGTTCGTTGTCATATGCAGCAAGAAGCAACCAGCTAACACTTTCAACATTTTGCCTGGAATCTCCTTAGCCAAATGCAAACATTTGTTAGGCATATTTTTATCTTCCTATCTTATATCTCTATCTCTGTATTGAAATATCTATATATCTTGCTGCAGGTGAGAATTATCTTTGAAATAACAGCATTATTGAGAAATATTTCATATACTATAAAATTCACTGTTTAAATTGTACAATTCAGTGGTTGTCCAACCATCACCACTATCTAACTTCATAAAATTTTTGTTTTTCCAAAAACGAATTCTGTACCCATTGGTAGTCACTCCACACTACTCCCTTCCTTGGGCCTCTGACAAATATTTATCTAATTTCTGTTTCTATTGATTAGCCTATTCTGACCATTTCATATAAATGAAGATTTACAATCTATGGGCTTTTGTGACTAGCTTCTGTCAGTTAGCATAATGTGCAGGGCCAACAGTTTTACAAGTCCTTTTGCCGTTACATAAAGCAGGTTGCCATTTTTTTAGCTTTAAAAACAATTTCCTCACCATTTCTCCAGCCTTTGCTGATAATGTGCTTATGGCCTCTCCATCCTCCACCCTCTGACTGGTTCTAAAATCAATGCTGCACATTTTCAATCTTGGTTATGTCAGCATTCCATTTCTGGTACCAATTTCAGGATCAGGATCATTCTTTATTACCAAAATCATGTTGTTTATTAAAAAACAAACTTCAGTGGCATGCAATAATAATCATTTAGTTTTTTTTCATGAGCCTACAGGTCAGTTGGGTGGTCCTTCTGGGTGTGATTGGCTCAACTATGTATCTGATGTTAACTTCACATCAGATTGAATTATTCTGACCTCTCTTGGGTGTTGACTCACTGTGGGCTTATCTGTCATGGCCTCACAAGGAGAGCTGGGCTCTCCTTCATGTGGTCTCTTGGCCTCCATAGGCCAGCCTGGCTCCTTCACGTAGTGGCTGCGCAGAGCCCCAAGAGAGGAAGTGGAAGCACATGAGGCCTCTCAAGGCCTAGAGTCAGAACCAACATGCTCGCTTCTGCCCTATTCTATTTGCCAAAGCAAATCACAAGGCCAGCTGAGTATACACAAGCACATGCATGCACACACATACACGCACACACACACAGAAAGAGAGATTTATTATAAGAAATTGACTCACATGACCATGGAGGCTAAGAAGTCCCGTCACCTGCTGTCTGCCAGCTGGAGACTCAGAAGAGCTGGTGGTACAATTCCAGTTCTACTCTGAAGGCCTGAGAACCAGAAAAGCTGAGGGTGTAAATTCCAGTCTAAGTGCAGGAGACCAACGACACAGCTCAAAAACAGTCTGACAGAAAGAGAGTGAATCCTCCCTTACCCCACTTTTTTCTCAGTCCCTTAAATCAATAGCCTACAAGTGTTGTTGTAAAGTTAAAGTTTTTAAACTTTTTATTTTGAAATAATTGTAGTTGTAAGAAATAATACAGAGAGATCCTGTTTACCTTTTATTTGGTTCTGCCTCATGTTAACATCTCATATAACTATACTAAAATATTACAAGTAAGAAATTGATATTGATACACTCAGCATATGTATATATAAATAAATATATACTATATAAATAGATATATTTATAGAAAGAGAAATTGATATTGCTACACTCTGCATATGTATTTATATATTATATATTATATATTTATATATGCAGAGTGTAGCAATATCAATTTCTTACTTTTGATATATATATAATCAGAGTGTATCAATATCAATTTCTTACTTGTGATATATGTATATATAATATATATATACACACAGAAAGAAAGAGAGAGAGAGAGGAGAGAGAGAGAGAGAGACAGGGTCTCGCTCTGTTGCCAAGGCTAGAGTGCAGTAGTGCAATGTCAGCTTACTGCAGCCTCAACCTCCCAGGCTCAAGCTATCCTCCTGCCTCAGTCTCCCAGGTAGGGACCACAGACATGCACAACCATGCCTGCTAACTTTTGTATTTCTTGTTAGAAACGGGGTTTCACCACATTGCCCAGGATGGTCTCAAACTGCTGAGTTCAAGTGATCCTCCCGTCCTGGCCTCCCAAAGTACTGGGATTATAGATTCATGCCCATCCCACTCTGCCAATCTTATTCTGATTTCTCCACTTTTACATGCACATATTTATGCATATGTGTATTTAATTCTGTGCCATATTTTCTTATGTGTAGACTTGTGTGACCATCACTACAGTCAAGATATAGAACAGGTCCATCACAAGGACACATTAGGCTACCTTTGATAGCCACAGCCATTTCCCTTCCCTTCCCACTCCCTAGTCCCTGGCAACTAACTACTACATGTTCTTCATTTCTATAATTTGTTTTTTTCAAAAATGTCTTATAAATAAAATCATGCAGCTTATAACCTTTTGATATTGGCTCTCCTTTTTTTGAATAACTCCCTTGAAATCCAACCAAGTTGTGTGTATCTGTGGTTTAAAGCTCCTTTTTCTTGCTGAGTGGTAATTCACAGTATAGATGTACCACAGTCTATTTCACCATTCACCCACTCAGAAACATCTGGGCCATTCCCAGGTTTTAGCTGTTAGGAATAAAGCAGCAACAAACATTTATACACAGGTTATTTTGTGGACAGAACTCTTGATTTCTCTGGAATAAATATCCAGGAGCATAATTGCTGGATCTTGGGATGAGCATGTGTTTAGTTTTATAACAAACCAGCCTACACTTTTCCAGATTGGCTGTGCCATTTTATATTCCCATTGGCAATGTAGGAGGTATCCAGTTTCTCAGCATCCTTGTCAGCATTTGATATTTTTAATTTCTGCCATTCAAATAGGTGTGTAGTGATATCTAATGTGGCTTTAATTTGCATTTCTTTAATGACTAAAGATGTGGGGTGTACTTTTTATGTACTTATTTGCCATTTATATATCCTCTTGAGTGAAGTGCCTGTGTATGTCTTTTGCCCATTTTCTAATTTGGTTGTTATATTCTAGCAGTTTTTCATTCCTAGTCTCTTGTTTATTCATCTTCCTATAAAGTAACCTAAATCTTACCTTGTATTTAAGAGATTTTTCTATGGAAGAGAATGAAAAGTCTTATTAAATCTCCAATACATTTTTAGATAGCGTACTCATACTCTGCGTGATAAATCATTTTATCAGGAAAGCAAATAGAATTGGTCCTGCCCAATAGTTTTTTTCTCAAAGTCACTGATTATTTCCTAGTCTCTTGTGATACCTTACAGGGGCTAAAGAGGAATGATTTGCTTAAGCTGATCTTACACGTCCTGTGCTTATGCAAAAAAGCTTAGTGTTAAGCCCCACTAAAGTTTGTTGTTTGTACATCTCTAAAAGAAACAGTTGGCCAAGCGCTTAGGTAGCATGGCAGGTAGGGACCACAATAGTATAGTTGTACAGTTGTCTGTGTTTGATTTGTAACCAGCAAAACCTTCTCACTCAGAAAAAAAAAGAGCAGCTTTCAGCTCCTGGTACTGCTGATCTCCTCTGGTGTTTTCTGTTAAACATGTCCTAGATTTGCTAATTGTGTTTTTTATTTAATGAGTTCAAGAGGCAGGCATTTATTGTATCCCTCGCTAATAAATCATAACTGCTGATTCAGCATTTCTACAAAATGTTAAACAACAATACAATCAAGCCTTAGTAATTAGTTAATTTAGGGAAACAGGAAGAATTACTGGACTCTTGCTAGAAATTATACGATAATTTTTTTTCTGCTTTTCCATGCTAACTTATAGTAACCTCCCTTTCCCCCTTTGCACTGGTTTCCTTCCAAGCACAGGATATAACCTATAACCTAAAGAATTGTATAAGGCTTTGCTACTTTTTTTGGGGGGTCACGCTCTGTTGCCCAGGCAGGAGTGCAGTGGTGTGATCTTGGCTCACTGCAACTTCTGCCTCCCTGGTTCAAGCAATCATCCCACCTCAGCCTCCCAAGTAGCTGAGATTACCAGCATGCACCACCACACCTGGCTAATTTTTGTATTTTTAGTAGATACGGGGTTTCTCCATGCTGGCCAGGGTGGTCTCGAACTCCTGACCTCCAGTAATCCACCTGCCTCAGCCTCCCAAAGTGCTGGGATTACAGGTGTGAGCCACCATGCTTTGCCTACTTATTTTTTTAAACAAAAATAATCAAATAAATATACATTATATACATTGCAAATTAGTAACAAGTCTTGTGGAAGAATAAACACATATTTTAAAATGCTATAGTAAAAAATACCCCACAGAGCAATGCATGAAGTGGGTTGCAATAAATACCAAATTCAGAAATCAGCTTGTGTCAAAAGAAATGATTTAAGAGAGCTGACACGCACTGAAATATGGACTAGTCTAGAGAATGCTTGAAGAAGGGAATCAAAGCAATAAATAAATAATCATTTGTATTATTTCACCTTCTTTGTAAGTGATTAATTGATTAAAGGGGAGACAGGGTTAAGTAATTCAAGCCCCCAGCATCAATCAGAGGCTGAATTCTAGCTTGTGAGCTACAAGCTGGTATAGAGAGCTCAAAGGATTTTTCTGGGTTGTTTCTCCCAGGTCAGTCATTTCTGGCTTTGGAAGCTCTAGGGTTGCTGGGTCTATGTGGGCATTTGTTCACTAGTGAAGCTGTCCTGGAATGGGTCCAGCACCTGGAGCAGGCTAGTCTCCTAACATCCTGCGCTGAGCACTCATGAACACCATGTGGGATGCATGTGTGAGAAGCCCTCTTGGTGGCATAATGACAGATGCTCTGTTCGAGAGAGGCTAGGTAAAGGCACATCTAATGCTGAAAAACTCGGGAGTATCTCTCTTTTCATTCAGCATGTATTCATTGAGTGTCTTCCACAGTCTAGCTCTGCACTACGTCTGCAATACAGGAATGAAAAATCCCTGCTCGTAAAAACTCACATGGGAGAGAGATTAATAACCATCAACTACAATAGGACACAAGTAAGGCTTATGATGGCAGCAAGTACATGGTATTACTCCAGTGCAGAGGAGGTCTGCTTCATCCCGGTGGTGGTAATGGGGTGGGAGGGGTGAAGGAAGCGCTTCTGAATGCGGTGAATTCTGAGATGGGTTTTGATGGTGAAATAGGAATGTGCTCAGCAGACATAGTGAGGGGGCAGATTATGCAAGACAGGTGCAGGTGCGAGAGAGTGCAAGTGGCTCTTGCAAAGCTAACAGTGGTTTGTGGCAGGGGGCAGGAGGTGAGGGCTGCAGAGGTGGGCCTGAGCCAACTGAAGATGTTATTGATGGGTTGGATGCAGGGCAATGACATAATGAGAAAGGCAGAATGAGGGGCAACTTTTGCCACATTCCACCATCCACTTGCTTTCCTAGAAGGGAAGACTGGGGAGGCCACTGCATTGCATTTCAGAGACTGTTTGTAAATGTATGTATGTTTATTTATTTATTTATTTTGGGAGCTTATTAAAAGTATGTGTGTTTATTTATTTATTTATTTATTTAGGGGGCTTGAATTACTTAACCCTGTCTCACCCTATCACCTAGGCTGGAGTATAGTGGCACAATCATAGCTCACTGCAGCCTCAAATTCCTGGGCTCAAGCAATCCTCCTGCCTCAGCCTCCTGAGTAGCTGGGACTACAGGCTAATTAGTCATACTCAGCTAATTTCTCTATTTTTTGGAGGGATGGGGTCTCGCTGTGTTGCTCAGGCTGGTCTCAAACCTCCCAAAGTGCTGGGATTACACGTATGAGCCACTATGCCTGGCCTATATATATATGTATGTGTGTGTGTGTGTGTGTGTGTGTAATATATATATATATATATATATATTTTTTTTTTACTATCAAATTGCTCCTCCTGAGCCCAGTCCATTTTCTGGGTACAGGGCTACAGACAGACCATCTTTGAAATGCCAGTGGACAGATGTTATCACAGGGCATGTTTCCACCGATGGGTCCATGCCTCGCACCTGGAGCACAGCAGTGAGGTGGGGAAGTTGGAGAATATGAGTGCTGATGTCTTGTCCTCCTTTTCACAGCTGCCGCGAATCCCTCAGATGAATCCTATCCTCATCCATGCATCTGATTTCTACACTCGGGGTGGGATAGAGTTTGAGATTGGAAAATAATGCAAGAGCTTTACACCATGACTTATGAGCGCTGGCTGAGGTATCTGGGAAGATGTAGCTGGAACAGATGAAGTCTCACAGGTGACACTGCTGTTTCTAAATATTTGAAGGGTTTTATACGTAACAGACAGGATTAGATTTTTTCTGTATGGTTGTAAAGTATGCATTGTCCAATTGAGGGAAACTATAGGAAAAACTGACTTGGTTCACAATAAAAATTATTGTGCCTATCATTCGGTGAGTGACTAATACGTGCTGTCATATTATACTGAGATAATCGAATCCTTTCAACAACCCTGAGAGGTGCATGCTTTTAACCTCATTGTATAGATGCGCATCCTCAGGTGCCTTTAGGTTTCAAACCTATCTGCCTGACTCTCTCTTTCCATTGCATTCAGGTTCACTTGGGGAAAACTATTCTGTAATATGTTTTCCCCTGATGGAGCTTTCAGAGGTGAAATGGACCGTGTGCTGGGTGGATAATTCTCCCTCCACCTGGAGATCACTGCCATGAATATTGTAAAGGGGAGTCAAACATTGCCTGGGCTGTTGAACCCCTCAGCCTTCAAGGCCCGGTTTAAAGGAGAGCTTCTCAGATCTGCTGTCCTTTTATAAGTGAGCTGGATATTTACACTACATGGCATGTGTATTAGCTTCTTATTGCTGCCGTAACAAATTGCCATAGATCCAGAGGCTTAAGACAGCACAATCTATGCTCTTACAGTTCTGGGAGTCAGAAGTCCACTTTCACTGGGCTAAATCAAGGTGTCTGCAGAGCTGTTTCTTTCTGTAGGCTCTGGGGGAAGAATTTGCCCTTGCCTTTTTCCGTTTCTAGAGGCTACCTGTATTCCTTAGCTTGTGGTGCCTTCACACATCTTCATAGTGTGTTGCTCCAGCATCATATCACCTTCTCCTCCTCTGTAGACAGGTCTCCCTTTGCCTGCCTTTTAGAAGGATTCTTGTGATGGCATTAAGCCCACCCACATAATCCAGGATAATATCTCCATCTCAAGATCCTTGACTTCATCACATCTGCAAATCCCTTTTACCATGTAAGGTGACATTGACAGGTCTCAGGAATTAGGACATGGACATCTTTGTGGGACTTTACATTCAGCCTACTATAGCACGCAAAGGCTAAAGCATGGATATGTATAGCTAGGATGGCGAGATCTTCCCAGACTTAGGAAAATTCACTTAAAGAATGAATTCCAATCTGCATATGTCCTTCAGATACTCAGAACAGATTTCATTCAAATTGTTCTCTAGCATACGCATTACTAGTAAAACAAAGAACAGCTCCACAGATAGAACAAAAAAAGAACGCTAACTTATCTTTTCTCACACAGGATGGTAGCATTTTAAAATTCAGATAAATAGAATATGTGCCCAGCATCAAAGTCTCAGGAGGTAAATGAAATGCTGAAGTACAAAAATAACCAAGAGAAACTAGTCACAAATCAGACAAAGACCAAGCACTAGCATTGTTTTGCATTACTCCAAACTGCCAAACTATTGGACTTAGGGGACCTGGGGAAGGGATGCTCATAAAGATAGAGAATTTAATATTAGCTCTGGAAATGGGATTTGCCACATCGCTAATCCAACTGGCAAAAAGTAGCATGTCTCAGAGTCCAAAGCCTGATAATAAAGTATCACCCTGCACTGATGTCAGTTTCCCCCATCCTGTTTTAGGCTGACTTCTCCAGGGAGCTATTTGAGCTCTCAGATTCACCATATAGGAAACTCTGAAAATGGAATGCATGCAATAAGAATTTGTTAACTATCTAAATAGGTATGCATTACCATATTAGACACTAAGCGAGATACAAAAATAAGTAGAATACAAAATTCTGTGCCTGAAGGGATTTTAAGATAAACAAAAAGCTCCCTGCAACAATCTAAATAATAGTGGCTCAAAATATCATCATGGTCTCTGTGTTCTAAGCTTCCACTCCTGCTTGTCATTTATGCACCCAATTGAACAAAGCTATCCGTAAATAACAGGTATTTGTCACTCAGTTGTTGTACATTAGCTACTATAGGTAAGACTGAAGAAAATAAAAAATGGATTGAGCAGTAGAGCAAAACAAATAAACAAAACATGTATTGAGTTCTTTCTGTGTGCTAAGCCTTGGGTTCCTGCAGATGAATAGAGCAGGGTCCTTGTTTTCAAGACTCTGCAGAACATTCTTTGCAAGATCTACCAAGAGATCTAGCTAGAAAGGACCAAAAACATGGGTGAAACTATCAGATTTTAATTTTTTAAAAGCTAAGCTCTGGGTTCTGAATAGAGCATCTTATAAGTAGACTTTTAACATGGTCGAATTATGTTTCTAGATCTTCATAAATCTCCCCGATTTGAAAATACTCCTTATAAAATGTATCTCCTCTCTGTTCTAAAATTCTATAAAATATAATTGAAAAGCACGAGGGTCTCATTTAAAACTTAAAACTATGTAAGTGCAGAACCAAAAACTATACAATGTTATTCAAATTAATCCTGCAACTAAAATGAACTCTGCCATATTACATGTATAAGTGTGTAATAGCAATAATTATGAATACTTATGAACTAAATCTGAGAGGACTTTTTTGTCACTTTCTGATAGTAACTGACTAAGTGATAAATAAATAACCAAATAATCAGCATTATCATGTGATATGGTTTGGCTGTGTCCCCGCCTAAATCTCACCTTGAATTGTAATAATCCCCATGTGTCAAGGGCAGGGCCAGGTGGAGATAATTGAATCATGGGTGTGGTTTCCCCCAGATTGAATCATGGGTGTGGTATCCCCCATATTGTTCTCATCCCTGTAGTGAATAGGTCTCACAAGATCTGATGGTTTCATAAAGGGGAGTTCCCCTGCACACTCTCTTTCTTGCCTGCTGCCATGTAAGACGTTCCTTTGCTCTTCCTTCATCTTTTGCCATGATTGCAAGGCTTCCTCAGCCATGTGGAACTGTGAGTCCATTAAACCTCTTACCTTTATCAATTACCCAGTCTCAGGTATGTCTTTATTAGCAGCATGAGAACAGACTAATACATTAGGGGCCATCTGATTTTACTAACTCGTTAAGTTGTGCCTCCACCAAATCACAAGTTACTATAATCCCTGGACCTTCTAAATGGTTCATAAAAAGACTAAGCCATAATGTTCAATTTCCATTTGCAGAGGATCTACAGTGCTTGAGAAGTTCCAAGGAGAACTGAGTGAGTGTGGGCTGGAGCATTGAGAGAACAGGAGGGAGCTGGGCTGAGCCTTAAACGACTCACAAAGGCGAAAGGAGAGTGTTCCAGTACAGGGCACAGCAGAGGCAAAGGTCTGGCAGCAGATGGCAATGACACAGTTGAGCTTCCTAAAAGGACCAAAGGTGGCATTTTGGTGAGTAGCTGGAATGGCAGTTGAACAGTGGTCAGGCAAGTACAGTAGGTAAATTCCAAACATCTAGAAATGAGAGATTACATTTTTTAAAAATTTTATTTATATTTTTGGAGAGGCAGGGTCTTGCTATGTTGCCCCAGTTGCTCTTGAACTCCTGGTCTTGAGTGATCCTCCCACCTCATTCTCTCAGAGTGCTGACATTACAGGAGTGAGCCACCATGCCCAGCCAAGAGATTAAACATTAAAAGAGGAAATTAAAAGAGTCAAGCTGAAGTTCTAGTAACCATTTCCATGAACCAAAAATTAAAAATACAAAATGGTAAGAAGTGTCAAAGCCATGGATGGGACAGAGTCTAGGTCAGGCAGCAGGCAAGGGCATCTGGAATTAAACTCATATGGGATAAAAGGGAGAAAATAACATTCCAGAGGAGATGGTGACCAGAGACAGTGGTGGAGGGCACCCTCCATGCTCTTAAAAGGACGCTGAAAAAAAATTATTGTCAACTGCTGCCTGGAGGCTACAGATTATGGCAACTGGAGATTCATGGAGGTAGGAAAGTAGAAGCACAGTGTGAAGAGTAGGAACTGACCATCCATCCACCAGTGTCATCACTCCATCTGTGATAGCCCCCTTTCCCCAAAGTACCAGAGCTCCAAATGACCATGAGAAGGTCTGTTTCCAAACTTGGAACCCAGGTGCCCCGAAGAGGCAGCTGGAAAATTATTGCACCAGGAAGGGTGAGGATATCGAGGAGAGGAAGATTGAGCAAGTGTGGGCTGGAGCATTGAGAGAACAGAAGGAGGGAGTTAGGCTGATCCTTAAAAGACTCACAAAAGCAAAAGGACAGAAAAGAGAGAAAAAAATCCATCAAACAAGAAGAACCAGCAAAACAAAATTCCAAAACACATGGAGAAACCTACTGCTAAGAGAGGCAGCCAACAAAATAAACCATCAGGACAAGACATCACATGAATGAAGTCCGGACAGAGACCTACACTGAGGATGCTGAAAAGAGATAAATGAAAGAATACAGCTGTGAACAGCAACAATGAAGCAAAAGAAGGTAGAAACAAAACTAGAGTGGATAGATATGAGAAAAAAAACAAGTGCAAAATTTTGAAATTGAGAAATATAGTAATTGAAATAAAAATGAAATATTCAAAATACAGGATAAACTCTAGACTCAATCCTGTGGGAGAGCATATCAGAGAATGTGAAGCTATCACTAAGAAAATGCTCGGCAAGCAGTGAGAGATAGAAAGATGAAGATAGAGACAGGAGATGAGAGAGAGATTAAAAATATATGTGGTGGTTCATGTCTGCAACTTGGGAGGCTGAGGCAGGAGGACTGCTTGAGGCTGGGAACTAGAGACAAGCCTGGGCAACATAGTGAGACAGAAAATATAAAAATTAGCTGGGCATGGTGGTGTGCCTTAGTTCTACCTACTCAGGAGGCTGACATAGAAGGGTCACTTGAGCCCAAGTGTTCAAGGGTGCAGTGAGCTATGATTACACCGCTGCACTCTAGCTGGGACAACAGAGCAAGAACCTGTCTTTCTCTCTCTGTCTATCTATCTATCTATCTATCTATCTATCTATCTATCTATCTATCATCTATCTATCTATCTATCATCTATCTATCTATCTATCTATCTATCTATCTATCTATATGCAAAAGAGCAGTTAAGAGACATGGGAGATAGTTAAAGAGCACCAACATATATCTAATGAGAGCTCTAGGAGAAGAGAGAGGAGGAATGGGCAGGAAAAAGGAGTGACATCAATACTGTACCTAGATGGAATGTGGATTCTGTGTGCCTATAAAAAGAGATAAAAACAAATCCATATCTATTCACTTCATAGTAAACCTGCAGATATCAAAGATAAAGAGTACATTCAAAATCCCAGAACACAGAAAAGATAGATTATCCAGAACAGAATGGCTGCTAACCAAAAAGCTGAAGGATAGTAATGTGATTTTTTTAAAACCAGCCAAAGTATAATTCAAGAGTAAAATCAAAATAAAGACATTTAAAAACACATAAAAACTAAGAACCGTAGTAAAACAAATAATGCACTCTGGGGAAGAATAAATGCAATGAATAAGATAAAAGCAATTATAAAATGGAATTTGATTAAAGGATAGTAATTTTTTTTTTTTTTTTTTTTTTTTTTACCATAAAGTGACTTTAAAAAGTACAAAACAGAATTTAAACAAGAACTGTAAAATAAGAAGAAGGGGTCATTCTTCAGTGGGTTTTTAAACCATACTGACTGACACGTTTGTCATGGTCAAGAGGAGGATATAAGTATTGAAAGATAAAATATGTATTTTTTTTAAAAAAAATTCAGCGTTGTCACTAAAAGACTACAAGCACAACCTACAATTATCAAAGCCACAGAGAAAGAAAAACATACAAACAGAAATGTGGAAATATTTCATCAGAAGAAAAGGCAAAGGTGTAAAAAAAGTCAAAAAGGATGGTAAAAATTAGTCCAAATATGTGGTTGATCTTAATAAATGTAGCTAATTCAACTTATCTATTGAGAGAGAAAGAGAGATTATTAGATTGGATAGATTTGATAATAGAATACAAATCTAGGTATATGTTGCTTAAGAGACCACCTAAAGCTACACAGAAAGATTAAGGATGAAGAGAAGTAAAAAGATAAACCATGAATATATTCACCAAAAGAAACTTCGTTTGGTAATATTATCAGACAAATTAGAATTTAAGCAGAAGCATTAATAGAAACAAAAAAAGAACGTTGCATAATACTTAAAAGAGCAAAGGAATCAGAACAATCACACACTTGTATACCTCTGAGAAAGTAGCCTTGAAAGAGAAAACGCAAAGACTGATGGAAATAAAACTATACACCTTGGCATTCAGGAAGATTCATCTGCAGCCAGGCGTGGTGACTCATCCCTGTAATCCCAGCACTTGGGGAGGCCAAGGCCAGAATTTTGCTTGAGCTCAGGAGTTCAAGACCAGCCTGTGCAACACAGTGACACCCTGTCTCTACCAAAAATTCTTTTAAATTATCCAAGCTTGGTGTTGCACACCTGTAGTCCCAGCTACTCAGGAGGCTGATGCGAGAGGATCATTTAAGCCAAGGAGTTGGAGGCTTCAGTGAGCCATGATTGCACCACTGTACTCCAATCTGGGTGATGGAGTGAAATCCTGACTCTAAAAAAAAAAAAAAGAAGTAGTTTGCTTTTGGCAGAATGAATAAAATGGAGCTGTGATGTGTCCTTGAGCAAGACAGGATGTGTAAGAGCAGAATTTAGGGAGGGTTAATCTGATGACCTAAGCAATAAAGGCAGGAGTGAGGAAACGCTAGGTACAGAGATTCGCACTGGCAAGATCGGCGTGGTGATTTAAGAGTCGGTTAATAAGACCTTGATCTAGGGTGGCAAGAGATGAAGTGATCAAAGGGGAAGGGGAATCAAAACAACAGACGTGAACTGAATAACTGAATATCAAGGATAAGGAAGAGAGAGTAATCCCAACTGGAGAACGGTGGTACCGTGAGCAGAGAAGGGAATGATGGCTCGAAAGCAAGCTGGCTTTCGGGTTCATTTGACATACTTAGTTTTTGATTTACTGAGTTTTGGGTAACATCCATGAGATGACTGTTCTGAGATGGAACACAGGCAGCTGTTGGTGGGAGGAGAGGCAGAGAGCCAGTCTCTTGGTTGCCATGCTGCCTTCTCCTCATGTCTCTGGGGTGTCCTCTAATGCCCTGAGGAGGTAGATACTCTTTTTTTTAAAGTTCCAGGGTACATGTGTAGGATGTGCAGGTTTGTGACATAGGTAAATGTGTGCCATGGTGGTTTGCTGCACCTGTCAACCCATCACCTAGGTATTAAGCCCCTCACGCGTTAGCTATTTCTCTTAATACTCTCCCTCCCCCCACCCTCCCCTGACAGGTCCCAGTGTGTGTTATTCCCCTTCATGTGTTCACATTGCTCAGCTCCCATTTATAAGTGAGAACATGCGGTGTTTGGTTTTCTGTTCCTGCATTAGTGTGCTGAGGATAATGGCTTCCAGCTTCTTCCATGTCTCTGCAAAGGACATGATCTCATTTCTTTTTATGGCTGCATAGTTTCCATGGTGTATATGTACTACATTTTCTTTATCTGGTCTATCATTGATGGGCATTTGGTTTGATTCCATGTCTTTGTTATTGTGAATAGTGATGGAGGCAGACACTCATATTCACCTTCACTTAAAGAACTGGCAATGCTTGGGAGGCGGAGGCAGGCAGATCATCTGAGGTCAGGAGTTCGAGAGCAGCCTGGCCAACATGGTGAAACCCCGTGTCTACTAAAAATACAAAAATTAGCTGGACGTGGTGGAGGGTGCCTGTAATCCCAGCTACTTGGGAGGCTAAGGCAGGAGAACTGCTTAAACTCAGGAGGCAGAGGTTTCAGTGAGCGGAGATGGCGCCATTGCACTCTAGCCTGGGCGATAAGGGAGAAACTCCGCCTCAAAAAAAAAAAAAAAAAAAAAAGAAAAAAGAAAAAAAAAATAACTGGCAATGCAAAAATTTGTCAGGAAAGAAACTAGGGGAATTTCCTTAGTACATGGCCAGAAGATTCCAGCATCTGTGAGGGTGAAGGCAGGAAGGTGGTTAGAGCACTGGCCTGCCCATTCTCCTGAAGAAAGATGGTTCTCAGCTCACTGCTACTCTGCTCCCCCATTCTAAAGTAGTATTTACGGGATTTTATTTTTATTTTGTCCTGAATATTTTTGTCACTCATATTTACTACTTTTTAGTTTCTCTGCCTATTTTAGAAGTGAATGGTTCTGGATGGATGAGAAATATCATTCCCTCCAAAGTCCAGATATGATATTGAGGTTTTATACTTCTGCACAAGTTTCTGCACATCTGAGAGGTGCTTGGGCTGAACCTGGATGGCCACTCTCTGCAAGGAAGAGGAAAAGAGAGGGACAGCTCCTACAACAAGTGCAGACAGTCATGGTGGGTTGAGTAAGAGAAGGTTGCAGGAGAGTCACAGAGAGGTTGGGGCTTGTAAAGAATGTCATGAAAGAGTGCAGACACCAACAGAATGGGCGTTGCTGCTATTATCAGGATAAGCCAGTAAATGCCAGGAAAAAGATGTACCAGAGACTCCAGGAGGGTAAGTACTGCTTGAAGGAAAAAGGAGAACTAACAAGGATGGGAAAACATTTGATTTCAGAAGTTGAAGTCTCTGGTGTGAGTTGAATTAATCAGTTAATTCCTCTAAGGTTTCAGAGGGAGAAACTGGCTGATGGAGGGAAGAGCAGCTCAGTGAAGGATCAACGAGAAGGAAGAGCGCCCATCACAAGGCAGCTGAAAGCTGATTCATCATTAGGACGAGGTTCAAGGGAGAAGTCAGTGGCTGCCCACACTGGCGCATCCGTCATGGGAACTTTCTATGTCAAAACCCTGCCAATGAATCATGAACATTTTAGTTGTGATTCAGATTCCACAGCTGAGAGGGTATAGAGTAAGCTTTAGAAGTGGAAAAGTTTCTGACATATTCTGGATGGTAAGAGGAGGGTTAACTTGGCAGTAATACTGATAAGGAGGCCAAGGAGAAAAGCTGTTAGCATGTTACTGAGTAATTGCATTGACCAGAGGTAATCCAGCTGGATGGACAGGAAGGAGGTTTTGTTGTAAATTACTGAACTGATGGGGGCAGGGGGAGGGTGAAATTGTGAAAGTGTATGACAAAGGAAAGCTGGAATAAATATTTTTTTTTTGAAATTATTTTTAGGGAAGGAAGGAGAAATAGCTCCAGATAGGTTGCACAACTGCACACCAACACCATGCACATTTAGGGAAGATTTTATCATTAATTGTCTCAGACTCACATGTTTAACATGGTATCCATAGGGAAGTGGTGTTTGTGACTCCATGTGGCAGGGAAGCTGAACTTACTTCTGTTGGCCACGGTCAGAAGAGAACAGGAATGTGAGGAAGGAAGTGGTGACAGGAAAAACAACTCAAAGTGATCTTTCTGAGACATTACCTCCCTTCCTTACCATTTTCAAATTCTAAAAAGTGCACATCCATTAACATTTTAAAAATGCATTGACATACATGCATAACTTCTTGATAGCAAACCTATAACTGGAGACATTTAAATCATGCTAGATATCTGATAAATAACAAAAATACATTTTTAGTTACTCAGAAAATGATAGTGCACCCGTTTCCAGGAGGCTGTACAAGTCTCTAACAATCCACCCCTGCTTTCAGACAATCTGTGCAAATGTGAGTGCCAGAGTTATCTCAGGAGCTACCTCTCCTCCAGACAGCAGAGGTAATGTGAACCTCTGTGGTCCAGGCAGGCTCCTGGAAGAGCTGGGTTACCAATCCTGGGATACCCTCTGCAATCGCCCCACAGAGGACAGTGAGAAGAGAACAGGCATTACATTTGCAGATCTTTCTTGAAGCATGAGAGATAGGAAAGAGAGTCAACTGTATAGACACAGAACTGACTAAAATGGAGGTAGGAGGTAGTTTAAAGTACTAGACAAAAGCTGAAGATGTGGCTGGAGAAATATGTGTGGGGGCCAGACGTGGTGGCTCACGCCTGAAATCCCAGCACTTTGGGAGGCTGAGGCAGGCGGATTGCTTGAGGTCAGGAGTTCAAGATCAGCCTGGCCAACATGGTGAAACCCTGTCTCTACTAAAAATACAAAAATTAGCCAGGCATGGTGGTGCACTCCTGTAATCCCAGCTACTCAGGAGGCTGAGGCAGGAGAATTGCTTGAACCCAGGAGGCAGAGGTTGCAATGAGCTGAGATCGTGCCACTACACTCCAGCCTGGGCGACAGAGCGAGACTCCGTCTCAAAAAAAAAAAAAAAAAAGAAAAAGAAAAAGAAAAAAGACATATGTGTGGAAAGTATAGCATCAGCAAACTGTATAACAACAAGGAACCTGGCTGGGAATAAAGTAATAATGAATGAATAATATCTAATGTTCAAGGATGACATGAATTATGTTGTACACTTGGGTACCTTACTGTTGAGCATTTCAGTGCTGAAAGGCCTTGGAGTCTTTCAGAACACAAAGAATTGCACTTTTGATCTGTGGCAAACACATCTAGATTCTATTGAAACATTGTCTATATGGTTTTGAGACTAGGGGAATGCTAGAAACACCCTTGGTTCAGGAGTGACTCAGAAATCTAGTCCCAGGCCAAGTGCAGTGGCTCACACCTGTAATCTCAGTGCTCTGGGATGCCGAGGCAGGTGGATTGCTTGAGGCCAGGAGTTTGAGGCCAGCCTGTGCAACATGGCGAGACCCTGTCTTTACAAAAAATAAAAAATTAGCCAGGTGTAGTGGCAGGCACCTATAGTCCCAGCTACTCAGGAGACTGAGGTGGGAGGCTTGTTTAAGCCCAGGGGTGCAAGGCTGCAGTGAGCTGTGATCACACCACTGGACTCCAGCCTGGGTGACAGAAAAAACAAAGATACAAATAAACAAATAACCCCATAAAAAGGAGGCAAAAGACATGAACAGACACTTCTTAAAAGAAGACCTACAAACACTAACAAACATGGAAAAATGCTCAACATTACTTACCATCAGAGAAATGCAAATCAAAACCACAATGAGATCCGATCTCACACCAGCCAGAATGGCTATTCTGAAAGAGTCAAAAAACAACAGATACTGGTGAGGCTGCAGATCCAAGGGAATGCTTATATATGGCTGGCAGGAATGTAAATTAGTTCAGCCACTGTGGAGAGCAGTTTGAAGATTTCTCAAAGACCTTAAAACAGAACTGCTATTCAACCCAGCAATCCCATTACTGGGTATATATCCACAAGAAAATAAATCATTTGACCAAAAAGACACCTGCACTCATATGCTCACTGCAGCACTACTCAATATCAAAGACATAGAATCAATCTAGGTGCCCATCAACAGTGGATTAGATAAAGAAAATGTGGTGCATATACACCATGGAATACTACACAGTCAGAAAAAAGAATGAAATCATGACCTTTGCAGCAACGTTGATGCAGCTGGAGGCCGTTATCCCAAGTAAATTAACTGAGGAACAGAAAACCAAACACTGCATGTTCTCATGTTTAAGTGGAAGCTAAAAATTGGGTACTCGTGGACATAAAGATGGAAATAATAGACACTAGGGACTTCTAAAGAAGGGAGAGAGAGAGGTAGACAAAGGTTGAAAAGCCAACTATTGGGTACCATGCTCACTACCTGAGTGACGGAATCATTCATCTTCCAAATCTCAGCATCACAAAATATGCTCATGCAACAAACCTGCACATGTATTCCCTGAATCTAAATAGAAGTTGAAATTATATTTAAAAAAATCTAGTCCCAGCTTTTTTTCTTTCAATGAATCAAAGATTCATGAACCACACCGGATGGACACAAAACCTTAGTTGTCAAAAGGAAGACATATACGGGGGATAAAAGCACACCATAATGCTCTGGTATGAAAAGGAGGAGTTGATTTTAGGGACACACGAAGTTCCCTGTGTTCGCTTGGCTCCTTTTACAGAAAGAAATCTGTAATGGAGCTCTACTTATAATAACAAATTGATACCAGGGAGATGCCCATTAAAAGAGGGGATGAAGCAAATCTCGTGGAAAAACTAGAAGAAAATAGCAGTGTAAATGTCACCCAAGTAGCCAGTGCATTGAAGGCAATGTTAGAAGCATAAGGAATGTTCCCTTTCTCTGGACATTTGTTTATTTTGTACTTTATGGGTAATGAAATTTCTTGGGCATTTTTATTTAGTCACAAGCCTTGAAATTCTGCCCTACTGCACACACACACACTAAGGGAGCCATAATACAGGATAAAATGTAAATGTAGTGTCTTTATTAGACTTTTCTGTGCTAAAGGTTTCTTTTGATTTTGGATAACCATAAATGGGGACCCAGAAAACTAGGCCAATTTTGCGTAAGCTCACAGGCAGGTGAAGGCTAATGATGTAAGATTCTAAAATAAGACAAAGCCATACAGAATATGAGCAGTGAAAGCAATTCAAGGAGTTGCAGTTGTGGCTTTCAGAATAACTCAGGGGAGGCCCCAAACTGTACAATATAAAAAAGTAGGTGAGCAAATGGCTTAGTCAGCTCAGCAGTAACAGTGGCACAGAATTGAGTTCCTGAGCAAGTACTTTGGACAATTAGCAACTATCTTTTGTCCACATGGAGATTACTGAGCTTATGATAACCATTTCAAAATGGGCACAGTGCTGGCTAGTAAGAAGCATTTAGTCTAATAACAAGAGAGGTGGCACATATATAAATGCCTGCAGATTCCTGTCATGAGTGGAGGGCCAGAAATGGCTTACGTACTTGAGTCTGAATCAAAAGAAAGTATTTCACGGGAAAAGGCATCTCACTCTCAATCTCCCAAGCCAAATAAGGAGATAGGTTGCTATTACAATTTGTATATAGGAGAAAAAACGGATAGTGGCTAGTTGGATGGATGATGGATAGATGGATAAAGGATGGATGGATGGATGACGGATGAATGGATGGATGGTGGATGGATGGATGGATGATGGATGGATGATCGATGGATGGATGGATGCATGGACAGATGGATGGATACATACATGCATACTTAGGATATATAATAAATTGTATATTTAATAGTCATTAGCATTCTAATATCTATTGGGTGAACGGAAAATTTGTAGAGGAATATGTACCTACATTCTTTGCATTCATCAGCTAAGTTAATTGTCAGCAGACTCTTTGGGAAAAAATTAGGAGCACAGCTAAGGTCAGTATAGGATGGAATGTCTAAAGGGGTAGGGGAGATATATCAACCTTAATTGTGTACTTTTGGATAACCGAATAGGGAGATTCTTAGAGAAGAAGATGGAGGGTTCTCAAAAATAGATGATGCATGTGTATAAGTGTTGGTGTCTGTCATCAATTAAACAAAATCCAGAATGTACCAGGTTGAGAATGAAGAAAATGAGAATGAAAAGGAAATGCAATAGAAAAGAAATTAGATCAAATATAGAAGGAATAGTAGATCAAAATTAGGAAAAGGTATTCATTGTCCAAAGCATGTAGATACTAGCACTTGCATAGCATTGGATCCTGTTAGGGTTAAAGAAAGAGAATCTCATGCTCCCAGAGCTATCTGGTGAACGTCCCCAACTGTACATGTGGAGCTCTGCAGGCCCCACGTCTGCAATAGTACTGTAGACTACATCTCCGTCCACAGCCAGCCTCGGCATGTTCCATTTACACCACATGGAGAAATAAAATGTATTTCTAATCGGCTTTCTAATAAGTACTAATTAGTCCAGGCCTTTGTGATCCATAAAGAGATAAAGAGTGAGCTTGCATCCTTCCATCAAAGCGCTGAAGCTGCAGCTGGCAAAACCTCATGCTGCTTTTCCTGCCTATCTTAAGGAAGAAATTGAAATTAGCTCAATGAAAAAATCTCATTTAGATTTTGCTAATATGTATTAAAATCCAAGAGGTAAAACCGTGCAAGCAACTGTGACAGAGTTCCCAGGAGTGGTCTGAGGGGGACCAGCTTGGGGCAGCATTCGAACAGTCTCTTCCAGGAAGTCACATTTAAAACAAGAGCATTAAATCGTGACGGATGTACAGCATCAGCCATTTTGATGCATCTTTGCATTAAAGGACACGATAATACCTAAGAGGTGGGGAGAAAGTCAATGCACCATATTGATTATTATGAATACAAGAGTTTTAAAGTTAGACAGGGTTTTGTAGTTATAAGATCCAAAATGATCTTCCAGCTGAAGTATTATTGCAAACACCACCAAGACAATATCCAAGACCAAGGGAGAGAATTCAGAAAGCAGGCTGCCGGGCCCACAGTCCTTGTGCTTCAATCAGGCACCAATCCAACTCCATCAAAGTTAGACAAATTATCCCAAGGTCTCCAAGCACCTTCTCCATTAAGTGAGCACAGAGACACTCATGGTTTTCAGTGCATGAAAACTCCCTGGGAAACAGCTGAGGCAGATTTTCTCTTGTTTCTGCTTTTACCTGGGTCTTAGGAAATGTTTCATGTTTTCCCCACAGCAGTTTCCAGAACACAACATTTCCTCAAGGCTACTCTAGGGCTGTCCCACTTCCCATTTCATGTCCAAGGTCATAAAGTATTCTTAATGTAATTGTAACCATGATGTCTTGTGGCCAGGCTTGTCGTGATTCAAAACAAGAAGTGTTTAGAAATCGTTTGCCATGTAGTAACAAAGTCTAACGCATCTTTCTTTGTTATTTGTAACAAAACTGTTCCGGAAGGGGATGTATAGTGCATAGGATCTGTACAACATAGTGCTCAAGCCTTAAGTTAAAATGCATTAAAATGGGCTGGGCACGGTGGCTCTCGCCTGTAATCCCAGCACTTCGGGAGGCCGAGGCGGGCAGATCATGAGGTCAGGAGATCGAGACCATCCTGGCTAACATGGTGAAACCCCGTCTCTACTAAAAAATATATATATAAAAAATTAGCTTGGTGTGGTGATGGGCGGCTGTAGTCCCAGCTACTCGGGAGCAGAGGTAGGAGAATGGTGTGAACCTGGGAGGTGGAGGTTGCAGTGAGCTGAGATCGTCTCACTGCACTCCAGCCTGGGCGACAAAGCGGGACTCCATCTAAAAAAAAAAAAAAAAAAAAAGCATTAAAATGAAATGAATCTTGAAGTTAAAGACACCGTCATAGGAGGTCTGTGAGAGCCAGTTGCTAATAGCAAGGTGGGTATGGAGGATAAAGAGTAGCAGAAGATGAGATAAAAAGGTAGGTTACCCAGATACTGTGATATAAAGCATTTTATATAAAAAGGAGGGTCACACAAATATTGTGAAACGCTGAATTTTATATTGAGAGATGAAAAATCCATCTGGAAATCAAAAAGAGAAAAAAAAAAACCCACATGAATGGAATACATCTGAGGGGGTGAAGAGTATGGCAGGGGCTGAGAAAAGAAAATAATTTTGATAGTGAGCTTTTTAGATTCCTAAGAATGAGAAGAGATAAGCAGGAGAGTTAGGAGGAGGAAGCTGGAGTCCTATCCAGATTCAGCAGGAAATTATTTCAGCCTAAACTAGAGACACAGTGGAAGTGAGAAAGAAAGCACTCGGTTTGTAAGATTTCTGTTCAGGAAGTGGAGTGAGGGTCCCGTGGGAATGAGTGTGGCCAGAGGAGGAAATGGAGGAATAATAGATGATTGCAAGCCCCCAGGTTTGGGAGGCGGGGAGGTGTTATTGACAGTCAGGAAGGGAAAGAAGGTGTCTTAAAAAGGAAACAAACAGGGTTCATTTTTAGGTTGGTTATTTGATGTATGAGGAGAAACATTTAAAAGTCAAGACTTAGGGGAGGATGTGTCTAGGAAATCGAGGGCAGAGGGGATTGCTATACCCATGGGATGACTCCGTTTACTCCACAAATGTAGAAGAAATGTCTTCAGGGCCAAATTTCACTGGAGGTGAAAACATGAAGAACATGAGTACGATTACCTGGGAGTTTAGCAGACGGCTGTATCATCCAGATTTTGTTTTCAGTGCCTCTACACCTGTGTACCTTCCAGAGCATTCGGTTGATTCATGAGGCTTGTAGAATCTGCTTTTTATAAATTAAAGGAATAAATCTTTGGTGATTATAGTAAGGAGATAATGGGGAGGATAAGGAGAGCTCACAGATACAACATAGGACAAAAGTCAGAATTTTCACATGTCAACACGAATGAAACTTTACAAATAACTACAGGGAAGGCAGAATAGAAGGGAGACAAGATTTGGGCAAGGCAAACAGAGGGCTGATTTTGAAAGTACAGAGGAAGTGGTGAAAACAGTGTGACAGAGGAAGAAAGGATGAGAAGAAATAGACAAGCGCTGCAAAGAAAATGGAGGAGGCTGGGAGCAGTGGTTCACACCTATAATCCCAGCACTTAGGGAGGCCGAGGTGGGTGGATCACTTGAGTTCAGGAGTTTGAGACCAGCCTGGCCAACATGGTGAAACCCCGTGTTTACTAAAAATACAAAAATTAGTTGGGCATGGTGGCATATGCCTGTAGTCCCAGCTACTCGGGAGGCTAAGGCAGGAGAATCGCTTGAATCCAGGAGACTAAAGTTGCAGTGAGTCAAAATGACACCGCTGCTCTCCAGCCTGGGTGACAGAATGAGACTCAGCCCCCTCTCCCACCCAATAAAAAGAAAGAAAAAGAGAGAGAGAGAAAGAAAGAAGAAAGAAAGAAAAGAAAGAAAGAAAGAAAAGAAAGAGAGAGAGAGAAAGAAAGAAAGAGAGAGAGAGAAAGAAAGAGAAAGAAAGAAAGAAAGAAAGAAAGAAAGAAAGAAAGAAAGAAAGAAAGAAAGAAAGAAAAAGAAAATGGGCGAAATGTCTAGAGAATCAGAGGTAAATGTTTGGAGTAAATGACACCCAGATGGCCAGGGCCACCTCTCCTTTTTCTGGAGAAACAAAGGCAACCCCTATCCTATTCTTATCAGCAGCTAAAGGCAGAATCGATGCAAGAAGATTCCACAGGAAGGGAAGTTCCTGATTCTGATTTGTGTACTAGGACTAGAGGTTCATATGAGCAGGGAATTGATAAATAAAATGATCAATAATCTAGAAGTGAACATAATAGATAGCTTCAAGAGGCACAGATGCGCAAGCCTATTGCTGAAGCGGCATCAAACATTTCTGAGATTCAAGAAAATAACCATTTGGGTCTCATGGTGGGGGCCTGGGGATGCTGGAATTTAAATAAATGTCCCAGATACTGATCCAGAGAGAAAAGCAAGATTTGAAGATCATCAAGAGAAACAAATCTGTTTACCTCCATTAACCTCCACCCCCTTTTCTCCGTCACCCTCTTCTCCACATATATACGGGGAAAAAGACTCAAGGGGGTCCCAGCAGGTGGTGATTTCTTGAATGGTGTTCATTTTCTACTTGCATGCTGTGGCCTTATTTTAAATTTGAATTACTTTGTAAGCAGGAAGAAAAATCATTATTTTTAAGTCATTAAGAAAGCCAGATAACTTTGAAAATTAAGCCAAATGAAAGATCGAGCTATCTTAATGCCCAAATATTTCAGCAGCTATTCCTCTCAAAAATCTTTTTTAATGTTGTTCCATACGAGGTGTGGCATTTTTGCCAGGAGGTAAGGATTTTCAGGGATTATGATTTCAAAATACTAAAAACAACTGCTATTTATTAAAAAAAAAATTTTTTTCCTCCATGACAGGTAGCATAGGTCTGGGATGAAGAAAGTACTCAATAGCTAATTACTGGGTGGAGTGGAATTTTAAATAGAGTTGAATTATAGGGATATATACTCTGCAGAGAGCAAAGATCTGGCATCTATTCCTAGAAAATCTCATGGAGGCTCTTCTCTTTGGGTGGGAGGTAACGATTCCCTGAAGATCATCTCCTATTTGGGAAGGTCTCTGTGTGTGACCTCTTTGGGCAAATATACCTTCTGGTTTTCTAAGCCACACTTGATTTCAAATATATTATCAAGTCTTCCCACAAACCATAGGAATGTTCCAGCAATTTCAGCATTTCTGACTTCTGAACAGTATGACTCAGCCTGCCCTGAGAACTTGGAAGCGACACTCAAGCCCTCTGTAGATGGTGTGTGTGAAGCTCTGGTTGGGAATGAGGTCGCTGGAGATGCCCATAGCACAGCAGAGCTCTGCGTGGGTCATCTCAACTCCCTCACCTGCTTCCTCTGGACTCAGCACAGGCTTAGCTAGAACCCTGGCAATTGGTAACTGGTGTTTTGCTCAGAGGTGATAAAATACTCCCTTTTTTTGGCAGTGTGCAGGAAAGCTGGGACTGGTGGCTGGTGACCGGCATGCCTGGGCCCATGGCTGACTGCCTTTGAGTGGGTAAAGAAATCAGAGGAGTTGGCTCAAAAAGGCAGAAATGAGGAGTGTCCTCCTCTTACTTACATGAATAAAATTCAAAATGGGCAGCAGTCCTCTTACACGTGCATTCTATTTCTTTGACCCTGTGTGTGACAGATCAGGTTCCTTCCTGCTCCAGACAAATGGGGGGACTGTTGTCCCCAAGAAAATGCTCTTGAGGATGCCCACTCCCCACCCACAGATGGCACTGGTCGGCTGGAGGAAGGGGAGGCTGCTCCGGCCTCACTGCCATAGTTACTTGTCTATACCTGTATGTTTTCTTTCCCTTGTGTATGTGTGTGTTTTCCTGTTCATTTCCATAAATAAAATGTTCTTTCTCAGCTGTATAGCTGCCTCCCCTGATTAATTCCTGCCGTGGCCTCTTTGTAATGGGGTTTCTTCTTTTGCTGAAAACAGCAGGCATCTGCTTTTGGAGTTGAGTTAATGGGGGATGGAAGGGAGTTAGCCAAGTCTCCGTGGGCTCTCTGAGAATCCCCACAACCTCCTTACAAATGGCTTCCATTTTCGGCTGATTTCTCCTGATTTTGTTTATGTCTCACAAAGGTAGAATATTTTACAGGCCACTCAGAATTTCATGCAACAGCCCACACTGGGTTGAATTTTAAGTAGTATCTTCCAGGGAACGCGGGGGTGTCCAGTTACCATTTCTGCCATCAGAGCCTGGTTGGTCTTTTGCCATCAGCACAAGAACAAAGTGTCACATTTGCTTTTTTTTTTTTTTTTCTTCACAAGATGGCTACCCTGATCTCACCATGAGCGTTATTATCTGCTGGTCTTCCTCGAATGCCTACGTACAATAGATTGCATCTATTTAAGTATCCAGATCCTTTTGGAGACAGGGCCTTCTTCTGACACACACAAAAAGAGTTTTCAGATGGCAGATCCGCAGGTAGTAATTTTAATAGCCACTAATGTGAATTAATAATTCTAATAACCTCATTTCAGATGTGTTATCGGGACGCAGGAGAGGGTTGCCATGGAGGCTGTATTTTATTGCTCACAGCTGTGCAAACTCATTTTGGCCGGCAGCATTCCCATGTCTAACCTCTCCTTTCATTGGTTTGCACCATGTCAGGCAGTGTGGATTTAACAAGAACGGCCAAAAAAACTTAAGGAAAAGTTGTGATCTCAAGACTCTAAGCAAATGATGCTGATAAGCAACAATAAGAGAGCCCAGTGCTTTAGAAGAGAATTGTGCAGTTATATATTCATGAGATTAAATCATTGCTTTGGCACATTTATCAATATCAATGTCCAAATTATAATTTGTCAGCAATTCCAAGGCACGTTCTTTAAGTGCTTTGGGGCATAAACAATATTCCTTAATAAACTACCTTAGGGATTATTGCCCCCTATAAGATTCCCAAAAGTACATTAATTTATAATCTGAGGCCTGTAACTGACAACAGACCAGTAAACGTTTAGCTAAGTGTGCCTCCCACATTCCCTGGTCCTACAATAGTGTTTTACGGATTTTTTTTTCCATTTAATTCTCACAGCATTCCTATAAGGTTGTCATATTGGTGGTTTTAAAACCTGGACACACATTTTTTGATACTCCCTTTGAGAGGTGGAGACTGTATTCTCTCCGGTTTCATCTGGGCAGGTTTGTGACTGCTTTGATCAATAAGGTACAGCATATCAGCCAAGTACAGCATATGTGACACTAAGTGAACACCAGGGTGTCTTAAAAGGCCATGCATCTTCTGTGTTGGTCATTGGGCCATTTGCTCCTAGAACCCTGAATCGTCATGGGAGAGGCTGGATGCCCTGAGGCTGTCATGGTGTGAGGGAGCCTGGGCATCTCTAGATGCTGCGGGTGACAGCGCTAGCTGAGCCAGCCTTCCACTGAATTCAACCCAACCCAGGTCCCAGACACGTGAGAGGTAAAGCCTGCAGGCGATTCCAACACCTTGTATATTTCGTCTCTCCAACTGAGGCCCCAGACACTGTGAAGCAGAGACAAGCCATCCTCTCTATGGTCTGACTGAATTCCTGATCTTCAGAATCCATGAACATAATGAAATCGTTGTTGTCTTATCTCTAGGTTTTGGTGTGGTTTCTTTGTTATGCGCCAATAGGTAACGGGAGCACCAAGGACGCTTAGATGTTAAACAGCTTGACCATGTCCCACAGTAAATAGAGGCCTGAGATTTAAAACCGGGTCTGTTAGATGCCAAATCTCAAACTCTTTTTACCATAAAATTATAAGCACCCTAAGAGAAGTCTATAAATAGTGTTATAAAAACATGAGAAACAAGTATTTTTCTTTCTGTCCATGGTCATTAGTGTGGACTCATCGTGGGCTTGCCAATCCTAAACACGGGAAAGCTGTGGAAAACATGCGGTGATCTTTAATTAAAGTCTATTTTTTAAACCCACCCCTGTGTTCCTACCAAATTGTCATGTATCTGATTTGAAAAGTAGCCAACTCATTGACTTTAACTTGCATCTGAACCCATATGGCAATCTGGAACTCAACATGAAACCCCCAAATTCTGTTCAGCTCTGGTTGCTCCATTTGAAGCCAATCATGGGAAATGCTTAACAGCTTCTCTTCTTTGTTGCCATTTAAATACTGTCTTCTTTGTTCATTTTTTTTTTCTTAAGTTCTACATCTTTACAAGGTTTCTAAACTTTTACAAAACTTGGCCTTTTGGGTCTCAGGACTGTGAAAGAAATGCAGACTTGAAGTTAGACCATACTACCAACCTGTCAGAAAAGTCTCTGGTGAGATCCATTCAGAAGGTTGTTTGTTGTTCAGGCCGGGCACTGTGGCTCATGCCTGTAATCCCAGCACTTTGGGAGGCCGAGGCAGGTGGATCACCTGAGGTTGGGAGTTTGAGACCAGCCTGGCCAACATGGCAAAACCCCATCTCTATTAAAAATACAAAAATTAGCCAGGTGTGGTGGTGGGCGCCTGTAATCCCACCTACTCAGGAGGCTGAGGCAGGAGAATCACTTGAACCCCAGAGGTGGAGGTTGCAGTGAGCCAAGACTGCACCACTGCACTCCAGCCTGGGCGACAGAGTGAGACTCCATCTCACCAAAAAAAAAAAAAAAAAAAAGGAGGGGTTGTTATTCAATAAACCCAGACCTCATTTCCCTTCCCTCATTTCCTTTCTACCCCACATAGGGCTGGAAAAAACAAAAAACAAAAACAAACAAACAAACAAAAAAAACAAGGTAAGGCTAATCTTATATTCAGTTAGAGGTTTCCAAATTTTAGGAAAACAATAAAATGGAGATAATTTAATAAAAACCTCCAACCTCATTTGGAGCTGAACTCTAGGCAACGTATACCTGCACTTTGAAAACTCTTACAGGCAGAGTCAAGATTTTTACATAAACTCCATTTTCCTGGAACAAATTGACTTAACTTTGTGAAGCCTTCCTTATAATGAGAGGTCTCAGTGCAAGGTCACAGGTGACAGGACTGCTTCTGTAATTAGTCACTAAAGCATCCAGAAGCCTTTGGGAATAAGGGATTTTCCTTGCGAAGGAGGCTTATTTATTAACTGTTAATTATAATTTCTCTTGTCAGCTTCTCTGTGGATTTGGTGTCTACAAAGAAAGCTGAGGGGAAAAAATTATAAGGGCTTCTGTGAGAAGCATAAATCAGAAGCCATTTCACAGTGCCCTGCTACAAGTAGCGTTTGGGACTCTCAGATGGAGTAACAGGCAGATGCATTTGGTCCACCATAGTTGCATAGCCTCAGGGCTGAGACACCCAGGTGACTGTCACAGTCCTTTAGGGCTGCCACTCACGTTTGGTCCTGTGGACATGGCAAACGAGAGCTTTGCTTTGCCTGATTGCTGTGGTGCACCAGCAAGCTTCCAGGGAGCCCCAAGTTCTCCATTCAGCCTTGCATCCCATACATTTCATTTGATATAAGTTCTTATCTCTTGGACTGCCCTGGGTAGGGTCACTGGGGTTGGTGAATCACGTTGGCCTTTCTCCTGCATAGTGGTTCCTATGACAACAGCAAGTGACACTTGAAATGTAAGCTACCTGGAGAGACCCAAAGACCACACAATATCATCTGTGTGGATGTGATAAGTTGGCTTCCTTTAAGTGGCAAGGAAAGGTACCTAAATACTTCTTCACTGACCTTTTGTGGTTGTTAGGGTATATAGTTTTTCAGAGAAAGAAAAAATGTCACCACTATTTTAAGAAATACTGAGCATGACATTAGATATGGACAGCTTAATTTTTCTACATGGCTGTCTTCTTCATGGAGTTCGTGGTATAATTCTTTGCAGGTTATAGAAGTACATAATCACTTTTGACAAATAGAGATACGCATATTTCCCCACTAGCAATAAGTGGATTAGATGATATTTCAGATCAAGACAACCCTAATTAAATTACTCCTAACTTTACTGGCCTCTGTGGATTGATCTCTCTTTGACCTTCATAGCCCATCAGAATAAATGAAAAGAAAACATTCTAATATTTTTTCCCATTAAAACTTTTTCATGAACCTTCATATCTGTATACTGCATTATATACATATACATCAACTGAAGCCAATAAATGTTTGCTTGTTCTTTATGTCTTTTTTAAAGCCTGTAACAATATAAATTAGCATTATGTCAAGGAACTACATTATTAGATTACTGCAAAGAAAGATCATTTAAATTACATTTTTAATGTTTCCACATTTATTTTATGAGAAAAAAATATTTTTTAAACAAATATCATTTCTTAAGACAAGATTGTAAATGTATCCTGATGTCTTTATCTTGTTAACCGTACCAGATGAAAGCACTGTCCAACATAATGAACAAAAGACATTTTCTTTAAATGGGCAAAGTATTGGAAATTTTCTTTACAACACCATGCACTACAAATTATCTTCCATAAAGAGGAATCTTTTTTGCTTTTCATGAGGTGTCTTTGTGGTAAACACTGTAAGGGGGCATTTTTGATTGTTTGTTTTTTGCCATTTGTGAAAAGGCAAAGTTTATATTACATATTTTCTATAAAAAGTGTGGATATATTATGCTGTTTGTTTAAAAAATGGTATTTCACTGCATGGCAAGAGTGCCCTCTTTTAAATAAGTACAAAATTCAAAAATTGCAAGTCACAGACTACTAGAACTCACAAAACTTTTTTCTTCTTTTCTCTTTCTTTCTTCTGCCCCCTCTTTTCATTACCTTATACAAGACAGCTTATGATTTTGTTAAAAGTGATGACTTTTCTAGAACATTCAAAATGTCATCCTGTTTGTGACCGTTTTCACAGAAACTCTCCAGGGCTGTCTCTACCATGTAATGCAAGGTACTCCCACCATGGGAATAATATTTTAAAGTTCTCCTCTGGTAGAATATTCATACATTTTTAGCAACTAGAAGCAAGTAGGTCTTATTTAGTTTTACATTATTCACAGTGGTTGGTTATTACAAAGCCTTGCACATAGGAGGTGCTGAATAAATATTTGAATTAACTTGGATGATTGTTCTGACCAATAGGATGGGTGATTTGGTGCTTTTTGATGATAGGAATAGATAAAACACAGTTCAAAAATCATGCCTGGCGATTTTGTTGTTTTGATGAATAAATCTCAGTCAACGTTCATCTACCTGGTTAATCACATGGAGATTAGCCTTTCTGATGCAGATACACAGTCATCTTGATCATCACTTGATGGTACCAGACATTTTGATGGGTTTCCTCATCACCATTAGGTACATCCAGTCTTTTCTGTCTGCTAGAAAGTTCCTTCTGGCTGTATACACACACACATGCACACACACATACACACCACTCAAGGTTTCCTGAGCCTGCCCATTTTCTGTTTTAATTCTTAATTCAAGGACAAAGGATAAAGGTTGATTGAATAAGGAAAGTCATCTTTTGCTTTCTGATTTTTTTTTTTTTGATTTGGCATTCTTACATCATGCTAATCTTGAAGAAGTATCAAATCCTCTAAAATAAATTGTGGCAAAGAAACATCTTCTGTCTCTTTGGCTCCTTCCCAGGGAAGTCTCAGAAGTCCTACAATTCCTCACAGTCACAGGGTGGTCTCTG
This sequence comes from Homo sapiens, assembly GCF_000001405.40. Taxonomy (NCBI): domain Eukaryota; kingdom Metazoa; phylum Chordata; class Mammalia; order Primates; family Hominidae; genus Homo; species Homo sapiens. Next base: position 33,428,327 of record NC_000010.11, read on the forward strand.
CTGGAAAGGATTGTATTGAACATAGAGTCTGGCAAGCGAGAGGTTAAATAACAATTATTCCAATGTGGGTAAAGTCACAGTCAACATCATTAAAATTGTTTTTTTCCCCCAATACCTTTGTACTCATTCATGAATAAAAGTGAGTTTTATAGCAGAAGTAATTACTCTTTCTTATCCTAATGAAAATCTTAACAAACTAATAAATGTGTAACCCCTTCCTTGGGTCCAAATGTTGTTTTTAGTTACTCTATACTTGTGCCTAGAAGAACCAAAACCAAAATAAATGACTTATCTTTTGTGTTATATACTTCCCCCAAAATTATATCCCAAAGATCATTTAAATACTCATAACATCACTTTTGAAAACAAATTAAGTTCCATAACCTCTTAGCGTTCTTCTATTTTCCTGTCTTATGATGGCCTGCGCAGTTCAATTCTCCTTTTGTTTTTTCTCTTCCTATCCAGGGAACCTGGACTGCCTCCTACAACCTCTTTCTCTTTCCCCTCCAAAAAGCAATTGAAAACATGTTTGTTTGCTGCCCAGAGGGAATTCATCCATTTAACATAAGATTGCACAGGAATTCCCCAAATAGAGAACATTCAACATTTCCTATGATGTCAACAGGAGGCCAAACTCCAGAAAGAGCAGCCGGTTCTTGCCCGATGCCCATCCTTGGGTGGGTTGTGTCTGAGTGCTGTGCAAGCTCCCATCTGGCACATTTCTTCTCACTGAGATATTTCCACTGTTCATTCTCTCATCCGGCCTATTCTCCTATTCACTTGAATAATCAATAGCAGCAACAGCCTAATTACCCACATCATCCTCGCTGTGCTGAAATCATGAGTACGAAGGGTGCAATTGCTTCCTTAGGAATTCATTGCCTTCTTAACAAGAACCAACGCAAACTGTCTTACGACTGGCATCTCTCGAGCAGAGGCTGGGAGCTGATGAAGTAGCCCTGGTCTCACCTCAGTAGCAAATATTACCTGCCCTTCTCCACCTCCCTTCAAACTGCCAACAACACCAGGGCTGGCTTCCTTAAAATGTACCTTTGGGATGCCCACGCCATATGGCAGCTCTGAGAATGTCACCCTATGCTCTAGGGTATTTTTCCCCGTAGCTTACACAAATTGTAAATTATTATCCATAAAATAATGGTAAAGAGAGACAAGGGCAAGGAAAGGATCTGCCGTAAAGCCTCCATTAGCAAATGAGATTGGCTTTCCTATTCATGTGAAAAGTTCAAGGAGGCAATCTTGTTAAACAGCCATTTTGCATAAAGAAATAATATGCCATTATGGACCTTTTCAAATAACTTTGATGTTTTCCAGAACAATTTATTAATACTGTACTTTGGAGAAATAAGAGATGAAGTCTCACTAGAGAATAAAATCGGTGGTTGTTGGGCAGTTGGTCATAGCTCAGCAGGTTTCATAGCTGTCTGAAACACATTTCCGTCCTCTGCTAGAAGTGCTTGATGGCAAAATTTCCCCCCAACTCAACTCCCCTTCCCCGTTTTATCTTGGGATTATTTGAATCAGAGAAACAGTCCTGATCTTCACTTCTCTATACAATAAGCAACAGTAGTATAATTGCAATCTGACTTCTTTCTTTTTTCCTCTCCCTCCGTCAATACCCACTGACCTTCCTAAGACTAGGGGGGAAGGAGAGTGATAGGGTTATGACCTAGGTTTATAAGAGGCATGTTAATGATTTACCTATTTGAAGTAAGTTACATGAACAAGACTCATAATGTAGCTCCTTGGCTGGATTCGTACCTGCCTAGATTCACCTGTGTGTTGAACTCACACAAACCACTTCATACTAGATCCTTGCCTTTATGGAATTTGCACAGTAGTGCCTGCTTCTAAGTGTCCCACTCAGTCTTCTGTTCTGTTCTCCTAGGTAGCTTACATGAAAGAAGACGGCATCCAGGCACCTTCAGCTTTTCTGTGTTTTGGGTACTTTCCAAGAAGTGATTACTTATCATCGTGTTATTAGGTTGGTGCAAAAGTAATTGCTTTTTTGCCATTGAAAGTAATGGCAAAACCGTGATTACTTTTGCACCAACCTAATAATTACTGTATTTATGTGAGTGCATTCTGAAGAATACTAGTTTTGCAAGGTGTCAGAGGGATCCGTTGCCAAGCACATTTGAAAAACCCTGGAAAAGAAAGTTAAACAGGTACTTTGGCCATGGAAATGTAATTACAAAGCTTTTAATACATGCATTCATTTTGTGCAACTTCTCCAAGAATATATAATTTGTTGCATTTCGCAAACTTACTTGACTTTTGTCAAACATGCTTTCTGCATTAAAATTACAGAATTACGGAATTGTGAATTACAGAGGGAGAAGAATTGGTTTTCCTCAGCCTCAAATATCATATATGATCCAAGGTGTTTTGAGAACCAGTCAATAGGATGGGAATGGTATGGTATAACCTCTAGATTCTAGAGATCCTCTCTCATAGTGGTTTCGTTGAGGCAAGTTGCCATATTGGAGAGGCCCATGTTGCAAGGTGTGGGGAACGCCTACCTACCTGCCAAGCCAAAAGCCCTCCAGAGACCGAATCCTGCTAACAACTACATAGTGATCCTTCCCTAGTTGAGGCTTCCGATGAAACTGCAAGCCCTGGGCTAGCACCTGAATTGCAGCCTGTGAGAGACAATGAAGCAGAGAATCAGTGAGGCCATGCCTAGATGCCTGACCCACAGAAACTGTGAGATCATAAGAATTTTAAGTCACAAAGTTTTGGAGGTAATTTGTTATATGGCTATAGCTAACCAATACAGATTTTGGTTTCGAGTCTAGAATAATGTGAATCATTGTCTCAGTAGGATTAATTTGGAAAATTATAATTGAAGGTATAAGTCCTGGGCAGAGTTTTGAGGAAGAAAAACACATTACTCTTCTTGGGATAAGAGACAATATTCCAGTTATGAATAAAAGAATGTACAAGGGCTTATAATGTCAATCATTGTGGAGAATAATTCCTGAGAATTTATTAAATGCATGGCCCTATGGGGAATAGAAAAATGAATCATTTTTTCTTGTCCTCAAGGAACTTTCTCCCTAGACAAGAAGGAAAATAAATAATTGAGCATCTATTGTTAAAAGTAGAAGTAAAACAAAGATACAAAGAGCTATCGAAGCCATACTCCCATATATGCAAATGAGTGAGATTAGTCCCAACAGAGTGGAAGTAGAGAATTAAGAAAGTTTCCTTGGAGGAAATGCCAATCGAATTGTCCTTGAGGAGTAGAAAATAAAATCATAGTATTTTAACAACAGGTGGAAAGGGTGAACAAAGTCATCTCCTGGGGAAAGGAGAACATAAGAAAAGGTTCAGATATAAGGAGGTATGGGGTAAATTCGGAGTAAGTACAGCAAGTATGTGTAGGGCATCGAATAGAGCATCTTTCAGAAGAAAACAGAAACCAAAATTGAATAGCCAAATGATTTTGTTTTATACTGGGTGGGTTTTTATTTCAACAAGTTATGTTAAGTGAATCAAAATTTGGCTACCAGAATGAAAAAATTAGAATCTCAATTTCCATCATTCCGGTTTCAGCTCTAAGCCTGACACAGGCAATGAACACCTCTTTTAGGTAAACCAGACCACTCTTTTTGCAAATGGCCTCAAGAGGTCCCTGAGTTTAAGCCCATGACTTGAGATAACATGAGATTGAAACCTTCCAAGCAAAAGACCATCAAACCCTTAGTCACCTCTAGATAAGATTCCACACGATCCCTTGGAAACTTCTTCTAATGTTTGACAACTTTAACAGTTAGACAGCTTGTCTTGGTTTTGTATTTCTTAATGCTTAATTACCCACTTTTAAACTGTGAAGATAAATGTAAGTCTTCTCTGGAAAGTTCTGAGTTTCTCTGACTTTTCTTCAGAGGTCCTTTGGCTAAGTCATTAATAATTGTCATGTTCTCCTCTGGACCTAGTCCAAATTTTCTATGTCTCTTTAGTAGTAAAGACCCCATCTTGGCAGAGCACATTAACAAAGGGCCTAACATATGACAGGTAGGGTTAAAAAATGACTTGGCTTTCACATTTTATATTCCGCACACGTGACATCATGTGATGTTTACCTCCTAGTGTCAGTACCGTGTCATGGGCCCACATTTGTCCTGTCTATCATGACTTCCAGGGCTACAGATAAGTCTTGGCTCTAGGAACAGCTCACTAAACTTCTCTTTGAGAGCCTAAAATTTAGGAGATATTACACTACACAGGGGTTGTATTGGAACAAATACCCGATATGATTAGAATTTTAATGTTCGAACACTGAAAAAGAAGCAGCCTTGGCCGGGCGCAGTGGCTCACGCCTGTAATCCCAGCACTTTGGGAGGCTGAGGTGGGTGGATCACAAGGTCAGGAGACCAAGACCATCCTGGCCAATACGGTGAAACCCCATCTCTACTAAAAATACAAAAAAATTAGATAACATGAGATTGAAACCATCCAAGCAAGTGCCAGCTACTCGGGAGGCTGAGACAGGAAAATTGCTTGAACCTGGGAGGCGGAGATTGCAGTGAGCCGAGATCGCACCACTGCACTCCAGCCTGGTGACAGAGCAAGGCTCTGTCTCAAAAAATAAAAAAAGAAGCAGCCTTAAAGCTGCCTTCTCTTGGTAAGTTAGTATGAACTTACCTAAGAACCTTCATAGACATTATCTTTTTGTTTAAGAGACAGGGTCTTGCTCTGTTGCTCAGGCTGGAGTGCCCCCAACTCTTGGGCTCAGGTAATTCTGCCTCAGCCTCCTGAGTATCTGGGACTACATGTACATGCCACCATGCCTGGTTAATTTTTTTTTTTTAATTTATTTTTTAGAGATCGGGTCTTGCTATGTTGCCTAGGGTGGTCTAAAAATCCTGGACTCAAGCTCTTCACCTGCCTCTGCCTCCCAAGTAGCTGGGATTGCAGGCATGAGCCTGGCCGTCGGCATTATCTTTGACAGCCTCACAAATATCCTGCCAAGGATGTTAAGTGGTTCCTAATTCTATCATTGTTTTACCATTGAGCAAACTAATGTTCAGATATGGTCACTTATCTACATAAGCAAATTTTAAGTGGTGAACTTCTACAAATCGAATCTAAACTAAAGAAACCCTTGTTGGACCTGTTTTGCTTCCAGATTCTCTCCTAACTTATTAAGGTATATAAGCCCCAAATCACTAATAAGAAAATGCAATTTAATTGTAATGTAGTAGGTGAAATGTAGGCACAACTGCTATTTTTGAATAAGGATATGAATGAGAGGATCAATGAAGTGTGTGTGTGTGTGTGTGTGTGCATGTGTGTGTATGCATGTACAGCACAGCCAACAAGTGGCTGGACAAGACACTACTCAGCTGGCACCATGCAAAAAGACACCTGTAAAATTTCTGTCTGTCCCCTTTTCAGACAAATTCAGTCTCTCTGTCCTGTCCCCTTAATACCTAAAAGTGTCCATCATTCTTGGTACCAAGTGAAGAGCTCTGTAAGCCTTCCTCTCCCTTGAACCAGGGGACCTTTCACTCTCCCCAAATGGTCCAGTATTTGGCAGTAAATGCCAACACATCTTGCTGTAAATATCTCGGTGTGTGTGTGTGTGTGTGTGTGTGTGTGTTGTGTGTTGTGTGTGTATTCCTAGGTCTGGGTTCTTGGTGGAAGTGCCCACCTTGCCAGAAGAAACTGTTCTTAACTCCACCTTTAGAAATTAAACATTTGTTTTTAAACAAACGAAAAAGAAAAAAAAACCCAAGGTGTACAACTGTTTAATGGCTAAGGAAGTCCTAGAGTACACATACCTTAATACCAGTTTCTTTCTATGAAACCATAGAAGTGATAGTGAAAATTAACTGGGAACTCTGGTGCTTGGGAATCACATCATTATATGATTATACTGTTTTGTCATTATAAAATTATGGACGTCATTGTGTAGTAGGAATCGGGAATTGTACAAAGCTAGACAGCAAATTATATTCTAAGTATTCCCTTTGGAATCAATTAAAGAACATCTTTAACAAATTAGGCCCTTTGTTTCATCATTAGAAAGGAATATATAAACAGGATATTTAGGCAATGAAATATTTTCCATTCAAATTAATTATAGCAAATTAGCTAGAGAATCTATAATAAATTGCAAAGTTTGACACCTTATGAACTTATTAAAGTGAAAGCTTTCCTCTTAGCCTTTAAATTATTAATTTTCATGGCCTAAAATTATAATTTAATAGTTTTATTGGCATGTGATAATTTTTAAATTACAAGACTATCGTCATCCCACTAGGTCTTTCTATGCATAACTGAAAATTACTTACAGCATTTTAGTAGCAATGGAAAATAATGAATGAATGCTCAAATCTGATTGGTTACATAAGTCATTTTTCAGCTCTTTTGCTAAACACAGATAAAAACTCTTTTCTCAATAAACCACAAATTTGTACCTAAAAAAGAAAAACTGGCTATTTTATTACTTTTGCCTATTTTTGTGAAAATTTCACGTTGTATTGATTTTTTTCTTTTCTCTATTCTTTCCCTTGAGTCAAACTCTTGATTTCTGCCGTGACAACAGGAAAAAAGAAAGTGCATTCAGCATTTCTGTCCAATTCCTCCCTTTCCCTTTACAGCAACACTCCTCGAAAGAATTTTCTATAACAGATCTCTATGTCTTACATGATTCTAGCACTCAGTCAGCCCTCGCCAGTCAGGTTTCTGGCCTCATCATCATCCTCTGAAACTGCTCTTTTCAAAGTCACTAATGGCCATTTTTTTTTTCCTTCTCTTACTTGACTTCTAAGTATCTTTCACAACACTTGAATGGTTCCTGTTTCATGAAACGCCGTCTGCTCTTGACACCACTCTCTTCCTCCTACTTTCATGGCTACTTCTTCCTAGTCTCCTTTGTTCTCTCCTTTTCCTCTTTCAATATCCAAATCATAACCCCAGCTTTCTTCTCTTCTATACCTTCATTTCTTCCCTAGATAATCTTAACAAGTCTCATTGCTGTAAGTATCATCTATATGATAATGAAACCTGAATCTATTACTACTGTCTTGACCTCCACTGGTTGTCTGACTTCTACATTTAAATGACTCCTAGGCTGTCACCCTGGTGTTCAAAACAGAATTATCTACTTCTTCCTAAAAACGTATTCCCAGTCTGCCTCTCACCAGCACACTATTCCAGTATCCCCCCAGTTGCTCAGGCCAAGAAGCTAGATGTATTTCTTGAATCATTTTATTCCCCTCACTTCCTATTTTCAATCCGCGCCAAGTTTTGTCAACTCTACTTTTAGGACACATCCCAAACTTGCCTGCTTTTGTCTATCATCTGCTACTCCCACCCTTGTCTCTAAGTCGTCATCATCTCGGCTGCAACGTTGCTAGAGCCTTCTTAGTGGTCTCTCTGATTCTACCCTTGTCACCCTCCACCCTGCAACCACCCTGAGAAACCCTTCTCCACACAGTAGCCAGAGTAACTTACTGAATCAGACGTTCTCACTCCCATTTCTAAAATTCTCCGTTAAATTCCCTCGCATTGAAAATCAACTCCAAAGCCTATACCTTGGCTTTTGAAGATCACTTGATCTGGCCTGTTTGCCTTTCCGAGCTGGCCTTGCACCTTTCTGTTCTACTCTGTATAACAACATTCTATGTGGCAGGGGCTCCACTGGCCATACACATGAGTGAAGGGCGGAGCAGAGCCCCAAAGGGGCCCCAGGATAAGCGTATGTTAAGCTATGAAGATTTTTGAGGTTGGCTGTTTCTACGGCATAACCTAGCTTGTTTTTGCTGGTACAGGGAATCATTTACATATTCGTTCACAAAATACATATTTCTTGAATGTGTAGCATATGTCAGACATTACTTTTGGAATAATACCTCTAACTGGGGATAGACAAATTTCACTCTCTCATGGGGTTTACTTTCTAATGAGGGGTGCATACGATAAACAAGAAAACAAATACATGAATAAGATACTTTTAGATAATGACAATGAGCAGGGTGTGCCCCAGCCTGTCTTCAAACTCAGCCTGAGGATTATAAACCCAGAATACCATGGCTGACACCACAAACTTAGGCAGATGACAGTCCCAAGGTAATAAAAACAGCCACAAAATGCTTCCAAGACAAGTATGAAGTTCAAGTTCTCTGCAAGAAAGGTGATGAATGAAATGAGCAACATTATTAACAATACTTCCAAAAGCAGATAACGTAAAAACAAAATCTTAAAAAAATGACTAATAATTCTCGGATTTAAAAAATTATGCAAGAACTCACATTAAAAGATCATACAGAGTGTTATGTAAGACAGACAAAAGAAAAATATGTACTTAAAACACAATGTAGAATAATTTAAGAAAATGCAAATCAAAGAGACTATTTAAGATTTCAAAATGAAAAGAGAGTTTGCCTAGAATTGAGTATCACTTTTTTTAGCGAACATTTCACCTTCTATTTTTTATCTTTTTCAGGTTAACAACTTTTTAAAAAATTAAAATCCAATATTTAGACTAAAGTTATTATTAATTTAGTTGCATCCTCAGATTTATTGGGAACCTTGGAGTATCTTTTATTTTTTCTAAGTTTTTAAAAGTAATGTACAACATCCATATATAGGATTGTTCAATGAACAATTATACAAATGAACAATGTATATATGGATGCTATACATTAATTTAATGAACAATATGTTCATAAATGTTGAGCTCAATATATTTTTACAAAGAAAACAACCTTGAAACAATCACCAAGTTCAAGAAAGAATGTATGTAGAGCAGTCCTCCTGCCCCCAATCCTTCCCCCAAGGAACCACAATTCTAAGTTCTAAGCATAATCAGGTTTTGCCTTTAGGTCTATTTTTGAACTTTACAAATACTTTCATATTTGTCTTTCCTTTTGCTTAACATTATGTTTGTGACTGTTGTTTTTATTATTCCTTCCTTATTGTGCTGGGTAGTGTTCTATCAGTTGAAATGTCCCATAGTCACATTGTTCCGTTCTGTGGTTGATGTTCTTTGTGCAAGTTTCCAGCTCAGAGCTATTGTAAGTAATTCTGACACATTCATGTTTGTGTCTTTTGTTGCACATCTGTACTCATTTCTGTAGATTGTAAATAAGTAGTGATTGTCATTGTACAGAGTTCTGCATCATCTGTCTTTTAACGTAACCATTATCGAGTATGTGGAGTGTTATTGTAATATTAAATTATGGTTCTAATTTGCATTATTCTATTAACTAAACAGATTGAGCCCATTTTCATAAGTTTGTTTACCATTGGGTATCATCTTTTCTAGGTTGCTTGTTCAGGTCTCTTGCCCATTTCCCCCCATAGTCTGTCTGTATTTTTCTAATGCAAGCATCATATTGATATCAGACTTTCAACAGCCACATTTAACAAAGAGAAAAATGGAATAATAGTTTCACAGTGCAAAGGAAAATAATTCAAACCTAGAATACTTTTTAAAAAAAATTTAGCTGAGCTTTTATTTAAATGCAAATGTGAGGTAAGACAATTTTTAGATATTCTACAACTCTAAATGTTTATCACTCAAAGACTCATTTGGAAAGGACTTTGGAGAAATGTTTAAATGTTTCTCCTTGATTCGTAGAGAATCAAATCAAGGAGAAAGCAATGAGATATTGCCAACTAGGCAAGTACAAATTTTCAAGTTTATTATCAATTAAGTAAATAAGGAATATGAAGAAAAATGTAGATTCTGTAAATAAGAAAGCAAAGCATTAAGCATACTCACTTGACTGGCAAGGGTTGGGGGTGGGGGTGGAGTCCTAGTCTTAACAAAATATACACATAATATTTGTGGAGAAAAGTTTTAAACTCTACTGAAGGATATTAAATTATAGCTAAAACAAATGAAGAAGCAGAACATGTTTGAAGATGGGAAGACAACATTTTAAAAATGTTAATTTTCCTCAAAATTAATGTACATATTTAATATTACTCCCATCGGTATCCCAGTCTGAGTTTTGGTAGAATTAGACCAACTATTTAAAATTTGCGTAGACACAAAAATGCCCACAAAATATTCTTAATAGGAAGATCTTTGTAGGGATCTCAGTCCATCATGTATTAAGACATATTTCAAACCCATAATATTAAAGTAATTTAGTGCTGGGAAGTGATCAGTTAGAGCAATGGATCAGAAACAGATCCACCCATTTGGAAACCCAATATGTGACAGTAGAGATGCTACAAATCAGAGGGAAATATCCGGTTTTTAGTAAACTGTGTTAGAGAATTATTTCACCATATGTACAAAAATGGCTCATGGGCAGAGAATGGGGTTTAAGGGATTGGTGAGTAAAACGTGACAAATAGGCCACATGGAATTATAAGGGGCCTTAATGACCATGGGGAAGACTTTGGAATCTGTTTTATTTACTTATTTATGTTTGAGACAGGGTCTCACTCTGTCACCCAAGCTAGAGTACAGTGTTGCCATGATAGCTCACTGCAACCTTGAACTCCCGTTGCTCAAGTGATCCTCCCGCCTTAGCCTCCCAAGTAGTAGCTGGGACTACAGACACATGCCACCATACCCACCTAACTTTAAAATCTTTCTTTTACTTTCTTTCTCTTTCTTTCTTTCTTTCTTTCTTTTTCTTTTCTTTTCTTTCTTTCTTTCTTTCTTTCTTTCTTTCTTTCTTTCTTTCTTTCTTTCCTTCTTTCTTTCTTTTCTTCTCTCTTCCTTCCTTCCTTTCCTTTCTTTTTCTTTCTTTCTTTCTCTTTTTTTTTTTTTTGAGACAGGGTCTCACTCTTTTGCTCAGGTTGGAGTGCAGTGGCATGATCTTGGCTCACTGCAACCTCTGTCTCCTGGGCTTAAGTGATCCTCCCTCCTCAGCCCCCAAGTAGCTGGGACTACAGGTGCGCACCACTATGACTGGCTAATTTTTGCATTTTTTTGTAGAGACTTTCTCACTATGTCACCCAGGCTAGACTTGAACTCCTGGGCTTCAGCATTCCTCCCACTTTGGCTTCCCAAAATGTTGGGATTACAGGCATGAGCCACTGTGCCCAGCCTGGAATCTGTTTTAAATAAAATAGAAGTCATAGGAGAACTTTATGTAGAGGATTACATGATTTGATTTACATCTCCAAAAGATCACCAGTTTTTGAGCAGAGAATGCATTCTAGGGGCAAGAATGGAATCAGAGACTGAAACAGATGATATTAAGGCAGGCAAATCGTTAGAGTCAGACTTGACCACAGTAACACTTAATGTAAGAAGAGAGTGGAGCAATGGTAAACAAAAGATCTGAAGAAAAGGAAACGTGAAGTAAGAAAGTAAAGAATGTTATACCCAGGGAAGTTGTCCAAGTATAGGGGCAAGAGCTACACATCTTCAAGAAGGTGAGGATTTAAGGAGCACCTCTCCCCTAAGGTCTTCTTCAACAACCTGTGGAAGAGGAAATCTAGCCGAGAGAGGTGCTAAACAGAAAGTTAGGAAAAAGGAGAAATTGTGGTAAAAACACATAAACAAAAACAAAACCAAAAACCAAAATAACCCGAGGTATTAGCACGATGTTCATAAATACAGAATGACATCTGGGCTACTATGAGAATAATAGACAAAGACCAGAATGTGAATGTTACAATAGTATGTCACTGAGGAGGAAAAGGAGAGAGGAGGAGAATAATGGTGCGAATTTCTGCATTTTTAAAGTAGGAAATTGGACCGGGCATGGTGGCTCATGCCTGTAATCCCAGCACTTTGGGAGGCCGAGGTGGGCGGATCAAGAGGTCAAGAGATTGAGAACATCCTGGCCAACATGGTGAAACTCCGTCCCTACTAAAAACACAAAAAAATTAGCGGGGCGTGATGACGTGAACCTGTAGTCCCAGCGTCTGGGGAGGCTGAGGCAGGAGAATCACTTGAACTCAGGAGGCGGAGGTTGCAGTGAGCCAAGATCGTGTCACTGCACTCCAGCCTGGCAACACAGCTAGACTCCATCTCAAAAAAACAAAAACAAAAACAAAAAAAGTAGGAAATAAAAAAATGTGGCTGGACACAGTGGCTCATGCCTGTAATCCCAGCACTTTGGAAGGCCAAGACAGGCGGATCAACTGAGGTCAGGAGTTCAAGACCAGACTGGCCAACCTGGTGAAACCCCATCTCCACTAAAAATACAAAAATTAGCCGGGCGTGGTGGCACATGTCTGTAATCCCAGCTACTTGGGAGGCTGAGGCAGGAGAATCACTTGAACCCGGGAGGCGGAGGTTGCAGTGAGCCAAGATCTCCCCATTGCACTCCAGCCTGGGCAACAAAATGGAAACTCAGTCTCAAAAAAAAAAAAAAAGAAAAGAAAAAAAAGAAAAAATGGGACCCTAACTTTTAAATCCTTTTTTAAAAGTATCATTTTATTTCAATATTACTTTATGTGAAACATTTAAGGACTAATTTCTCTGTTGCTGAAGGAATATCTGAAATTCACCAAATTCATTCTTTCAGTTTTATTTTATTTCATTTTCCCCTACTGAATTTTAATTAACCTTAATAGTTGTATATATAATTACCCCTTTTCTTTTAGCATGTATATGAATGTGTGTATATGTATACACACAGACAGATATATGTGTATATCTTTCTATGTGTTGATCATCCATCTATTTCTACATATGCATGTCTAGAATGGCATGAAGAAGGTCAGTTCTGGGTAGTAGACTGAGGATTTTCTTTTCCTCACTCTTCTTTCTTATCTATAAGTTTTAAATAACAATCATGCTCCACATCTACAAAAACAAGTGATGTCATTATTCTAAAGACTAGAGTGAAAATAGGTGCAGAGGGAGGAGGTAAGCAAAATGTATTTTGCATAATTTTCTAAGAAAAATGAGATATTACATGTCAGTTTTTAGAACAGTGTCTTTCACTTAGTAGGTGCTCAGTGAAAGATGGCAATGATGATCAGGATTATTATTTCCCAGACTTCCAGGGAGTCTCTCCTGCCTCCTTCAATTTCTCTGCCATTGACTCTAAAAAACTCCTTGGACAAAATGCTTTTGTCCATTTACCAATAGCTCTGTGTTGCTCAGGAATGGAGGGGAAGGAACAGAAATGAGCAGACATCTTTGTTCTATCAATTTTTGGGAGACCAGGGAAACAAAATAAAACAAAAGACAAGAAGTGCTTCATTTCTAAGCATCACAATGGCTGAAATTATGCAACTTGCATGTAGTCTTTAGAGATTCCAGTTAAGCCTTCAAAACTAATTATCCAGCTTGTTGTGGTGGTGGTTGTTTGTTTGTTTTTGCAATCCCTGTATTAGTCTGCTCGGGCTGCCATAACAAAACGCCTTAGCCTGGGTGGCTTAAACAACAGGAACTTCTTTTCTTACAGTTCTGGGGGCTGGCCGAGATCAGGGTGCCAGCTTGGTTGATTTCTGGCGAGGGCTCTCTTCCTGGCTGGTGACTGCTGCTTTCTCATTGTGTCCTCATGTGACCTTTCTGTGATGCACGCTCAGGATTGAGGAAGAGCTCTGGTCTGCCCCCTTTTTCTTAAAAGAACACTAATCCTGTGGGATCAGGGCCCTACCCTGATGACCTCATTTGACTTTATTTACTTCTTTAAGGGCTCTATACACTCATATTGGGGATTAGGGCTTTTTGACATTAATTTTGGAGGGACGTAATTTAGTCCATAGCAGCTTCTCAATGTTTTTACAATGTATTTGTTTGTTTTGTTTTAAAACTAAAATCCATAGATGGTGGCATTTCTTTTTTTTAAGAGACAGGGTCTGCTCTGTCACCCAGGCTGGAGTGCAGGGGTGTGATTATATCTCAGTGCAGCCTCAACTCCTGGGCTCAAGGGATCTTCCTACATCAGCCTTCAGGGTAGCTAGGACTACAGGTGTGCACCACCATGCCAGGCTAATTTTTAAAATTTTTTTGTAGAGACAGGGTCTCACTAAATTGCCCAGACTGGTCTCAAACTCCTGGGCTCAAGCAATCTTCCTTTGGTGTGCCTTGGCCCACCAAACTGATGGGATTATAGGCATGAGATACTGCACCTGGCCCTATAATTCTTATTTTTATTTTTTGAGATGGAGTTTAGCTCTTGTCACCCAGGCTAGAGTGCAATGGCACAATGTCAACTCACTGCACCCTTTGCCTCCCGGGTTGAAGTGAGTCTCTTATCTCAGCCTCCTGAGTAGCTAGCATTACAGGTGCACGCCATCATGCCCAGCTAATTTTTGCATTTTTAGTAGAGACAGAGTTTCACCATGTTGGCCAGGCTGGTCTCGAATTCCTGACCTCAGGTAATCTGCCCACCTTGGCCTCCCTAAGTGCTGGGATTACAGGTGTGAGCCACTGTGCCCGACTGGCCCTAAAAGTTTTTAAATGCTCTATTGTCCCTTGAACATAAGAGTAAGACTTGAATCTATATAATTGATAGAGACCTTAAAACATTTCTACCTTTCTTATCCAATTTTTTCCCTCTCCATCTATACCATCCTACAGAGACGGATTCCTATACTAAAGAAGGGGATTCCAGCCACTCACTTCTGGGCGGCCAGTATTGGCATTTAAGCCACTAAAATATTTTTTGATATCTAATTGAATTTGTCTAATTTGAATTACAGATACCAATAACAAAATCATTAGTTTATTCTTTTAGTATCTCACCATATGCAAAGCATTTTTGTGTGCATTTGGTTTGTTTGTTTTATCATTTCAACCATCTTAAGAAGTAGAGAGAGAAGATCTAGTCCTAATTTTATACAGGAGCAAGTAGTCAAGTGATTTACCAGCAACAATAACAAAAAACAACAAGCAAGGGACAGAGCCAGCAAGAAAGTTCATTTTAAAGAACAATTGGCATAGCCGGGTGCGGTGGCTCACACCTGTAATTCCAGTACTTTGGGAGGCTGAGGGGGGCAGATCAACTGAGATCAGGAGTTTGAGACCAGTGTGGCCAACATGGTGAAACCCCATCTCTACTAAAAATACAAAAATTAGCTGGGCGTGGTGGGGGATGCCTGCAGTCCCAGCTACTTGGGAGGCTGAAGCAGCAGAATTGCTTGAACCCCGGGGAGATGGAGGCTGCAGTGAGCCAAGATCGTGCCATTGAACTCCAGCCTGGGTGACAGAGCAACTCTCTGTCTCAAAAAAACAACTGGCTGTTTTTTTCCCCTCTCTTTTCTGTTTTTACTGTGCACTGTTTCAACAGTTAAATAACTTTAAAAATAATTAATTCTATAAGAAAGCATGAGAAGGGTACTGTAAGAGAATAAAAAGACAAATGAGACATGTTTTTTCTCCCCTAAGGAGCTTCCATCAGGGTGCACAGTGTTTCATGCAATCCAAACAGAGCATTGCTGCATGAAGAGGGTTATGTCTTTCCATTCCTCTTTAAATCAACTTTATCTGTGAGAATCTCATAATTTTGAATTATGGTTTAGTGTTCATTTATGGTTAGGATTATGATTAAAGTGCAATTAATCTCTGATAAAGCCATGTCTACATTGATTCACTAAATCAGAATTTTTGAGGGTATATTTTGCTTTCATGATTCCTTTAATAACCAACTTCTGGCTAATCAGACAAGTACTGCAATAAATCCATGTGCGTCATTGATGATAATATTTGGATTGACTTTTCTTTATAATATTTTGAGTCATGGCATAATATCGATATTTATACCTCTTCCAGTCCTAATGCATACCACTTTGATTAATAAAATACTTTTAAAAATACTTAAAATATAGGTAATAACAAACCAACAATCAATCTTTCTATAGCTTATACAATGCCTTATCCTTCTGATTTCCAATGATTAATCACTTTCTTTTCTCTTATTTAAATTATTTTCAAAATATTACTGAAACATCCTTTAAAGAGTTTTTCTTTCAGGGAAACTCATAAAAATCTATCTATGTTCACTGAAACAAGCTTACTTTCAGTATAAGACCTTACTTTTTTGGGGGCAAATTATTCAATCATTGATACTTCTCTTTATGAAATCTCCTAAATTGCAGATGATTTGGCTTCAGTGTATCTTTAATGATAGAAATCACGTATAAATTGGGTTTAAAATTCCAAAGGATAATTTTGAGGACTGCAGTACATTTGGCCATTAGAGAGTCTAGAAATGCCAAATTGACCAGGTCAGAATGAATGGTCTTGGGCTGCCATGTTTCATGGCAACCTGTATGCAGAAACTTACCATCTTCAAATGGGCTTGTTCAGATGCTGGGAACTGCTTTAGGCCATTCCAAATCAATAAGACAGCCAATTATACTTGAGTTAAGTAAAATAATAAGCAAGAATTGCAAGAAGCCCTGTCCAAGCACAGTTTGAAAAACTTCCATACAGAGTTCTTAAAAGCAGACTGTAACTTCTAATGAATTACTTGCTTCATTATTACTGCTGCTTGAATCAAGTCAAGCAGTTTAGCCAGGACTTCACAACATGTCTCTGTCACTGCGTTGATACATAGTAAGTTGTGAATGGCCTGCGATGTTTCTTGCAATGATTTTCATCATGCCCAGCCAGTCCTGCCAATCTGCAAATGTTCAGGCCCCCACATATGGACCACACAGCCCATGCAACGCAGTCAAAATCTGTTAGTCACGGGATGATCCGTCTGGTATTTTCAGCTAACTTAACAATTAATTGGGTAGCATCTGAATCAATAATTCAATGATCCAGTTTGGTCAGCAATGTGTCCAGGCTTTCCTGATGATTGGTCGACTTGTTTTGATTTTCAGGACCCAGTCACAGAAGTAGTGAAGTTTTAACTAGGCTTTCAAAAATATTCATACAACTCAGCTATATGGAAATAATTCATAGAAGCATAACTCTGCCAATGATAAGAGTGAGAAGCCATTAACTCAACAAATGAGTGACTTGTTATTCACATGTCTTACTAAATTGGCAACTATGGCTTTCTCATTTTTATGTTATTCTATGTATATACATGTATCGAAATAGTGTTATTTAGAGATCTTAAACATGTGGACAAATATTTTGATAGAGTTTGGGGAAAACAGCCTATATCCTTGCTTTATAGAAAAAGAGTTTTCATGAGAAAGAAGTTATATTTATTCAGATATATATGTATGAGTACATATCTAGATCTATATAGGTTTATATACATATATAATAATATACTTGAGCCCCACTCTTTCATTCCACTACCACTTCGTAGCCAAAAGACAGAGATCTCGATATAATAAATTAAATATTAAGATATATATTAAAGTATACATATAATGTAATTAGATAATAAAGATAAAATTATTTGAAATGCCTCAAAAATAATACAGATTTTAAAAGAAAATGAGAGCATAAAAACCTTTAAAATGTATGGATCAACAAAGAAATACATTGCAAAATTATTACTTAATTAGAAAATCCCTTTTAAATGCTCTTTGATTCCATGAGACTTTTCAGCTGACAAAGGGCTTAGCCACCTCTTAAAGCAGAGGCTCTCTCCAATACCCGAAGATAAATATCTACCAGGAGCTTTTTAAACAATGCTTGTCATGTTTGTCATTATGAAGCAGACTCATACATAAATTAAGTTTTCCTAAACTGTAGCTATGAATTAAGAGTCCCACGATTTGTGCTATTGCTAACCTACTCCGGTGGTATGTTGCCATCACTTCAATTGTTTTAATGATAAATTTCCTTTAGAAAATGGAAGGATCTGTTGACAGACAAAAACAGGAACTAACAATGGACTATTTAGACTTGCAAATGATGGAACATTTAATTATTCCAAAATAGCATTCCCCAGTTAGGGTATGATCATTAAATCCATCATCCTTCAGTTTATATGCATGCAACATTTACCATGTCTACCTCAAACAGGAGTCAGTCATCCAAATATAGATTTTTGGACCATCCATTTCAGCATGACATTTCATCGAAAGCCTGGAATTTCATTTATTTTCTGTAACAGAGATAAAGTGTTTGTAAACGATGTGATAAGACCATAAAGAGAAAGTAAAGTGAAATTCAGCTTCATACAGAGATAAATACAGACCCTACTGAACATAGCAGTAGTAGAGAAAGAGAAAAATGAGAGACAATACGTCAGCAGCAACATTCCAGGCAAGAATCGATGTTCCCTACATATGGTTTTTAAAAATGTTTGCTCAGTTTTAGTTCTCTGAATTTGCTTGCAAAATAATTTGCATTTAGACTCAAGACAGTGGCGGCAAGATCAAGACAATCTAAAACTAAATATACTTGAACTCTTTTTGTCAATTTCCACATACTGAAAAAAAATGTTTATGTCTCATTGGAGAGATAAATGTCTCAGAAAACAGTGTTTTATAAAATTCAGAAGTTAATTATTTTTCTGCAGGTCCTCGTTTTTCAGGAAGAATATAGAGTAGCTAGGTATTCATTATTTGAAGTCTAACTGGAGACAAGTTATGTTTAGGACCTGGACAAACATTTCATGAGATGGCAGGTACAAATAAAAACCAATTAATTCTCCTCCAGCGATGTTTCTTTCCTCTAATGGAAGGCTTGTGGTGTGCAAGAGGTGTTTGGGAAGGATTTACAAGCAAGTTTTCCATGAAAGGACATTACTAACATTATTAACGGCCCCTCTCAGCCCGGGTCCTTCTCTTCACCATCATTTTGTAGCCCAGGATGACAAGGCCTAGAGAAGTTAAGTGACTGACCCAAGGCCACATGCTGATGTCAAAATCAGGCCTCGAGCTTATGTTTCCTGACACTTACTCAAATGTAATTTTATGCCACCATTCTGCCAGTGGGAAATGTGTGTGTCTGGCCATGTGTGCATACACTCTACCAAAATGATGTCCATGAAATTTTAAATCGCACCATGAAAATGAGAAGTAAGCATCTAATATCCTATCTTAATCAATTGGACCAAATTTAGAAAAAATTTGAACCCTGGCCGAACGCCGTGGTTCATACCTGTAATTCCAGCACTTTGGGAGGTGGAGCTGGGCGGACCACTTGAGGTCAAGAGTTCAAGACCAGCCTGGCCAACATAGCGAAACCCCATCTCTACTAAAAATAGAAAAATTAGCTGGGTATGGTAGTGTGCACCTGTAATCCCAGCTACCTGGGAGGCTGAGGCACAAGAATCACTTGAACCCAGGAGGCAGAGGTTGCAAGTGAGCCAAGATTGCACCACTGCATTCCAGCCTGGGTGACAGAGCCAGACACCATCTCAAAAAAAAAAAAAAAAAAAAAAAAAAGGAAAACAAGGAAAGAAAAGAAAAAAAAATCCCAAGCTGTTATGAAAAATAGTTTTAGACACTCTATGAAAGGTACAGAATTCCTCTTTTCTTTGAAATACTTGTGAATAGGGGTGTGTGTGTGTTTGCGCATGCACGTACATGTGTATACATACATATACACATGCTATATGTACCATATATATATTGAAAGAGAGAATGATCAGGAGACTCCTATTTAAAGTATGCTTAAAAACTTCAGTCACCTATAACCATCCTACCCTCAGGCCTGGCCTTTTGAAACCAGAAAGACTTTTTCCTTTTCCCCAATTTTCTGTCCTATTCAGTCCCCCGACCTCTGAGCCTTGTCAGTGATGGTGGATGACAAGAAAGAAATATGTTAGATGCCAGGTGGTGGAGTAGGCATTCACTCTGTTTGACTTTTTTCTATTGGATCTACAACATAGAAATAGACAAATCACACACCTACGGAGTTGTCTTTAGGATTTGATTAGCTGACATGTGACCCTGCTAAGAGCCAGCAAACTCTCCTCATCCTATCTGCCCTCTTCATCCTGGCAGAAGAACCCTGGTTCATTATTTCTGAGAAAAACAATCACAAGTAGCTCCGTGGTTGTCCTGGTGAAGATAGAGAAATGGGAGAGGTATCTTTTTCCTTACAAAGGAAATTGATATTATTACAGATAGATGATATAAACTTTTAAATGCCATGGTGATATAGCTGCCTGATTCCTAAATAAAGAATATAAATAAATAACAGGAGTATAGTTGGTGGCATAAGCAAAACTCACCCATTTTCCCTTAAATGGGCTGGCAAACCAGGGCTGAGAGGAGACAGTCGGGGAGATTTAAACTAGGAAATCAGAGAAATGCTGCAGGAAGACACAACTCACTCCATAATGCATCCTATTTACGAGGCAAATAAATATCAATTGTGTACAATATTGCCATGTCTACAAAAGCAAAACTCCCATCATTTTGACAGGTGTTTTGCATACATATGAACTGCAAGATCAAGCTTGATATGTGTGATTTCTTACAATAATCAGTATCTGAATCTTCTGGAGTTGGCATGCAGCACTCTGTGAAAGATGTCACATTTAGACTCTGCCTTACATAAAATGTGTGCAATGTCTATGCTTAACTCCCGGCACCTGTCTCTGCCTTATTTTCTCTGCCCACTTAAAATATCTTATAACAATGTCCCCATGTTTACCATTTTTTTTCATACGCAGAGTTTTGAACGTGGTACGTTTGAAAGTTTTGTAGGAAAAATCTTTTGCATGGTGAAAGCAGTTTATAGCAAACCTACATATCTACAGAAACACTTGTATGGAAAAAAGAAAAAAAGAAGAGTGCTGCCAGACATTTCACAGAATTCAGTGCTGCAATGTACCCAACATGGATGAAATCTGGTCCCAGCAAAACAGGATTTCTTTCTGTGAGAAAATCCCGCGGCATATAGTTCCCCAGCTTCCTTTATAATGTATCTTCCTTCATTCCCCAATCTCCTCCCCTTCAATGGATTCAACTTTCAATTTTCTACCATTTCCCTGCAAAATGTCTAGAATCTATTCTTTGGCTTCTCATAATTCCTGTCCTGATTCCATTTCCACACCATTTTCTCCAACCTCATGTCTCTTCCCTTTTTTTTTTTTTTTTTTTTTTTTTTTGGCAAAAGGTCACCGTGAAGGCAAAATAGGTTAGCGAGAAGGCAGCTTCTATTGGGCTATGCTTCAATTTTTCTCTTTTGAGTTTCTCCCTACCTCCTTGGCCATTTCCTTAAACCTGTCTACACAGCTGTACACCACTGAAAGTGGGGTGTTGATATGCCAAAGAAAAATGGGCAAACTCCGTGTGCCAGCACACCATCACATGAACAGAAAATGAGAAACTGAAAATACATTTGGTGAAGGAATTCAGGAAACTGAGGGACAAATTGTCACAATGAAGATTTACCCCCTTGGTGTCAACACACCCAGGAAGATCAAAGTGAAAGACGAGGTAGAAGCTAATGTCAGCCCACAGAAGCTGGATGTGAGCACAGAGGCAGGCAGGCCAATCATGGGTAGAAGGATAGAGCTCTCTAGGGGAGCTAAGTTCAGAGCCCAGAGATGGCGAAACCTGAGAGTGTTTTAGAACCAGAAAGGCACTGTGACATCCCTGAGGTAATTTAGGGTGCTGTAAGTAGAAGCGGAAAGGAATAATTAGAGGAACTACATTCTATTCAGGTTTGTAGGAAGAATAGGATGGAGAGAGTCAGAGACTTATGAAGGCCCTCATCTTCATCACTTCTAGGGGGCTGATGGCTTCAAAGGGATGGAATCCAACATCTGACAAATCCGGGTGTTTATCTTGCTCCTAGGAAGTAAGGATGGTTCTTTATTCCTTCAAACTTAAGGATATTACTTTTTCTCTCCTTAAAATCAAGGAAATTAATTCTACATAAAAATAATTATATATAATATGTGTATAAATAACATACATATTCATATAGATTATATATATGTATACATATATGTATGAATTTGAGAAATAAATAAAGGAAAATGAATTAATTCAAAAGCAAAGACTGACTGTCCAGACAAAATAAGCTGGAAGATCATTAAGCAATTTACTCCAGAGAGTGTTCAGATATTACCATTAACACAGAAATATAGGACACTGACATTCTTCATAACAGATGCTCTTGAAAAATGAAGGGTTTGAAAAAAAGAATAAGGAAAAATAGCTAATATATGATAAACAGCTCATAGAATCAGAAAGAAATACAAATAAAAAAACTGTCCTTTAAAAAATATGGAAAATTTATAAACTTGATTTTCTTCAAAAATCATTAGTTTCAGAGTACTACAAAAATATTTTTAGTCTACACTGTATGAAAGACATATATTTTCAGATAATAACACATGGAGGCAAATTAGCTTTGTGTTTGCATCTTGCAGACATTGCAGTAAACATTTAGCCACCAATATCAATAATAAGTTTGTTTTATTCAGTATAATAGTCTTCAAAACATAGACCTGTGTTTACAGATCAAGATTAAATCAAGGGGTTATTATTAACCCTGGTAGTGACCTCTCTTTGCTGAAAATCAAATAAATCTAACAGGCATTTCTTTTAACTAAGCCCTTGAAAGAGAGAGGTTCTATCAGTGTTTGCAAAGACTGTTAAACTAGAACAAGAATTAGCTATTTGTTTCTGGTTTACTTTGCTTTAATATTTTAATGGTGCTATAAATTTTGGAGCTAATTAACATAAGAAAAAGTTCCATCCAGTGTTTTAAAATATTTTAGAACATTCTATAAATAGTTTCAGACAATCTTCTGACTCATGTTTAAAAACATGTCCAATTTATATCAGAATAACTCAAAATTGCAAATAACACCACCTTCCACCCAGAATCACTTCTGCTTAAGACACAGTAAAAGTAACCAGATTTACTCCCCTGCCTGAAACAACCTGTTATAATCTGTTTAGTCTGCTATAACAAAATAGCTTAGACTGGGTAATTTACAAACAATAGACATGTATTGCTGATAGTTCTGGAGGCTGGGAAGTCCAAGATCAAGGCATTGACAGATTTAGTGTCTGGACTGGGACAGTTCCTGGTAGATGGTATCTTCTATGTATCTTTAAATGGCAGAGGGAGTCAAAAAGCTCCCCCGGGCCTCTTTTATAAGGACACTAATTCCATTCATTAGAGCTCTGCCCTCATGACCTAATCACCCCCCAAAGCACCTCACTGCTTAATATTATCACACTGGGGATGAGTTTTCAACATATGCATTTTGGGGGTTGGGCACAAACATTCAGGACACAGTGCAAACAAAAACAAAAACAGATGGACAAAACATATGAAACAACAATTTTCAAGACCCACTGGACATATGACAACAATGATCCCTGAGAGACGGTAGACAAATGAGGTAGGCCCTGTGATTGTCCCAGCTACTACTCTAGCTTACTTACAAGCCATGTTGAGGGAGGGGAGAGAGATGGAGCTGAGAGTCCGGGGAGACCAAGGAGGAGAGAGAGAGAGAGAGAGAGAGAGAAAGAGAGAACAAACTCTGGGAGTTCTGCAGAGGGTCCCCCTTCAGTATTTATCTGAGTACAGACCAAACTGTGCACGTGGGGAAACTACCTAAAGCCAGAGGGGAAAAACTACCTAAAAGGATGAGGAGATAATGCAATGTAATAATGAAAAATATTTAGTTGATCAAACACAAGGCAAGAACACAGGGAAAAGGGAGCAAAGAATATACAGGACAAATAGAAAACAAGTAGAAAGATAATAGATTCACATTTATCCACACTGATAATTATATTAAATGTAAATGGTTAAAATGCATAAGTCATCAGCTTGGACCAGAAAAGAAAACAAGCCTCAACTACAGTTGCCTACAAGAAACAGACTTTAAATATAAAGGCAAAAATAGTTTAAAAGTAAAAGAACTTTTACTTTCAAAGTTCTTTTAAAACTTTTAAAAATATACCAAAATATACCATGCTAAAACTAATTTTTAAAAAGTGGAAGTGACTATATCAGTATTAGACAAAGCAGATTTCAAGGCTAAGACTATTAAGGGATATAAAAGAGTGCACACAGAATATTTACCAAGATAAACCGTATTCTGTCTCATAAAAGGTCTCAATACCGTTAAAAGGATTCAAGTTATATAATGTATACTCTCTGACCACAGTGAAATTAAATTAGAAACCCATAACAAAAAGATGTTTGAAAAATAGTCAAGTCATTGGAAATTAAATATACCTGTATCTATTAAATAATTATTTGTTGTTGAAAACCTTCCCACAAAGAAAGTTCTGGGCTCAGATGGTTTTGTTTGTCAATTCTACCAAGTATTTAATAAAAAATACCAATCCTACACAAAATCTTTTACAAAAAGAGAGAATATTTCCCAAGTAATTTTTTGAGGTCAGTATTACTCTGATACCAAAAGCAAGCATTACAAGAAAAGGTAAGTATAGTATGATATCCCTAAAGAACATACATGCAAAATTGTGCAGAATTTTAGCAAATACAACAAATACATAAAAGCATAATAAATGCAGAATTTTAGCAAATACAGTAAATACATAAAAGCATAATATGTTTTGAACAGGATAGTTTGTCCCGGGAATGCTAAGTGGATTTCACATTCAAAAGTCAATTAATGTGATTCATCACATTAATGAGCTAAAAAAGATAAAATCATCTCAGTGGACATAGAAAAAGCACTTGACAAAAATCCAACATCCATTCTTGTTTTTCCAAAAAAAAAAAATTTCAGCGAACTCAAAATTGAAGAGATTTTTCTCAACCTGATAGAGGGCATTTATGAGAAATCTATAGCTAATATCTTCTTTTAATAAATGTTTCGAAAATTAATGAGATCAGTGCAAGCAATGGTGCCCTGGGTCTTTGAGAAAGTAGAGCTCACGTCAGCTGCCTGATTTGGTTTTGTGCCTACTAAATTTTTTAGATCCTAGGCTAGGGTTTTGTGAAATGCTTTATCTAGTGTAACTGGCGCTTCCTGCTGCCAGTCTACATTCATTCGTCTTTAGCCTGCACCACCCTTAACTAGGGAGGCCGATGGCTGTCTCTCCTCAGGTTAACTGTCTGGGGATTTGGCCTCAGAGACAACACAGACGTAAAGCTCCTTGGGATTCCTTCCATCATTTGTGTTCTAAATGATTAGTAAGAGTGCAGTCTAATTTTTATTGTCATGCATGACTTGGGGTACAGTCATGCTGAACCACATAAATCTTTAGAGCCAATCATTGCAGGAACTGGTTTGACTGTTTCCACAAGTAATCTCGCCAGCATTCTCAATGTGGGCTCTTGAATCATCACTCCTAAATTTCTGAGCTCATCTGAGCTTTGCGATAATAATAGTCATAATTCTGAATTTAATATAGATGCTTTCATCTGCAAAGTGCTTGGCAAACATTAACTAATTAGACCCCGGATGCTCCTCTTGAGGTCCTCAAACAAATAGCACTGCCTCATTTTTGAAATGAGGGGTAAGAAAAAGACCTGAAGCTCAGAGCTCATTAGGGTAGCACAAAAGACAGTGGGAATCAAACCTAGAACCTGCTCTCGTCACATGGGCTTGGGTGACATACCTCCAACAGAACACTTTCCTGGAATCATTAACCTAACTTTTCTTTTGCAAGGAACGTGCATGACAAATGTGGTTACTTTAAAATGATAGGATTTCTTTTTATGAGTTATTGAAGTTTTGCACTGAATATTCCTTTCTACCTAAAGAATTAAGCCCCACATCTTGAGTCATGCTTGGAATGGTATTAACCTCATATTTTAAAGAGGCTTCTCCTAGGGCTTATGGTGAAACAAGAATACCTATGCACAGGCCACAGTTATGTCAGTGAGCATAAAAATTAAGAGTGCCTGCAAGTGCCTAGCTGCAGGTCTTCCTCATCCCAGCAATCAGGTCATCTGCACAATGAGATACGGAGGCTATCTGAGTGTCTGACTAAACTCTGCCAAAGCTCCTTTATTTGTTAAGCCTAAATTTAATATTCCCCTGCCTCCAAATTAATTCACCCTAATAATTTGGAATGTCCTTCACTTTTGCTGCCTCCTTTATGAATCAATCTAGAGATCACAAGTGAAAAGCTAACATTACTATTGCCTCTGTGTAAAAGTCCATAAATAATACTTCTTCATTATCAACAAAGAGTATTTGCTATCCAGTTCAGTCATGAGGTTTTTATAATTAGGAAGGGAATCTGGTAATCTCTTGTATTTATTTGCTTACTTTTATGAATGTAGCAACAATTGTGTGCCAGGCTATTGAGAATAAAGTGTGTGGGACAGAGACATCCACCGATTCATGTGAACACCAACAAGCGTTTGTCTGAATCTGGCCTTGAATGTACTTGGTGGTTTCCTTCCCTGCCAGCAGTAAATTTCAATGCTTGTAACAAATGATCTTTAATGGCTTCATTGCAATAAAGGCAGCCCATTTTGTTCTGTGCAGCCAGACCCAAGTCTTGCTTAAAGTAGGCCACCTTCCCTTGGAGCATTTATCCCACTATTTCAAAGTGCTTGGTATATATTATAGAACTTTCTCCATGGTTTTAGAAGACATCTGAACAATGGTTAAGAACAAAGTTTTTAGATGGGAGAACTGACTCAGCAGATCTCCTCCCAAGGTCAGCCTCATTAGCAGCCAATCAGATGTGTGCCTGCTGCTTGTTCCTTTGCATATTCAACACATATTTATCATGTATTTATTATGTGGTACAGTACAGGCATACTTCCTGCCCTCCGAGAGTTTACAGCCTGGTAAGAATATGAGATAGTCAAGTAATAATGTATAAAACCCTATTAGAATAAAATATGCTGCTTCGACACTTAGGAGAGTGACTCCATTCCAGTTTGGGGCATGAGGGATGATATGGGACAGTAACTGCTTTCTACACTGAGATCTGAAAGGCAGTATGTGTTAGTAAGCTAGAGGGAGAGGCAGAAAAGAGAGCTGCAGGCCAACGAAGTAGCTTGCATGAAAGCCTGGAAGCAACAGAGTGTGCAGAGTGATGGGGTGAGTGGATTTCACTCTATCAGGACCAAGGTAGGAAAAGAGAAGGCAGGAGATGCAGCTATATATATACTTGAACCAGGTTTTGCTGGTTTTGTAAGCCATGGTAAGGACTTTGGACTTTTTCCTGAGAGTAATGGGGAAAACTTTGAAGGGCTTGAGCAATAGCATATCAGGACTGGTTTTGTATCTTTTAAAATATCAGCCAGGTGCAGTGGCTCACACCTGTAATCTCACCACTTGGAAGGTTGAGGCAGGAGGATCGCTTAGGGCCAGGAGTTCAAAATCAGCTGGGCAACACAACAAGACCTCATCCCTACAAAAATAAAAAAGAACTTAGCTGTGAGTGGTGGTGCACACCTGGGGTCCCAGCTATTGGGGAGGCTGAGGTGGGAGGATTGCTTGAGCCCAGGAAGTCGAAGCTGCAGTGAGCCATGATCACACCACTGCACTCTAGCCTGGGTGACAGAGTGAGACCCTCTCTCAAAAAAAATCTTTTTAAATCATTTGTAGAGCAGAGTGGAGAAAGATTGTTGGGCAGAGGCCATTCAAGAGGCTGCTGTAGTAACGCAGATATGTCATGATGGTGGCCTAGACCAGAAAAGTAGCAATGAAAACGGAGAAAATGGAATGGACTTAGAGAAGATACAAGAGTTAAAATTAAGACTTTCAGATTGTTGACTATGGCAGGTGAAGGAGAGGGCGGAGTCAAAGCCGACTCCCAGGTTTCAGCTGGGTTGATGTTGGTTCTATTTCTTGATATTAGGAGCACAAGGAAGAATAGATGAGAGTAGGAAATGAGGATGAGAAATGAAAATTTCATTTGGTAGTTTAATTCTAAACTGCCTATGGGGATGGCCTGTAGACAGCTGGATGCATTTGTGTGAAGTCTAGGAGAGAGAGAGAGACTGGGGATATGGGTATGGGCATCATTACTATAAAGATAGTAGATGAACCAGGAAATTGCCCCAGGGAGGAAAAGAGGGGATCCTTGGATAAAATCACTGAAGAATATTGTCATATAAGGGGCGAAGAGGAGTATGCAAGGAAGACTAAGGAATGGCCCGAGAAGTACAAAGAAAGCCAAGAGAGAAAGATACCACAAAAGCCCAGGCAACGGTGCTTCAGGAAGGACAAGAGGAAGTGAATCAATAAGGAACTGAAACATATGAACAGGATTTAGGAAAAAGGTTGTTGGTGTCTCTAGTGAGGACATTTCATTTTAGTGGAATGGTTATAAAATAAACCATACGTCTGGGAGCTGAAGAGTGAGAAAATATAGACAACACGTGTAGACCTTTTTTGAGAAATTGGGAAGAGGAGGAGAGAAACATGGTATTAGCTGAAAGGTGAGGAGGGGTGGATAGCTGACGATTTTACAATGCGAAAGAGCCGAAAACATTTAACTGCTTACAGAGAAGGCAAGGAAGAGAGAAGAGAAAGAGTTCAGGATGGAGAGCGCATCATTTATGAAGGAAGCAGGACTTGTACCTCCAGCACTTGTAATTTTAGAGGGTGTCCTTGACCTCAGGTTAAATATTAAAATGCATACCGAGTTCACATCAACTACATGTTTTACAACAAAAAAATTAAAAGGGTTTTTATAATTTTGTTTGCAAAATTAGTTGGCTGTGAATAACTCACAATTTATAATTCAATATGACTTATCAGTAATCAACGCACATACTTGGGAATTTGGGAAAACTGAGAACATCCAACTAATAAATTGTTTTCAAATGTAGTAAGACATTTATGGATACTATGTTTACAATGCTGACATAATATTACATTTTATATGTACTCTATTATTACATGTGATTTTCATTATTCACATTTTGAATTTAATATTCTTTTTTCTGGATGCAAAAATGTCTACAGGTACTTGGCTCGTTCACCAGTCCCAGGCAGTTTACTTATATTGTTCAATGGCTGAAATTCTAAAGAACAGGGTTCCTGCCATGACAGCAGAGTGAAGGGACCAGTCTTCAGGAGGAGGAGACTATCCTCCTTTTGTACAGGAGAAAAGCACAAAAGAACAGGCACAGAGGCAAGCTGGTAAAGTGCCAATCTCATGGTCTCCATTTTCTCTATTGAGGTGCCATCACCTCTTTGTGTGTGTCTGTAGTGTGTGCGTGTGTGTGTGTGTGTGGTGTGTATAGTATATGTAGATGTCTGTAGTGTGTATATGTGTGTATGTTTGTAGTGTCTGTATGTGTGCATCCTGTATGTGTATAGTGTGGGTGTAGTATGTGTATGTAGTATGCATGTGTGCATGTGTATAGTGTGTATGTGTGTAAATATATATATATTTATATATGGTGTGTATATAGTGTGTATATATGTGGTGTGTGTGCATGTGTGTAGCGTGTATATGCATAGTATGTGTATGTGTGGTGTGTGTGCATGTGTATAGTGTGTGTGTAGTGTGTGTCGTGTGTGTATGTGTAGTGTGTGCAGTATGTAGGTGTGTTTGTGCATAGTATGTATATGTGTGTGTAGTGTGCGTATGTGTCTACGTGTGTGTGTGTAGTGTGTGTGTGAGTAGTTTATGTGTGTAGCATGTATGTGCATGTGTAGTGTA
The DNA here is from genome assembly GCF_000001405.40 of Homo sapiens. Classification (NCBI taxonomy): domain Eukaryota; kingdom Metazoa; phylum Chordata; class Mammalia; order Primates; family Hominidae; genus Homo; species Homo sapiens. The sequence continues at coordinate 33,457,682 of NC_000010.11, forward strand.
TGTGTGTGGTGTGTATATGTGTCTATGTTGTAGTGTGTCTATCTTCTTGAGAGATGGGGCATTGATATTCCTTTTAGAAATTCTTCTAGAAGCCAACATCTTGAAAATGAGCCTGCTGATGGTATTCAGAGCTGGCCAGCTCTTCCCCATTCTCCTTCAATCCGGGCACGTCCCACCCTGTGTGGCTGGATGTGAACACGTACGTGCAAGTGTGATCTCTCTGTGTGAACATTAAGAGGTTGCTCACTTGCTCCAGTTTTCACCTGGAAGCAGCACTTCCTTCCCCATTCCCTCCTATTCGATGCAACAGGCTGATCAGAGTATTTCTGTTCACCTTTGTGGCAACTGTGCTACACTCCCCTTTCAAGCCTTCCTCAAAAGAAAGAGGAGAAAATATTTTAATATGATTTTAATGCCTAGTTTTTTCTCCTTTCCTTTTTATTGTAAAAATACAACACTTTTCCTGTAGAGCAATTAGAAAATGCAGATGCAATTTTAATACCATCATTGACACATCAACCATGTTACTATGTTGCTTTTTCTTTAAAAAAACTCTTGATAGAAGCAGTTTTTTAAACTTTTATGTATTTAATTATTTTGCAAGATTTCAATTTGCATTGAAATTTATTGAGATTTATTTTATGGCCCAGCACATGACTTATTTTGGTGAACATATTCTGTGCACTTAAAAATGTGTATTCTGTAATTGGTGAGTGAGTTTCTAGGAATGATGGAGTTCAAGAAATGTTCATCAGGTCAAGTTGGTTGGAAGTGTTCGACAGAAGTCATTTTATAACCTGCTTTTTTATTTTGAGTAAAATATTGTGACAGTCAATAAACATGATTTTTCTACAAAATGCTTTATAGTTATGGTGTATTCCATGGTTTAGCTATTTCCCTATTGCTGGATATTTGTTTTAAAATTTCGGTATTATAAAGAATACTGTGATAACCGTACATTTAAATGTGTATGTATTATTGATTACACTACAGAAGATAAACTTGTAGTAGTTGCTATCATTTGAATGCATCCCCAAAAGTTCATGTGTTGGGAACTCAGTCCCCAATGCAACAGTGTTGGGAGGTGAGACCTTTAAGAGGTGATTAGAGAAATGGATTAATGGATTAATCTTGGGCATGGGTTCATTTTCTTAAGTGAGTTTGTTATGAAGGCAAGTTTGGGCTGGGTGTGGTGGCTCACACCTATAATCCCAGCTCTTTGGGAGGCCAAGGTGAGAGAATTTCTTGAAGCCAGAAGTTTGAGACCAACCTGGGTGACATAGCACAATCCCCCTCTCTAAAAAAAAAAAAAAAATCAGAAATTTAGCCAGGCATGGTAACGCACACTTGTAGTCCCAGCTACTTGGGAAGCTGAGGTGGGAGGACTCCTTGAGTACAGGAGTTCAAGGCTGCAGTGAGCTATGATCATGCCACTGCACTCCTGCCTGGGCAACAGAGTGAGACCCTGTCTCGAAAATAAAAATAAAAAAATAAAAAAGCAAGTTCAGCCCCCTCTTGCTTTTGCTCTCTTGCCTTTCCTCTTTCCACCATGGGATGATGCAGCAACACATCCCTCACCAGATGCTGGCCCCTTAATCTTGGACGCCCCAGCCTCCAGAATCATAGGAAGTAAATCATTGTCCTCTATAAATTGCCCAGTCTGTGGTATTCTGTTATAGCAGCGCAATACAGACTAAGACAGCAGTGTAGCTGCTAGTTAAGACTTCGTATTCTTGAAGGCCTTTGATTCATATTCATTTTGAGGCCATTTTAACATTGTACCTTTACCCTTCTGAAGATCTCTGGTGTCTTGGCATGTATTTTCATCACTTTCTATATAGAAAATCAGTCACAGGTGACTCACTGAATTTGGAGCCAGCATGGAAACAATCAAAATGCCAAAAATCTAACTTTGTAAAATTAAAAAAAAAAAATCTGCCTCTTTAAAAATTTGATTCACTTCTGTTCTTAAAGATAGCAATGCGAGATGGTGTTCAACTCCAAAACTGCAAAACACTGATGCCAAGCAATCCATTTTAATCATGGCATGCCCCGGGACACTTTCAGTATTTGCACGAATTGAAGGTCATTTGTGGTGAGTACAAGGTCTTCTCTCCTGAATCATCGTGCCATTGTACTCACCTCGAAAATGCTGGGATGCCTGTGGGGATCCTGAAAGCATCAGCTGGACATGATGATTAAAATCTTCTAATTATTTGAAAAGCCATTTGGGATAATAGAGTAGGTTTACTTTCCTTTCATTAATGTCCCTGAGCAGGCTATATAGGAGTTAGAAAGTCACAACTTCACTGCTTTTGGCCAAAGGCCATTGCGGTACTTGCAGATGAAGAAGAAAAAGAAAAAAAAAAACAGAGACAAAGTGTTCTTTCAGAAAGGTTATAAGCCTGTAGACAGAACAGAATTAAAATACAATTCTGAATGTACCAGCATACAATATTTTGGTGTTGGTTTACTGAAGAGAATGTCAGATCAATACACCACCAAGTCAAATTGACTGTGATGTCTAAAATAACTTTAGGTCTGCCTTTAGAAGGAGCTAATGGGAAAAGAGAGAAATAAGTTACACGAAGGTCCATGTTGGGCGATAAGGAACTTGTCGCTTAGTGAACAGGTCTTGATAATATACTGGATAAATGGCACTAAGAAATGTCTGGAATCACTCAGAATACATGCCTAGAAGTCTAGAGTAATAAGAAACAAACGCATGTCATAATTCAGTGTAAGAAATAGCAATGCAAAGGTAAGATCTTTGCATTGTATAAATTCGTATAAGCCCTGTAAATGATTACAACTTCATTTCTTATCATTTGTTTTGGATAGCAGAATTAGAGTAGAGCAGTGTTAGCAGGAGAGAGTCCCTTGAAGGTCACAACAATGTGAAGAGCCTGGCAGTGTGGAGTGTCAGCTGAATAACCCATGAGGACCCAAGGAACAGGCCTGGATTTCTTCCACAGAGCAGGCCTGGCGAATTCCCATGAAGTTAGGTCACTAGGCAAACGTTCCAGGGCTGGCGGTGTACTTATGACTCTCAATCTCCCTTCTAAGTTGTTAAAAAAATTAAAATAAAAAAAAAACTCTTCAGTACTTAGACATTATGCTAAGGCAGTATCTGAAATGACAGAATGGAATGAAGAGACATCAGATGAATGCTAAGTATGGAGACTATGCAGAGTTTAGAAGTTGCCCTGAAAATTGAGAGAAGCTTAGGGTTGGGGCTAATGGATGAGGTCAGAAGCTTATCAATCACCCAATTAACAAGTATTTATTGTGACCATACAGGATACTGGATGCCACAGTAACTGCATATGGTGAGAGGTGTAAGACCTAAGTTGTCTAACTGTGTTTAATTCATTGGGAAATTTACTAACAGGTCAAACAGGCTTACCCCAGTGAAATAATCCACGTGGCATCAGGTCACACATTTGGAAGGTGACCTTAAATATAGATGAAGGAAATTGTTGAAGTCAGTGGCCAGTATATTGAATTACAAGGCTCATAAACTTCTCATGCCTCAGATCTCGAGTTCTATTTTTAGAGACACATTTTCTGGCACATTTGTTTTAAAAAGTCTCTTGGTGGGGTGTGGTGGCCCACGCTTGCAATCCTAGCACTTTGAGAGGCCAAAGTGGGAGGACTGCCTGAGATCAGAAGTTGGAGACCAGCCTGGGCAACATAGCAAGACCTCGTCTCTACAAAAAGAAAAAAAAAAATCAACTGGGCATGGTGGCATGCACTTGGAGTCCAAGCTATTCCAGAGGCTGAGACACTTGAGCACAGGAATTTGAGGCTACAGTGACCTATGAGTGTGCCATTGCCTTCCAGCCTGGCTGACAGAGTGAGACCCTGTCCCAAGAGAAAAAAAAAAAAGGAGTCTGAACAAATATCAATTCTGAACCCTCTTGGAAATCCTACAATGTCTATATATTTTTCTAGCCAATGGAACAGATATAAAAACTTCTATTGTCAAATGTTTGTTTTAAATCTTAAGAGAGATTCTTTAGCTTTGTTATCTGGTCATTCCTCATTTAGCCAATAATAGTACAACTTCCTAGAAAAGAATGAAGATTTTTGGAGGAACTGAGCTTTCACTTTGTCTGCACAGTGTCACAGGGTAGGCCCTTGCCTTCCCACGTTGTGGTCATTAGCATGAAATTGCTTGGAAAGGTAACCTATGCTCTCCTAACTATGAGGATGAAAATGGTATCCCATAATAAAAATAGAAAAAGGTAATAAAAGTTCACTTCTTGTTGCAATAGCAAATGCACAAGTAGCATTTATCACTTGACTGTTTTCCTGTATGGTTTTCTAGTCATTCGTTGCTATGCATGGAGAAGCGTGAACTTGTGAAAATACTTATCATCTGCTTCAGTGGCCCATTTTCAATGCATTTACAGCATCAACAATAACAACATACAATGACTTTTTTTTAAAAAAAAAGGTAATTTTGGACACAGAACCTATACTATCTTTATATTTTTGTTTGCTTTGGCTTTGTTTTGTTTTTTTTGAACCTAACAAGAAGATGGTAGCATTAGCCACTCTCAGTTAAAAATTTGAAAACCTTACAGCTAGAGAAATAGTCTTTCAGTGACTGAGGTACGATAATTTCACTTTACGCTGTTTTAGCTTCATTACATTGACAACAGATTTTTATATTTCTTATACATTTTTAATTATTCTTTTCTATCAGATGTTGAGAAATTCTATATATCATGTTGCAAACCTAATTATTTTTAAAAAGAGATTTATGTCACATATGACTGACTTCTTATCTATAACTCCCAGAAATACTAATTTTATTTGGAAATACCCAGAAAGATCTGTTAAATTATGAATATACTGTGACTCATTTTATGCCTAATTATAAAAAATGAATGAGTAAAATATCAAAAAAATTTCTTTGGGAAATTTTAGTTTAAAAAAAGCTAGTAATTTTCTAACAGAGCCTTAGAAATAATTGTACTCCCAATTTTATGGGGAAGTCATTTCATTATTAATGTGTTTAATTCTCAAAAGTTAGTTGTGATATTTTTAGTGTAAGGTTGCTTGGAAAATATATGAAAAAAAGATATAATTATTATGTGAATTTTATTATCTCTCCAAGAAAGCAAAAATAAACAGAAAGACTAATTTTAGATAAGGATAAGAACATCTAGGTTCTTTTTGCTCTACTACTAAGCAATCTTTGGCAAATGATTTTAATTTTCTGGAGCTTGATTTCTGCCTCTATGAAATAAAGAGGCTAGAAGTAGATCACATTTGGTGGTAATACTGAGACGCGCTCTGCAAAAAAAATGCTTCTTGGTCAACTGAATTTGGAAGTTATCATATGTTATGCCCACTATGGGATATTTAAGATGCACATTGGTAGATTATGAGAATCCTGCAGTAAAAGAACCTACTTATCTTGGTTTATACCAAAATTTCCCAAAGCTATTTGGCCATGGACCTCTTCCTTTGTTTTCTTTCTGTAACAACATACTCGGAACACACGCTAGGAAATGCTGGCAGGATATTCAACTGGGTGCGCCTGGTCCCTGGTTTTCAACACAAGATGATGAAAAGCTGTGTCTCATTTTTCTTTTGAGAAAAAAATTTAAAATTCTATGTATGCATTAATCTCTGATTACTTTTCCTAATAATATCTTATTTTTCCTACTTTTTTAGTTTCCGTGAACACCAAAAGTCATAAATTTTATCCACACACTAAGGACCACAATTTCTTAAGTCACTACAACTTCTGGGACGCTAGCAAATCACCACTATTAGGTTAAGCCTTCCTTAATTACTAAACAAATTTCAAAAAGCACAAATGGGTAAATCTCTGGACATCCTAAGCAAATTTTCACACTTCTTAAATAACTGTAACAAATCAGTGGCCACATTTACTCAACTAATATTTATTTATTTATTATTTTTATTTTATTTTATTTTTTGAGGCAGGCTGGAGTGGCACAATATCAGCTCACTGCAACCTCCGCCTCCCAGGTTCAAGCGATTCTCCCAACTCAGCCACCCAAGTAGCTGGGACTAAAGGTGCATGTCACCATGCCCAGCTAATTTTTGTAATTTTTGGTAGAGACGGGGTTTCACCATGTTGACCTGGCTGGTCTCGAAATCCTGACTTCAAGTGATCTGCCAGCCTTGGCCTCTCAAAGTGCTGGGATTACAGGCGTAAGCCATCGTACCCAGCCTCAACAAACATTTAATGAAGATATGTCATACACAAAAGCATGACAGATACTCTAAAATAATGAAGAAATTCTCCCCTACATTAAAGAAGCTTTTTGTCTATAAGAAGATGAATATAATAATATTTTAGTAATATAATATATATTACATAATAGCAAAAATATCAATAGCTAGTGTTTATTAAATGCCTACTAATATTGCAGATACTATATATCCATAATCATTCATCTTTAAAAAAAAAAACCCTTAAAGCACAGATTCTATTATTGTTCTCATTTTATAAGAAGGAAAAAGGAGCTCAGAGAGGTTAGCGATTTGTCTTATGACACACAGCTGTCAAATAAAAGAAAGGATTCAGATCAAGGTCTATATGACTGCAGCATCACACTGCCTTTCAAATCAGGCTTAAACATGAATGTAGGCAGAAGAGAAGGAACTAATGAGATGGGGAAGTAGTGCCGTACGAAGAGGAATACTTGATACAACTGGGCTTCATAAGAAGGGTCAAGTCAAGATTGCTAGGAGAGTTAGTTGGCCTTGGGAAAATGAGTGACTGTCTCTTTCTCTGAGACAGGAATGAAAAATGAAAGAGGAGATGGACCAGAAGTGTGTGGAGAAAAAGGCCTTCCAGACTCCCTTTCTCACACTAAGGTCTGGGAACGATTCCTAATGTCTGTTCTCTCCAAGGTAATACGTGTTTGAATGTAACCTGCGTTTCTTACTTGATATGAGCCCTAACCTGAATGTACTCGAGGTCTCTCCATGAACTACCAAGTCTATCTAATTAGTTAAAATATTAGTATCCATGGTTTCTTCTCAGAAACTCAGAGACCTAAGCCGTAGTTTTTTGTTTGTTTGTTTGTTTCTTTGCTACTAAAAAAAACAAGCATAGACGACACACCAGAATTTAAATAACTAAAAACTATTCTCCCTGGCTTCATGAGTACCTATGAGAGTCAACACAGCTCCCCTATCTTGTGGGAACCCTTCAATCGCAAAATACCCATCTTGGAGAGTATAAATTGTGTGTTGGAAGTTTAGAGAAAGGGCACCTTCCATCTCAATCTATTCCAAATGCCAAACGTGAGAATTTAGCTTACTTTTGAAATGAAGTCTTCATTCTTAATTACAAACATTTCTTCTTGTTTTGTCCTAGACACAAAGATTCCTAAAAAGATGTCAAAGCTGGTGAGTGGCAGCTTAGGGCCCTTGAAGATCACTGTGTGTCTTCTCCTGTGTAAACTTTACCTACTTAAGAGGATTGAGGAAAGAGTCCCCTTTTAACCCTTCATCCTCTCTTCCATTTATAACCTTTGAACTTCATGGGGCTTAAGCAAATTAAAGTATTAGATTCCACCATGATTCAAGGTAATGAAAACCTTTCCCTAAGGCCTCAGATGAGCTATAGAAAATAAAGACCGTATGTGAATTCTTTAGGTTCATGATGTTTGACTCTTCAATGGGTAGTGAGGGGGGCTCAGGGAGCATTTTATACAGTCCTCATCCAAAGATAAGCAATGGTTTGGTACCCAAGAGCTCTGTGTTCTAGTCTCAGCTCTGCTGCAAATTAATTGCCTGGCCTTGGGCATTTAGACAGATGAGGTTAAATAGTCTTTTTAAAAGATCCTTCTAGTTCAAAGATTCTAAATCATAAAACTGGGCAAAATGGAATACCTCCATGAAGGAAAGACCCAACTGAGGGTGTTTGCATTTCAGAATGCAATGCACACATCATTTGGTGACAAACACAGTTTTTTCACTGAACACTAAGTGATTAAAGAGTGCATACATGCACACTGAATAGACTTACTCATGGAAATCACATTAGTAAATTATAAAATTGTATGAAAAGTCCAAGCAGTGTGCATTGCAATAGTTTCTCAACTCTGCTCTATAAAATGATGGAAATCCATACACAGCAGTTATCTCTAAGAGAGTTAGCAATTACCCTCAGGAGTTTGCAAGTCAAAAGTTCTAGACCTCTGGATGCCTGGGTCACTGGCTGTGGCAATCCCAAACACTGTCCACTCCAAGCTTTGGAATCTGCATCCTCTTATTTTGCAATAGAAAGGAGCAAATGTAGTTTCCCAACTTGGGGAAGGTCCAGGACTCAAGAAGTCTACTAAATGTATCCAAGCATTTAGAATATTATGGGTATAACAATTCACTCAATTAAAGAGAAGGGCTTCTGGTGTTTTTGTTGTGTGCTATCATCTAGTAATAATGCTATATTTAGACATGACTATCCCTACTTATACATCTCCTACATCCTGAGTCTATAAACATTTGGGAAAATGCTGGCCTGAATTCAGGGATGAAGTATGAAGACTTGGAAGAAAAGAAACGCTAACTGGTTAAATTACAGGTTGGGTCTGTAGTTTGGTTTTGTTAAATCCATACTGCAGTATGAGATCAAAATTAACTTTGTATCGTAGCTGCCATTTTCTACTGATTTTTGCCAAGAGTTCTAAATGTTCTGTTTTCTCTCCTTGAGGAAAATTCCTATTTTTCTTTTCCTGACACAGACTTTCCGTCATACCATAGGAAAGCTCAAAATAAACTATACTCTAAGCTACATGAGGAAAAAAAAAGTCTTTGTATCTCTTGCACCTGGTATGATCCCTGATACTGTAGATACTCACTAAATGTTCATTGAATAAGGCTATCAAATTAATGAATTAATAAGAGAATCAAGAATTTGGGGATCCTATCACGTAAATGCATGGAGCTTGCAAATGTCTCATGATTTATCTTGATCCTTTGTAAAATGCCAACTTAAGCTTGTGTTAGTTCCATTCGGAAACTGGCCTCCTAGCATAACCCTAATGGATAATTATAAATCCACAAAAAATCTAAGAAAATTCTCTACACAATCTCTTTACCAATTCAGATCGGTCCTGGCAGACCTAAAATTTTGTGATTTCCTGGTATGGTGAATTCTCATCAAATGCCAACAAGAGGATATCTAGAGAAAAATGTTCTGTTACGTTCACTGAAAATGAAGACAGCATTTTTGTTTTTTTCTCATTGGTTTTTCCTAGATTACATTATTATAGCTACAGATCATCCCCTCCTTTGAGGGTCATTTCCAAGAAAGTTCAAGTTTAGATTTTCCCCTCGATGTCTCTTAAAAAGCCCTTCTAAAATAAGAGATATTATTGCGGTCAAATCTACTTTGCAAGAAATAAACTTGGCATCAAAGGAAAACTACATCATTCTTCCCCTCAACCATAGTCAGTCATGTCTATGGCAATCCTGGATTCAATTATTAGTGATTCTGCCAGCATCTTGACATTTCTTTTAGAGTCAGAGGGAGGAGGGACAAAAGTGATCTATTTATATGCTACCTCGCCTTTTTTCTTTCCCCCTCTTTTTCCTATATACCTAAGACTTCAGCAGTCAGTATCCAGATCTCAATTTCTCTTCCTTGTGTCAAAAGTTAGGGAACGGTTTCTGGGTGGGTGGAAGAACATCACTTTAATTTTCAGGCTTTAAGAATCTCAACCTCATTGGGGATACCAAGAAAATAACCTAGAAAACTCCTTCCACAAAGTGGATGGACACCTTTCAGATAAGCAGATGACTCAAAGTTATTTTATCTTCACGAAAGAGTTCATTCATTAAAATGAGAAAGTTGTTTACTCTTGAAGAATTATTTACACCTCTGAAGAATAATTATGCCAAGCTATGAGAAACCTATAGGGTGTGTGTGTAAGAATTTATTTATTTATCTGACAACTGTTTATTAAGCACTGATTATGTGCCAGGCATAGTTCTGGTTGTTGAGGATACAGTGGTGAATAAGACCCCAAAAGTCCCTGTTCATAAAAGGAAAACATTTAAAAAACAAATAAGTGAATAATTTAGTATAATTCCAGGCGATGCTATGAAGAAAAAGAAAAGCAGAGAGTAAGGATGTGCATTTGTCTAAGAGAGCAACATCGAAGTGAAGACCTTGAGAGGTGACAGCGTGCTGGCAGTCCTCAGAGCCCTCGCTTGCTCTCGGCACCTCCCCTGCCTGGGCTCCCACTTCGGCGGCATTTGAGGAGCCCTTCAGCCCCCCACTGCACTGTGGGAGCCACTTTCTGGGCTGGCCAAGGCTGGAGCCCACTCCCTCAGCTTGCAGAGAGGTGTGGAGGGAGAGGCGCCGGCGGGAACTGGGGCTGCCTGCGGCGCTTGCGGGCCAGCTGGAGTTCCGGGTGGGCGTGGGCTTGGCGGGCCCCACACTCGGAGCAGCCGGCCAGCCCTGCTGGCCCCGGGCAACGAGGGACTTAGCACCCGGGCCAGCGGCTGTGGAGGGTGTACTGGGTCCCCCAGCAGTGCCAGCCCACCGGCGCTGCGCTCGATTTCTCACCGAGCCTTAGCTGCCTTCCCACAGGGCAGGGCTCGGGATCTGCAGCCCGCCATGCCTGAGCCCCCACCCCCTCCATGGGCTCCTGTGCGGCCCGAGCCTCCCCGACGAGCACCACCCCCTGCTCCACGGAGCCCAGTCCCATCGACCACCCAAGGGCTGAGGAATGCGAGCGCAGGGTGCAGGACTGGCAGGCAGCTCCACCTACAGCCCCGGTGTGGGATCCACTAGGTGAAGCCAGCTGGGCTCCTGAGTCTGGTGGGGACGTGGAGAGTCTTTATATCTAGCTCAGGGATTGTAAATACACCAATCAGCACCCTGTGTTTAGCTCAAGGTTTGTGAGTGCACCAATCAACACTCTGTATCTAGCTGCTCTGGTGGGGCCTTGGAGAACCTGTGTGTGGAAACTGTATCTAACTAATCTGATGGGGACGTGGAGAACCTTTATATCTAGCTCAGGGATTGTAAATACACCAATCAGCACCCTGTGTTTAGCTCAAGGTTTGTGAGTGCACCAATCGGCACTCTGTATCTAGCTGCTCTGGTGGGGCCTTGGAGAACCTGTGTGTGGAAACTCTGTATCTAAATCTGACAGGGACATGGAGAACCTTTGTGTCTAGCTCAGGGATTGTAAATGCACCAATCAGTGCCCTGACAAAACAGGCCACTCGGCTCTACCAATCAGCACGATGTGGGTGGGGCCAAATAAGAGACTAAAAGCACGCTGCCGGAGCTAGCATTGGCAACCCGCTGGGGTCCCCTTCCACACTGTGGAGGCTTTGTTCTTTCGCTCTTTGCAATAAATCTTGCTACTACTCACTCTTTGGGTCCGGGTTGCTTTTATGAGTTGTAACACTCACCGTGAAGATTTGCAGCTTCACTCCTGAGCCCAGCAAGACCACGAGCCCACCGGGAGGAACGAACAACTCCAGACACGCTACCTTAAAAAATGTAACACTCACCGCGAAGGTCTGCGGCTTCACTCCTGAGCTAGCGAGACCACGAACCCACCAGAAAGAAGAAACTCCGAACACATCTGAACATCAGAAGGGACAGACTCCAGACGCGCCACCTTAAGAGCTGTGACACTCACCATGAGGGTCCGCGGCTTCATTCTTGAAGTCAGTGAGACCAAGAACCCACCAATTCTGGACACACCCTGAAGGATAAGAAGAGGAACATGAGAGATGCACACTCTCTAATGGCAGGAGACCTGAAGACCCTCCACAGCCACATGGTAATACGTGGTCATAAAACTGGGCAAAATGGAGTACTTCCATTAAGGAGAAACCCACCTGAGAGAGTTTGCATTTCAGGATGCAATGTACACAACTTTTTTTTTTGTGAGAGAGAGTCTTGCTCTGTTGCCCAGGCTGGAGTGCAGTGGCATGATCTCTACTCACTGCAACTCCACCTCTTGGGTTCAAGCGATTCTCCTGCCTCAGCCTCCCAAGTGGCTGGGATTACAGGCGCCCGCTACCACACTCGGCTAATTTTTTTGTATTTTTAGTAGAGACAGGGTTTCACCGTGTCAGCCAGGAGGGTCTCGATCTCCTGACCTCATGATCTGCCAGCCTCGGCCTCCCATAGTGCTGGGATTACAGGCGTGAGCCACCGCGCCTGGCCAAGTACACAACTTTTGGTGACAAATAGTTTTCCACTGAACACTCAGTGATTAAAAAGTGCATATACACAGAATAGACTCACTCATGGAAATTACATTAATAAATTATATAACTGTATAAAAAGTCCAAGCGGTGAGCATGGACACTGCACACAGAGCCAGGTAGAAGGTGACTTGCAGAGACATGCACAGAGCAAGGGCACGGTCCAAATTGAGTAGGTCTTTTTAAGCCAAGGTGAAGTTTTAATTTTATTTTAAGTGCAATGGCAAGGCATTGAGGACTTGAACAGGGCGTGATGTAAACTGATTTATATTTTAAAAGATTGTTGGGGGTTGGGCATGGTGGCTCATGCCTGTAATCCCAGCACTTTGGGAGGCCAAGGCAGGTGAATTGCTTGAGCCCAGGAGTTTGAGACCAGCCTGGGCAACGTAGTGAGACATTGTCTCTACAAAAATTACAAAAATTAGCCAAGCATGATGGTACGTGCCTGTAGTCCCAGCTACTCAGGAAGCTGAGGCAGGAAGATCACTTGAGCACAGGAGTTCAAGGGTGCAGTGAGCAGTGATCATGCCACTGTACTCGAGCCTGGGTGACAGAGTGAGACCCTGTCTAAAAAAAATAAAAATAAAGATAATTGTGTTTTTTTTAATGAAGAAAGAGAGGAAACTGGGAGCTGGTTAGGAGGCCTTTTCAGCAGTTTAGGCAAGCAAGAAGTGTTAGTGAAAATAACACTATGTCAACAAGTCACGTCACTGGAAACCTCCTCCTCTGCATCTCATTGACGTGGAGATTCCCTCATGGGTTCTGTCCTGGAGTTGCAATGCTTCAATCTCAGAAATAAGAATCCTGAACAAAAGCATTCTGCAAATTAGGTCTCACATAGTTAGCTATGAAATTTACTTTTTTATCCTCTTTTTAAGCCTAGTTAGACTACAAGGATTTTATGCAAGCTTTTGAAATTAAAAAAAAAAAAAGAGGCAAATCACATGAGATAAAGACACATGATAAGGGGTAAGGCAAGTGGGAGCATCTTGTTGAAGCAATGAAAGATAAATACAGCTGAGAAGAAAGACCATGATGTGGCGATTTAGACACACCAAGAAATCCTTAACGCTTCCAATAAAGATATGGATGGTTAAGCATACGAAATACACACAAAAAGAAAAATATTCCATTGAACTGTATGTCAATATATCATATTTTCAGCACCCAAAATCTAGAGAGTATGGCCAAAGAAAGGATCTTTGTGGCATTTCTGTGCATGTGAGGCAGTACAGGAAATGTCACTTGCACATGGAAATATTGGATTTTCCAGGAAATGTTCGTAGTTCTCTGTAGACAAAGGAACAATATTGTTTAATTTGGGACCATTCAAGGAAATTGAGGATATACAGCAGACAACGAATTACATGATTCTCTTCCTTACAAATAGAGTCTACCATTTCATTTCACCAGATATCATAATTGTGGGATGACAGAAGGAATTTTCATCTCAACTTAATGGATAGGAAAATGAAGCACAGAGAGGTGAGAAGAATCACTCTTCATTCCCGGATGACCAGCTCTGGCCTAGACCGCCCCATCCAACCCCACATCCACCATTCAAGCTGCTAGGGCCTGATCATCTAACCAATGTCCATAACCAGTCACTGCATCCTTGTCTTTTGCCATCTTGTTCCACTTAACAGAGGAATGAGTTTTTCTGGCAAGGAAAGTGGAACAGAAGGAAAAAAAACCCTGTATTTGTCAAGAAAATAAAAAAGTTTTCAAGCAACATGTCACACATACACTTTTTACACATGCACATTTGCTCATGCACACATCTACATGTATACACTCACATGCACACATGCTCACACACATGCACATTCATACACAAACCAATCATTCATCCCTCAGAAGCAGTATATGTGTATATATATACTTTTTAATTTTAATTTTTGTGGGTACTTAGTAGGTATACATACTTACAGGGTACATGAGATGTTTTGACACAGGCATGCAATGTGTAATAATCACATCATGTAAAATGGGATATCCATTCCCTCAAGCATTTATTTTTTGTGTTACAAACAATCCAATTATACTCTTAGTTATTTTTAAATGTACAATTAAATTATACATTTAAATTGTACATTTAAACCCACCCCACCCCTAACCCACCCCACTTCTAACCCACCCCACTTCCCCTTCACTCTCCCACTACCCTTCCCTGGCCCTGCTAACCATCCTTCCATTCTCTGTCTCCGTGAGTTCAGTTGTTTTGATTTTTAGATTCTACAAATAAGTGAGAACATGCAATGTTTGTCTTTCTGTGCCTGGCTTATTTCACTTAGCATAATGACATCCAGGTCCATCCATATTGCTGCACATGATAGGATCTCATTGGTTTTATAGCTGAATGGTACACCATTGTGTAGAAGTACCACATTTTCTTTATCCATTCATCTGCTTGTGGATACGTAGGTTGAGAAACAGTATATTTTTGTCATATTACTTCTGGCCATCTGAGCAAGTACTGTCCATGTAGTTTCAGTAAGGAATCAAGTAAGTTAACAAGTAGAAAATGAAACCCAGGAAAAAAGATTAAAAGGCACTGAAATGCTTAATTCTGAAGGACAGAGGCTGAAAAATAATTTCATAACAATCTACACACGTAACATTTACACAGAGGTTGATGACTGATTGCCACCATTGTCATATAATTGAATGTCTACTCCACACCTAGTACAAGTATGCTGATCTGGCTCTGCTAGGAACACTAGAGGATGAATTTAAACTTTATTATTTGAATTTCTGGCTAGTTATCTATATGAAATCTGGAGAATAAAATAATTGTTGAGCACTAGAATGGTTTATGCCAAATGAGAGCTTCAGAAAGTAAACTCTATTCCTGAGGTCCATTTCAGCACCATTCTCTATCCCACTCTTTTCTTTCCTCTATCTTCGCTGTATTGTTCCATGCACACTGCCCTTTTTTTTTTTTTTTTGGTTTCATGCCCTAACCTATTTCAAGGCATAACCTAAGTCCCACCATATTGAAATTAAATAATTTTCACCTTTGAAAAACCCCTTCAATAAAGCAGAATTTTGGAATTTATAGATCTAACATCCATACTTTCAACTGTTTGCAAGAGATTTCAATTATTTTTACTTTTGTTGGGCATGAATTAGATCCCATGACATGCAGGAGGAAATCACTTCCTGGTGAGAGAAACTAGGCCACTGTTGAACATCTACAGTTTAATGAGGATTTGTTGTTCTCTACGCATCTTTGTGCATGCAGTAACATCTGAACATAAACTTTGGAATTTTCAAGTTTCTTAGTTTGTATCTCTGGCAAATCTCAAGGATCTACTGTACCTAAAGTCTATCTTACAATATAAATCAGAGTCTAGAAAGGCTATAATCTGAACACTCTTCCTTAGGAATTCTGGAATCTCATGGCATGCTTCTGGTTCTTCCATTTACATAGAAGACCATTTCGGACAGTGAGAAATACACTAAAACTTCATTTTGACAGTTCCTGGTTAGTTAAGCCAAAAAATTGATGGGAAAAACTTGTTTTGGGGAGTTTAGGGTCAGTACACAATAATAGGTCCAATAACTCTACCAATTCTACAAGATGAAGAAAACACCATGAGAGTGCCCTCATACTAAAGGATGAAGAAGGATCCCAGCTCTGAACCCTGTGAGAGACAGTGGGAAAGAGTTCCATATTCAGTCATGGAGAAATGTCAGAGAAGGAGAGGTGATCATGCAGGAGAAGTGGGATCATGTCATAGAAATTTCCAGAGTTCTGCTCTATGGAAATGTAGTCTAAGTCCTTTAAAAATGATTTCTTAACATAAAAAATAAGATTACTATTCAGAGGCCAAAAAAATTGTTACCATTATTGGCGAGGTAGAAGTTTCTAATCTATATGGTGAGCAGTGGGAGGTGACATTCTTTGGATTAGAATAAAACTGACTAATTTTGCAAAACTATTGGATTGACTAAAAGACAAAGTAACAAGCATAAACGTAATAGTGATAACACTCATCCCTGATTGAGTTCTCTTTATGAATCAGCACTATACACATTATCTCCTTTAATCCTCCTAATTACTGTTTGAGGTAGGTACCTTTAAGCCGTTTTACAGAGCAGAAAGCCAAGACACAGGAATTTAAGGAAATTTACAATCAAAATTACACAGGGTGCAAGTAGTAGAGTTAGAATTCAAGCCTACATTTGTGTGATTTCAAACCTTGTATTCTTAAAATTACTATGTCCTATCTCTTCCAGAAAATGACACAAAGGCAAGGGAAGACTCTTGTGTTAAAGAAAAAATCCCATGTAAATCTCTCATATTAGAAAAAACTAAAAACTGGCCACCTGATGTCAGGGGTGGGGTGGAGTTGAGACATAAGAGTGAATCCTCAGGGGTGACTTTAGTTAGAATGGAATCCAGCCTCGAATTCCCAAATGATAGGGAGGGCCAGGAAACCTAAAGTTTCTCTTCTATTTTTCTCTAATTATTTAATGTGTGGCAGGTGATCTACGTGTGGTAGGTTGTAAGTTCTTACTTTGTGGGCAAGTGTTCAGTCTATAATAATAATATTTTTAAAAGAATATTCAACCTTCAATTGATAGATTCTCATTCCTGTAAGACAAGACATTATGGCCTTGCAGAAGCAGAAGTCAGAATACTGACCACAGTTAGTGTCAAAGGGCTTTTCAGTTCCCAAAGAACTTGAGTTTTAGTTACATCCTCATATGTACTACACTTGACCTTAGTTATCTAAAAGGATGAGAAGCGACTGTATCCTCATATGTAAAAGGCATATTCAGGAAGAGACTCTTAAATTCCTTGGACAACAAATGTTTTCTCCTTTGAATAGCTATGACCTTCACCCTTACTTTTAATTGTAAACTTTTAGAGCAAACAAGACATAATCAACTCATGATCCAAACTTGCAAACTATGCATATGTAGATTTATGTAAATAGCCATGCAAATCAGGTACCACCACTGGGCTTCTGGGAGATTGCAAATGGAGCCCTTGGTACAGTAGAGGTCAAATATCCTTGGCTTAGAGCTCAATTCCACATGCAGATTTTTACAGGACAATGGCAGCCCCTAAACGCAACAGTCTTTAAATGCTGTGGTAATTCCATGGTTGAATAGTTTTCCGTCATAATTAGGAAGGGGTGACCTGGTTCAGTGAAAAATGAAGAGCAGAATGAAGTTGTGCTCTAATATTCCAGTTTATTTAAGTTTGATACTTATTATCATCCCTTCTCCTGCCTTCCTCATTTTTTCACTGTCCATTAAGGGACCTCAGCTGGCATGGAACATTGCTTTCCTATTTCAGCTGCCTTTGACTGGGATATTGAATTTCCCTAACTTACCTAAAAGATGGGACAGCCCAAGGCCACTATCCTTGAAAATGCCTCTTGCCTTGAAGCGTGGGTACCTTCCCTGAGATGCTGCACCAATGATGCCAATTAAATTATCAAAAACTACAGGAACAAGAGAATCTTCAGTGACTATTACCACCACTATTACTAAGAGCCACGAACTCTTAACTCCGAATAATCAACAAAGACCAGAGGATCTCTCCAAAAAGGCCATTAGACTTTGGAATATCCTTGCAGGACCTTGCTGGACACTCTTGGGACCAGACTATTACTAGTTTCTCTGTCCTATGGCAGAGGAACGGGACTGTGGAGTCCGTGGGGGTGATCCTACCAAATGTTAGACTTGGAGAGATAACAGAAGCCAGAAATGTCCTCGGCCATCCATGTGTGTGCATTGGCTATTCCCTTCACAGCCAGGGTTTTGTCCTCTTCTACTGCAGAGTTCAATTGTAGAAGGTAGAAGTTCCCATGAGATTTGGTGAGTCGTGGGAGATGGCATTCTCAGAATTGGGATATAATTGACTAATTCTGCAAAAGTACTGAATGGACTAAGAAATAAGGTAACAACCATAAAGGTAATAGTGATAATACTCATCCTTGATTAATCTGTCTTTATGAATTAGCACTATACACCTTACCTCATTTAATCCTTCTAACTGCGGCTTCAGGTAGGTGCCATTAAGCCATTTTACAGAGCAAGAAATCGAGGTACAGGGAATTTATGCAACTTACTAATCAAGAATTACATGGGTTACAAGTGGTAAGAGTCACAGGTCAAGCCTACATTTGTGTGATTTCAAAGCTTGCTTTTTTTTTTTTTTTTTTTTTTTTTTGAGACGGAGTCTCACTCTGTCGCCCAGGCTGGAGTGCAGTTGCGCGATCTCGGGGCTCACTGCAAGCTCCTCCTCCCGGGTTCACGCCATTCTCCTGCCTCAGCCTCCGGAGTAGCTGGGACTACAGGCACCCGCCACCATGCCAGCTAATTTTTTGTATTTTTAGTAGAGACAGGGTTTCACCGTGTTAGCCAGGATGGTCTCGATCTCATGACCTCAAGTGATCCACCGCCTCGGCCTCCCAAAGTGCTGGGATTACAGGCGTGAGCCACTGTGCCCGGCCTGTTTGTTTTTGTTTTCAGGACAAGGTCACACTCTGTCGCCCAGGCTGGAGTGCAGTGTCACCTTGAACTCTTGGACTCAAGAGATCCTCCTGCCTCAACCTGAGTAGTAGCAGGGTCTACAGGTGTGAGTCACCAAGCCCAGCTTAAAAGCTTGTATTTTTTTTTTTTTTTTGAAACGGAGTCTCGCTCTGCTGCTCAGGCTGGAGTGCAGTGGCGCGATCTCGGCTCACTGCAAGCTCCGCCTTCCGGTTTCACGCCATTCTCCTGCCTCAGCCTCCCGAGCAGCTGAGACTACAGGCGCCTGCCACCATGCCCGGCTAATTTTTTGTATTTTTAGTAGAGACGGGGTTTCACCGTATTAGCCAGGATGGTCTCGAACTCCTGACCTCGTGATCCGCCCGCCTCGGCCTCTCAAAGTGCTGAGATTACTGGCGTGAGCCACTGCGCCAGGCCAAAAGCTTGTATTTTTAATCATTATTCTCTATGTCTTCCAGACAATGATCCAAAGTAGTCATTTCGAGTAGTCGGACTTCGAACTTCACCAATACTCCCTGCCCACCAACAAATCTCATGCAGGGAAATTTGAACAGTTCCTAATGCTGGCCACTCCAAATCTACTGCCACACAGCCCTGCCTCCTTTTCCCCAAGCACTTTGTCCTACAGCTTGACACAGCAAGAATATTCCTGTTCCCTTAACGCATTTCCAGGACCGTGGCCAATGGCAGACACCAGGTCATTAAACCCAGTCACAGCTGAATGACTAAAGAGAGGACATGATAGCTTTAATTAATTTTTGCAATTGAGCCCTGTGTTTCTTGAATAAGATTATTACTTCTGAGTTCCTCTCAATTCCATATCGAAAAAACTCAGATCAAAATGCCAATTTCCTTCCATGAAATGGTCTGGAAAATAACAGAGATAAAAATCTGAAAGTATTTACAAATATCGATTGTTAAGTGGAGAAAAAGAAATGAGTGAGTTTGGAATTAGCCAAAGTCCGTGAGGAGTTTCTGAAAAAACGTAATCTACCAGGAGAAAAGCTGTGGTTCTAGTGATGACTAAATTATGAAAATAAAATTAAAAGGGGGTTGAGATACGGATGGGGTAGGGATGTAAAAAGTAGAAATTGAAGTTTGCTTTGTTTAGTACAGAGAGATAAGGATTTGGGGAAGAGGGGGATGGGATAGGGGACATTTTCTTTAAATGAGACAAGAAAAAGTAAACAAGTTATGTCATGTACAGAAAGGAGAAATGAACCAACATCCAGCTTTCAGTTTGCTGGCTAACTATTTAGGTTGATGCAAAAGTAATTGTGGTTTTTGCCATTAATTTTGATGGCAATTACTTTTGCACCAACCTAATACTTTCACTTAGACTATAAATTCTCACCTGTGGTTAGGTATAAACCATGTAAGCACTACCAATATTTGAAAGAGAAAATTGTTCTCGCCTGTAATTAAAAGGTATTATATTCTCAGTCAGCTGCGTTGTCCAAGAATCCATTAATCAAAGAAGCCATTACATCTCTACTTAGATTAATTCCATAATTGTATCACGTGAGTTATGTTCAAACATTTATTGCCCAATAATTTTCAGAGAAAAATGTAATAACTTGGGTGGAGATATCATTAATGGGAAGAGATTTTTGGCAAGCAAGTTAATGAAATGCATGAACTAACCCTCCAACCCCAATTATAATGAACTTTTCCAAGTTCCAGGGCTAATGGGTAAGCTACAAACGCTGTAAATGAGCTTGCTAGATTTGGGCAGCCCTCTGTGAATGTCAATTTAGTCCTAGAATTTTGCAAGGATAATTTCAAGTGAACAAAACCTGGACATCTTCCTCATCTTCCAAAACATTCAAGGCAGTTCTTGTATGCCCATTAATTTTTTAGCAACAACTTCCATTCGATCTCTGGATAAAAGGCCATCTTTATATGAAAAAAATTACTTTTCAAAACAGGCAGTAGGTAGTTCCTTTTTAAAATCTCATGTTGTAAAACAATATCATTCCAAAAATAATTCTAACAAGACTTTATAGGCTCTCGTAAGAGAATTTATTATGTATTGCCTTTTATCACCGTGCGTGTCAAACAGCAGAATTATGAGATAAATGGTAATGGTAGTCATGTGATATTTGCTTTAGGAAATCTAAACAATTGTAAAAAGACACTGTACTTCTATCAAATACCTAATACTTGGTTCCAGACTTGAAATGCCAGAGGTTTACTGCAAGTCTGAGACAGAAAAGAAGGATTAAAAATGATAAAATTAGGATTTGGGCACAGTCAATCATAACATCTTAACATCTGACGTGACCTCTGGAGTTATCTGCACCAGACAAGCTCTCCCAGTCAGAGATGAGGTGAGGCCCACAGCTGAGGAATCCAATTGCCCCAGCTTCAGAGATGAGTGGCATCTGTAGGAGAAAATCCGACAGGTCCACAGGGAGGGGTTTTTATTCTTTAGCAACAGAATACCAGCAGAACACGTTTTATGTAAAATAGCGGATGAAATCCCAACCTATAATTGACACAGAATGGAAATGCTTGGGTAGAAGGTGGAGAAGAGGCCCTCATCCACCTGGCACTGCTCTCCAGCTCCCTGCAATTTCTCTGTGGGGAGTTATCAGACACTTAGGTCTTGGGGAAAATGCATGAGTTAGGACTTCTCTGGTTGCAAAGTAAACAATTCGATCTGAGTGAGAATTACATCCAGGAAAATAATGATGGTTATTCTAATAATGGTCTCATGGACCCAGAGGAGCAATGCATGTGGATTTGAGGAAGGGACTACAATTGGGATGGTGGTTATCAGATCTCGCTCTCTCTATTTATATATATATTTGAGACAGAGTCTCTGTCACCCAGGCTAGAATGCAGTGGCGGTTCACTGCAACCTCCACCTCCTGGGTTCAAGTGATTCTCCCACCTCAGCCTCCCGAGTAGCTGGGATTACAAATATGCACCACCACACTCAGCTAATTTTTGTACTTTTAGTAGAAACAGGGTTTCACCATGTTGGCCAGGCTGGTCTCCAATTCTTGACCTCAAGTGATCCACCCACCTCAGCCTCCCAAAGTGCTGAGATTAGACCCATGAGCCACCGCACCTAGCCCTCCCTCCCTTTAAACACACCTGTGCACTTCTAAATTCCATAGGACAAGAATCTGATGGGCCCATGTTGGGTAGGGCCCATCAATTACATTGGGGGCTTGGAAGTGGCAGTGTAGAGAGAAGAGGGAGGCCCAGGGTCATATGACAGACACATGGCTGGCTATGATTTAAGTGTCAGTTTCCAGAGAAGAAGAACTGGTCAGGCCCCCAGCAATTTGGAAACTACTGATACTGTGTCTGGAATTGGTGGGTTCTCGGTCTCACTGACTTCAAGAATGAAGCCGCGGACCCTCGCGGTGAATGTTACAGCTCTTAAGATGGCGCGTCTGGAGTTGTTCGTTCTTCCAGGTGGGCTTGTGGTCTCGCTGGCTTCAGGAGTGAAGCTGCAGACCTTCACGGTGAGCGTTACAGCTCATAAAAGCAGTGTAGACCCAAAGAGTGAGCAGTAGCAAGATTTATTACAAAGAGCAAAAGAACAAAGCTTCCACAGTGCAGAAGGGGACCCCAGCGCGTTGCCACTGCTGGCTCGGGCACCCTGCTTTTATTCCCTTATCTGGCCCCACCCACATCCTGCTGATTGGTAGAGCCTAGTGGTCTGTTTTGACAGGGTGCTGATTGGTGCGTTTACAATCCCTGAGCTAGACACAAAGGTTCTCCACGTCCCCACCAGATTAGCTAGATACAGAGTGTGACACAAAGGTTCTCTAAGGCCCCACCAGAGTAGCTAGATACAGAGTGTCGATTGGTGCATTCACAAACCCTGAGCTAGACACAGGCTGCTGATTGGTGTGTTTACAAACCTTGAGCTAGATACAGAGTGCCCATTGGTGTATTTACAGTCCCTGAGCTAGACATAAAGGTTCTCCACGTTCCCACCAGACTCAGGAGCCCAGCTGGCTTTACCCGGTGGATCCCACACCGGGGCTGCAGGTGGAGCTGCCTGCCAGTCCAGCGCCGTCCCCCGGCACTCCTCAGCCCTTGGGTGGTCAATGGGACTGGGCGCCCTGGAGCAGGGGGTGGTGCTCATCGGGGAGGCTCGGGCCGCACAGGAGCCCATGGGGGAGGGGGGAGGCTCAGGCGTGGCTGGCTGCAGGTCCCGAACCCTGCCCTGCGGGGAGGCAGCTAAGGCCCAGCGAGAAATCGAGAGCAGCACCGGTGGGCCGGCACTGCTGGGGGACCCAGCACACCCTCTGCAGCCGCTGGCCCGGGTGCTAAGCCCCTCATTGCCCAGGGTCGGCAGGGCCGGCTGCTCCGAGTGCGGGGCCCACCAAGCCCACACCCACCCGGAACTCGTCCTGGCCCGCAAGCACCACGCGCAGCCCCGGTTGCCGCCGGCGCCTCTCCCTCCACACCTCCCCGCAAGCTGAGGGAGACGGCTCCGGCCTTGGCCAGCCCAGAAAGGGGCTCCCACAGTGCAGTGGTCGGCTGAAGGGCTCCTCAAGTGCCGCCAAAGTGGGAGCCCAGGCAGAGGAGAAGCCAAGAGCGAAAGAGGGCTGTGAGAACTACCAGCACACTGTCACCTCTCAATACGCTGTGCTGGCAGTGGCCACACATACATACTAGAACGAGACAGGCCCAACTGAGCTGCAGGAAGCATAGCTCACCAAGCTGGGCATCTGAGCATGGTACAGAGCACCATGACTCCCAGTGGTCAGTTCAGGACAGGCACTGGTTTTACCATCTGGGGAGCCCACAAGGATCAGGGTAGTATCCAAGACTCCAGACAGCATGGGAAAGCAGAGAGTCAGTGATATGGTTTGGCTGTGTCCCCCACCCAAATCTCACATCGAATTGTAATAATCTCCCTGTGTCAAGGGAGGAGCCAGGTGGAGATAATTGAATCCTGGGGGCAGCTTAGCCAAGGTGCAGAGTCTGAGGTCTAGTTCTGCTGACAGGAAGAGCAGGCCTCCATCTGGAAAGAACTGGAAACCAGGAGAGTGGCCTCTAAATAAACAGAAATTGAAGGAGACAGAAGCCTTATTCTTATCCTAATTGAGCTCTGGGGTCAGGGGAAAGAAGCAGCAAGATTATTGGGACAGTGAATCCCATGAGCTACCAACCTAGGCCTTCCCAACCTCTGACCAGAGCAAGATTGCCTTCTGCTTTCTGGGTGTGAGTGCTAGGGGAGCCTGCAGGAGGAGGGGAATTTCCTATGAGGTTGTGGCGTCTACTAGAAGGCCACAATGATCAAAAGGGTCATTAGAGCTTCTGCTTGCTCTGAATGGTATTTGTGGAGAGGGAATGTGCCTTATGTTCTCTCTTGCACAGTGGTGGTGTCTCCCTTGACCCTTCCTAACAAACACGGTGAGTGAACCATGAAACGAGAAAACTATCAGGCATCAGTAATACGTAAGGCCTGGGCCAAAATAAAGAGTTATGTGTTGAAAATGAACTAACGCAACTGGTAGATACTTTCCATGCTAACACTTTTGTAGTCTCAGGGTTTATAAAAATCTTTCTTTCTTTCTTTCTCTGTCTTTCTTTCTTTCTTTCTTTCTTTCTTTCTTTCTTTCTTTCTTTCTTTGTTTCTTTCCCTTCCTTCTTTCCTTCTTTCCTTCTTTCTTTCCTTCTTTCTCTCTTTCTCCCTTCCTCCCTTCCTCCCTTCTTCCCTTTCTTTCTTCCTTTCTTTCTTTCAGCCTGGGTCTTATTCTGTCACCCAGGCTGTAGTGCAGTGTCATAATCATGGCTCACTGCAACCTGGAACTCCTGGGCTCAAGGGATCCTCTCATCTCAGTCTCCTGAGTAGCTAGCACTACAGGCACGTGCCACCACATTGGGCTAATGTTTTAATTTTTTTGTAGAACTGGGGTCTCACTATATTGCCCAGACTGTTCTGGAACTCTTGGCCTCAGGTGATCCTCCCACCTCGGCTTCCCACAATACTGGGATTACAGACGTGAGCCACCAAGCCTGGCCAGTTTACAAAGATTTCTAAAGAAAGATCCCAGGAAACAATTTCAAGCATCGCTCCTACATGTCACTTTGTGATATTTTTCATGCATAGAAGGAATAATACATTAAGCCTGCGTGCATCTCAGTGCGGTACATGTTTTACTCATTTGCTTAATTTGCTGAAGATTTTAATGTCACGTGGCTGCAGAGAGGGACATGGAAACACTTAGAAGGACTCAGGGCTTTAACATCAAACGCCCACTTTTGATTCTCCTGCCAAGAAAGAACAAAATATTTGTCTCTCGGATAGTTAACCTCTCTTCCATACACAGTCCACAACACATTGCATTGGCAAGCTATATGCAACCCCCTTCTCCTCTATAAAGGATGGTAATCTTTTTGCTTACAAAGATGAGAAACACCAGGAACACCCATCATTCTCCAACAAATTAGCTTGTCTTGAGACTATTTTCCATGTAATTTAAGGGTAAATGTCAGAGAAGTGTTTCCCTTTATTGGAAGTAAGGAGCTAAAGTTCTAAATGCTGGTAAGAAATGCAGTTTGTAACTCCTTCAGGCACGGGGTCTTTATCTGCCCTGAATGATCTTCTAGTGCCCAGGATTCAGTGTCCAGGGAAGGAATAGACACCTGTCTGTGTAACCCAAGGGTGACAGAGCTTAGCATCTTTTTTTTTTCAATTTCTTTCTTACATCCAAAGACTCTGGATATCTTACATATAAACCAACCCAAGGGTTTTCTGACATATTTTGCCCAAGTTGGAGTTATACACATGTGCCAATCACCAGTGAAGGGTGATTACTTATTCAGTAGAAAGGAGCTTTGAAGAACGGTGGGAAGTAGTTCTGTATAAATGACACATTTTATCTGTTTTTCAAATAATTCATGGAAAATACTGACATAAAGTGCCAATTATTTTTTCCCCATGAATAGGGCTGGCAGTCTTATTGTATACTTTAAAAGTCACTTACAATTTGCTCACATTTCTTAACTCCCCAGGGAAAAGAATGTATTTCCTTTGCTCTAAAGATTAAAGTTCAATTTGACTTCATATTTTGTGGAAGGGATTCTTAAAGGCATTGCATTCTCATATCCTAGATATCATTACAAGCTGTAAATTTGGTGATTGATGTCTACATGGCAGCCTCCAGAGGCTGCGTGCTAGTTAAAATAATAAAGTGCTCCTTAGCCTCTAGATGCATTCGAGAGAATAGCAGGTGGTCATTGTTTACTGTGCTAAAGTGAGCCACTCCGTTTGAGACAGCTCATTTTGGACTCAAGCTGAATGCCATGCCTGAGTGATCTGACTTCTAACAAAGCCACCAATAGACTCATTCTGTTGTTTAATTTGAATGAGAATTAGCTGCTGCTTCGTGCAAGCCAAAGACCCTCTATTAGAAACTGGTTCTCTAGAAATGTTTATGGAAGCCCAGTGGCTGCAGCATTTTGGAGGGGTGTGAGAATGATCTGATCTTCCATGGAAGCACATTGCATTTCCAATCTCACCATTCCACTTCAGACTCAAGCAGATGTGGCAGGGAGAGGCGGTAATATATTTTGCCATATGTCAGGGCCACTGTGTCACTCAGACTCCCAGGAAATGACACAGACTCAGGGAAAACAGTGGCCCATATATTTTCATTAAAAAGAGAGCATGTGACTGGTTCACAGTCAGGGCAATTGACACAGACCCCTTCTCCAAGAGCGTTATATTAATATTAGCAAGAGCACAGGGCCACGGCTGCTGAAGTTTTAGTCCACAGAGTCAAGAAAGCACAAAATCCAAAAAGCTGGGATTTGCAAGACACTGTTCCCAAAAGCAGTCTCCCTGATAGGTTTGCACAAAACTCTTTGGGGTAAGCAGTAACTGTACCCTTCACACTGTGGCAGGTCCAGCCACAGGCAACATAGAACATTCTAGCCTTGCATCTTAAAACATGCCTTTTAATAATGTGACCTGGAGAATCTGAGTTCAACATACAGAGTGTCTGAACACTTTAGAAGTGATTTATCAGGGTCCTAGTATAAGAATCGAGGCCCAGGCAGAACCAAACTGCCTGCTTCTAACAACTCCTTTTCGAAGGACCAGCTTGTTTTTATATATTTCTTTGTGATATTGCTCGGAATCTGTGTCTCCATTCAGAAACCCATCCAGTATCTATTTTTTTTCAAAAAGAAGACAGACCATTTGTCTAAGATCAGATGAGCGTGATGGAGGACACAAACATTATGATTGAAATATAATCAAGATATTAATGCAATCGGTACTGTTTTTAGAAGAAAAAAATTGATGCCATAATTCAGGGTCACCATGGCAATCCTTATTTGCTTATTAATTTGTTACTACTTTAAAGTTTTCCTCTTGGCTCATTCAATGTAGCCTGGCAAACATCCATACCTTGTTTCTCATGGTGTTTATTTGCTCATTCCATGATTTTTACCAATGATGCTGGGCATTTTCAAGATTCAGCCTAACAATGTACATGGACAGGCTTAGTCTCCTCTGGGATTTTCTGCCTGGGATGATGCAATTTCCAGGAGCTCATTACACCATAAAGGAGACGCACGCCCCTTTTCTTAGGAAACAATCTTCTGTCTGTTGGAGGTCTCTTGCTCTCCAGTTTAAAAAGCTTTAACTGTGCTTTAAGACTTTGTCATTCAATTCTTATTTATTCTTCTTAATCTCCTTGGGATTCTTACATTAGGTGTACAATAATCCTGTTAAGCCCTCAAGACTTCTCCTAAATGAGTGGCAGTTCTGGGTAATGGATTGAAATATCCCTTGCATTTTCTAGAAACACTGTATCTTGTTTTATGATCGTCGTTTTCTGGGAGTCCCAGCTAATTTAGGAAGTGGGGAAAAGAAAACATTTGCTGAATCTCAGCTGAGAACAACACGAAGATGATCATCCTAGGGAAAGTACAAAGTATACAAAAATAATACAAAAAGGCAGGTTTCTCTCCTTCAAAAAGAAAGTCCCCATTTATTCTTTCCCAGTGAAGTCTCTGACTTCTGAACTCTCTGACTACTCCCAGGCAGTTTGATGTAGTTCTCTTTTCATTGTTGTGGATACAATGGTGAACCTTGGATAATGGTGTGCCTCACAGACCAGGCAGGAAGTGAGAACCTGAAATCTGCAGAAGCAGGGTTTTTAGAAAGCGGTAGAATCTTAACAGGCGAGAAGTCAAAAGTCAGAATGCAAGGGTATCAAGGTGAAGTAAGACAGAGGTTCAGCAACCAGGAAAGAACACAATGCCACAAGTTCCCAGGTCAAAGAAAGACAGAGGGTCAGCAAGCTGTTGGGCATCTAGGACTCTACTCATGAGACATGTGGAACAGAGCTTGTAATTCAGCCTCTGTGAAAAAGCCCTTGACATGATTTCTGCTGTGGAAGGAGTCATTTTCATTGTATTTGCAGCCCAGGGACTGAAAATAAGGGCTGATGATGATGGGAATATAATAGAATGCTAAGCTGGGTGTGGTGGCTAGCGCCTGTAATCCCAGCATTTTGGGAGGCTGAGGTAGGTGGATCACCTGAGGTCAGGAGTTTGAGAGCAGCCTGGCCAACATGGTAAAACTCCGTCTCTATTAAAAATACAAAATTAGCCAGGTGTGGTGGTGGGTGCCTGTAATCCCAGCTACTTGGGAGGCTAAAGCAGGAAAATCGCTTGAACCCGGGAGGCAGAGTTCGTAGTGAGCTGAGATTGCACCATTGTACTCCAGCATGGGCAACCAGAGTGAAACTCTGTCTCAAAAAAAAAAAAAAAAAAAAAAGAATGCTAAAAGGGCTCTATTGAAAAAGTATATTTCTTACAACCTCCACTACTTAATATAGACCCCCTTCCTGTATTTGTTCATTTTTTAAAATTCCCAGAATAGATTACTGCAAAGTTTCCAACTTTCAGAGATCTTTAAGGCCATCTGGAAGCTTTGGATATAAGACATATCTAATCTTAAAGCACATCACCCACATTAGCACATGAAGTTCTGCTGAGGAATTTACTCAGTCCTTCTGAGCTTCAAGGAACAGGTTAATTCCAATGCCTTTGTCTGAAAAAAAATGGATCCTTCCTTTCTAGAGCTTTCCCTGGCAATGACCAATATCACAAGAACAGAGCCCTTCTCAGACAGCATTGCATCAGCACGAGCATAGGGCCATGGCTGTCCAGGGAGTCAAGAAAACACAAAATATAAAAAACCTGAGATTTGCAAGACATTATTCCCAAAAGTAGCCTCCTGGATTCTTTTGCATAAGACTGTTTGGGATGGGCAGTAAGTGCAGCCAGGACACTTGCAAGTCCAGCCATGAGCAACATAGAACATTCTAGCCTTGTACCCTAGAACATGCATTTTTATAATGTGATCTGGAGAATATGAGTTCAATACACAGGGTCGGAAAGTGGGAGCTAAGACAGGAAGGAGGATAGGGTGGAACTCAAAAACAAGACTTAGGTGGTGATGGAGAATGCTAAAATTTTAGCCATATAAGTACAGAAAAAAATAGACAATAACACATGTATGTATCTATTTCAACAGTTTCTGGGTGTTTACAGTGTACCGAGCACTGTATATTTGACCAGATACCAAAGAGAGTCGGTGAGAAAAATACCAGTGGCCTCTAACCATCTCTGCATTCAGACAGCAAGAAAGTTTTGAGAGAAACCAGGATATCTAGGAAACGATCCAGACAGGTTTGGAAAGATAGTCCTTTTAGACACAGCACTTCAGGAAGTATATGTTAAAATGGCAAAAGCTCTAGATTGAAGTCTGGGTTTCAGTTTCGGTTTTAGAATTTTGAGCAAGTCTCTAAATTTTACTGGCTCTCTGTTTCTACTTCCATAGACACGATGCTTTGTTAACCCTGGAGGAAGGACATCATTGTCCTGCAGGATGCTGGGTGTTGTTATGAATGCAAGAGCCAGCAGGGGATGGTACAGAGGATGCAGAGACCAACTCTCCCTAAGAGCTCAAAGCAGCTTCACAAGCATTTGAACTGGGCCTTGAACAGTGAGCACAAATTCTTCAGGCAAACAGAGATGGTAAGTTGTCTATTTCTGGCAGTGAATAGAGAAAATAGCATTTATTAAGGTCCTGAAGAATTCATGCTTTCATCCATTTATTCAACAAATATTTAGTGGTAATTTATTAATAATGAACAAATTATTAGTTATTATTAGTTATGTTGATTATTAGTATTATTAACTGACACTGTTGTAGGCACTGGACTACAGCAATAAATAAGGCACACCATGTATCTGTCCTCAAACTCTACAATCCAGTGGCAGGGAATGAAGGAAACTGAGGTCAAGTTATGCAAAGTGAACCAGAGATGATGCACAAAAGGATGATGCTCCGGCAGGGCATGGTGGCTCACGCCTGTAATCCCAGCACTTTGGGAGGCCGAGGCAGGTGGATCATAAGGTCAGGAGTTCGAGACCAGCCTGGCCAACATAGTGAAACCCCATCTCTACTAAAAATACAAAAAAAAAAAAAAAAAATTAGCTGGGCATGGTAGCGGGCTCCTGTAATCCCAGCTACTCAGGAGGTTGAGGCAGGAGAATCGCTTGAACCTGGGAGACGGAGGCTGCAGTGAGCCAAGATCACGCCACTGCACTCCTGCCTGGGCGACAGAGAGAGACTCCATCTCAAAAAACAAAACAAAACAAAAAAATGATGATGCCCCATGGATGGCTCGAACCAGAAATAGGTAAAGATGAGATCCAAAGTGGTACTGAAGACATTTCAGATTTATTAACTACACACAAAGAGTAGTTGGGGCTTTTGAGGTTTTCTGTTTATCCATTCAGAAATATTTACTGAACACTTGATGTTTCTGACACTGTTCTAAAATCTTTGCATGCATATTTCCGTGGCAATCTTGCAAGGTAAGAACTATTCCATTATCATTTTATAATACATACCAGGAAATGAGCACTGAAAGGCATGAGTACTATGCCTACGGTTATATGATAATAAGGAGTATATCTTGGATTTGAACCCAGCTCGGGCTAACTCCAAAGCCCTTTCTCATTTTACTACATCAGTGAATCACACCAGGCTGATCATAGCAGAATTTATTGAGGGAGGGGCCCATGTATCAGTATTAATTTTTCTATGATTTATTTATTTATTTTAATACAGATGGGGTCTCACTATGTTGTCCAGGCTGGTCATGAACTCCAAGCCTCAAGCAACTCTCCTGCCTAGGCCTCCCAGAGTGCTGAGATTACAAGCATGAGCTACTACATCCAGCTTCAGTATTTATTTTATTTTATTTTATTGTAGTTTAGTTTTTTTTAGTTTAGTTTAGTTTAGTTTTGAGATAGGATATGGCTCTGTCACCCAGACTGGAGTGCAGTGGCGTAATCTCGGCTCACTGCAACTTCTGCCTCCCGGTTTCAAGTGATCCTCCCACCTCAGCCTCCTGAGTAGCTGGGACTACAGGCACATACCACCGCACCTGGCTAATTTTTGTATTTTTTGTAGATACAGGGTTTCTCCATGTTACCCAGGCTGGTCTTGAACTCCTGGGCTCAAGCAACCCTTCTGCCCCAGAGTCCCAAAGTGCTGGAATTACAGGTGTAAGCCACTGCGCCTGGCTCAACTTTACTGTTTTTAAAAAGATGTCTAGCTAGTTCCAGTGTGCACCTAGGCTAGGGAATAGTTGCCCTATATAAAAAGCAAAACACAAACAAAACAAAACCCTCAGGATAACTACCTACTGATTTAAAATATAAGTTGGCATTCATTAGCATCTTGCTTATTTTACTCATGTAATGATTTGCTTGGATGCCCAGGTTGATGGGAAAAAGGGGTTCCATGTAGTTGAAAAACCTAGACAGTAGTCAACATGCAGGCACCATGCTCGTTCCTCCCCTGACATTCAACGCTAGGTTGAGATCACATCGTTACATGGGATAACACCGTCTTTTATTGTTCTTTTATTGCTATGTGATCTCCTGAACTGTGTTCCTCCAACTTAGAATTTAAAAAGAAACATTTCTGGGTTCTGCCTAGTAAAACATAAATCTTGGAAAATCAAATCCCAACTAGAGAAATCTGGTTTGGATCAGAGTAACTAAATCATTAATCTGGATCTTTCTCCAAAACTGGAACCCACCCAAATCCAATCCATGATATATATGAAAGAGGCCAGATATTTAGATGGACATTAATTCTTTCTTTTTGTTGATGTGTTTGTGCTGACAGAAGAGTCAGAGACCAAAGGCAGAATACTGAAAGATTGTGTTTGGGTATTTTTAGCCTGATTAAAATAAGGAATGATTTAAAACTATTTCAAATAGCTCTTCCCACAGAATTCTGCAAATCTTCCAGCCTGCTTTCTGGACCAGAGAAGCTTGGCTAAAGGAGCTGGACATCGGGCAACCCCTCCCATTTGGATTGAGCCTCCAACATTCAGAGGTTGCACCCCATCAGTCTAAACAACATTTTTTTTTGCGTGATAGAAACACAGACCACAGATTGGAATTGTCTGTTTGTACTTAGATGGGAAGTCCTAGCAGTTCTCATCAACCCTTGAAGACGTTAAAAATCACGCCACAGTTGGCCAACCGTCTGTTTACCTCTTGAAGAACTCTCTCAGATGACAGTAATCACAGGCAGGTTCTGAATCACAGGCTGATGTTAACATGTACCAAGGCTATACCCCCTGGAAAAGCCTATTTCCAGCCTTCTGAGGCTACTTCATTACTACCCTGGCTTTCCTGGCTCCTAATGGTCAGGGTGGAGGGAGGGACGGAGGTAGGGGAGATCTGGGAAGCCTGGTTAGCTAGAAGTTCCTGCCTTGTCACAGCACTAATCCTGCAATTTCTCCATTGGATTTCTGGACTGATGAGCAATTTTGATGCTGATAAGGCAGAAACACAATCACTCTCCTGGGCCCTTGTATTTTGCAGGGTAACTTGGATAATACACCCCATCTCGGCACCTCTGCGAGTGTAACTCATTTCCTCTGCCCAGAGGAGAAACAAGGACTCCTTGGACAAAACGGTGCTTCCTTTCATAGCCAATGAATTGGGCATTTCTCCAGGTTCTGTGAAGCTTATTTAGTGACATTCCCCAAAACCTGTGCCCCGAGAAGTTCCTTCTTCTCTGACTTTAGGTAGAGTCCGAGATTCATTTCAGTGATTTGGCTAACATGTAAAGTGTCTCACATGTGAAAGAGAATCAAAATAACTTGAGCACAACAACAGACAAACAAAAGCAATACTTGACCAAGACCTCTTGTACTTTTTCTGCTCTGGGACTCTCCAAGCACTGTTCACAAATGCAGTGTATGTGGAAATCTATGGTATTGTTATGATCTGTCAGTGATGGTGCATATTAAAACCCAGTTTTAGTTAATATTCACTCATAGCCTTTGCTTGTTAATATTTACACACTTGGCTTAGAAGATAGAAAGGCTCGGCCAGGTGTGGTGGCTGACGCCTGTAATCCCAGCACTCTGGAAGGCCGAGGCAGGCGGATCACGAGGTCAGGAGATCGAGACCACCCTGGCTAACACAGTGAAACCCCATCTCTACTAAAAATACCATAAAAAATTAGCCGGGAGTGGTGGCGGGTGCCTGTAGTCCCAGCTACTCAGGAGGCTGAGGCAGGAGAATGGTGTAAACCTGGGAGGCGGAGCTTGCAGTGAGCTGAGATCGCGCCACTGCACTCCAGCCTGGGCGACAGAGCGAGACTCCATCTCAAAAAAAAAAAAAAAAAAAAAAAAAAGAAGATAGAAAGGCTCAACAGAATTCTACAGAAAGAAACTCGAACCATCCAATCATGACGTTAGCGATGTGTTGTCTCTAATCAAGTTACCTGATTACCTAGGTAACAGGAGGCCTTAGCAGTCACCCCTGGCACGCATGGACCACTTACTGGCAACTCTTTTGTGGCTGTGAATTCATATAGTATTTGGTTAAATGGTGACACAAAATTGATCCCTAGTGCGATATTCAGTGGATTTTTCTCATTTCTAAATGGGCATTCCACACTGAAAACTTGCATGCCAGTTGCCCATACAGAATGCTCTTTTATTCTTTAAGAATGGAAAATAAGTCATTTTCATTTGATTCAGAGTGGACAACCTCACGTGGGGACAGGAAAGTCTAACCAGAGATTTCAACTGGGGTGTCTGAAGTGTAACTTGCTAGATACATTTGGAACTATCAGACATTCTATCTGCTATACTTAGGGTAGAGGGATTAAGCCTGCATATTCAAGAATGAAACTCCAGCTTTTAAGCCTAGCTTATTATTTTATGTATGTGGGCAAATTAGTTAGCCTCTCAAAACCTTAGTTACTTCATTTTAAAAATAATTATACTGTAATCCCAGCACTTTGGGAGGCTGAGGTGGGTGGATCACCTGAGGTCAGGAGTTTGAGACCAGCCTGGCCAACATGGTGAAACCTCATCTCTACTAAAAATACAAAAATTAGCCGGGTGTGGTGGCATACGCCTGTAGTCCCAGCTACTTGGGAGGCTGAGGCACGAGAATTGATTGAACCTGGGAGGTGGAGGTTGCAGTGAGCTGAGATGAAGCCATTGCACTTCGGCCTGAGTGACAGAGTGAAACTCTGTCTCAAAAAAAAATAAAAATAAAAATAATTATAAAATAGAATCCGCAGTGAGGCTTAGGCAAGATCAACTCTGTCAAGTGGCTCGCATTCTGTGCATTGCACAAGTGGTAAATTCGATTCAATAAACTATCTATTGTTATCATTTTATTATTACTAAATGTGCTTAATCTTGAGAGGCTGCTGTAAAACTCAGTGGCATTTCTAGTCTTAAAGCTGGTTTCAAAAGGAAACTTC
This sequence comes from Homo sapiens, assembly GCF_000001405.40. Taxonomy (NCBI): domain Eukaryota; kingdom Metazoa; phylum Chordata; class Mammalia; order Primates; family Hominidae; genus Homo; species Homo sapiens. The sequence continues at coordinate 33,492,237 of NC_000010.11, forward strand.
TCCATTCGCATTATGACATTTAAAGTTGTTTCTCTGAGGCTTTGGGAAGATCTCCAAGTTCTCCTAACACAATAGAGATCATTTTTATACTCCCTGTAACACCTACGTGGTTAGAGGACAAGAACTGGGGATCTTTATTATTCCAGAGTCTGTCCAAGTGATGTCAAGGATCCTGAGTTGGGACAAGAAAGTAGGGTTACATGCCCCACATCCTACTGCTACATTTTGGGCTTCGGGGCTCTTGGTCTGCTCAGGGTTTGCCCGGGCTGCAAAGTAGTGCTGGCTCATGACTCTAATAACTGCATTAACCATGTCCTCCTCCTTCCATCTCAAGGTTGCCCAGTGGGAATTGTGAATGCCGGGACTCTGCATTTCACAGTTAGTGGATCTGGCTAAATAGATGGAGTAAGTGGGCTTAATTGATTTTTCCCCAAGTTGAGACTTGGGGTAAAGAGGCAAGAATGGGTTTGTAGTGAAGAATCAACTTACCACTGTCAACATGCGATAAGAAATCTAAAAGATTTTCATTGTTCACTAAACAAGACTTCAGCTGGGACTCCCTCTAAAAAGCAACAAACTGTGATTAGAGGAGTCCCAAAGGATGATACGAGCTAAGATAAATGAGCTAAGACATGTTCTATTTGAAACATTTGGGTCTTTCTTGGCAAGAGACATACTCTTATCTTGATAGTGTCTCCTTTCCTTTTCAATTTTTATTTATTATAAACAAAGATTATCCTCAGACTTGAATCTGTTTTGCCAGGATACTCCCCTCCAACATTTTGTCCTTTTCCACTGCTTCCCTTCTCTTTTTTTTTTTTTAAACTATAGGTATGTAATAGGAATTTCCTTCCTTCAAGTAATTGATTTATTTGTGCTGACATCATCAAAATGTCTCAACATGAATTTGATTTCATGTCTAAGATGTTTAAGAATACATATTTCTTACCCTTAAAAACAGAAAGTCATTTTTTTTTTTAGTAAAGTAACTCACCCCTGAAAAACTTGGGCTCTGTTCAAAATTCCCAACATGTGACTTTGAGGATCATCTAAAAGAGTCTCTCCTGGTCTTTCACCATAACGTTCCCACGGTAAATTCACTAAAAACAGAAATGCTCAATATATAAGTTAAAAACCCTGTCAATTTGACCCACATTCGAAATGTTTCAGTGTATCCAGAACACATCTGGACCAAGGTGGGTTGTTTTTTCCTCCTTAAAAAAAAAACGAAAAAAAAAACCCTCACTCGTTTATGTCTTTATATCTTAAACAAAATGAATTAATGGCTTTTAAACCCTTGAAGCACTAAAAAAGGAAAGTGCTTTCAGTCTGACAACTTCAATGATAAGTTGCAGTCCAATGTGTTTTGAAATGGACCAAACATAAATCCATCTTCAATAGGGAGTTTTAATTGGAAGCCACACTGACCCTTAACTCCAGTGTTGCTGCCACACAGCTTTTGATAATGAAGACTGACAAATTGTCTTCACTGGATGTAGACTTTCAATGCACTCCTCCCACGGCCTTGGCCGCACCAGGCATTGGGAAGGAGACGTGCATTTCCCAGGTGTGAGAGGACAACAGAGGTCCACTCCAAGCTACTGGACAGCATCCCCCTCCATGGGGGAAGCAGGTGCCTGAGGAGGAAAGGGTGCTGGGAGAGAATCACACATATCTGAGCAGTGGGAAGCCCAGGGAAACACCTCTGAAGTTAAAAAGAAGGAGGATGTCAGGGGAGAGAGAAAGAAAAGAAACCATCTTTCTTATGGAGAATTCCATCTGCTTGTGGCCTGTTTGGGAACTAAGTTATAGAATGTTTTTGGGCTTCCTAAGATTGATGTGGGAGGGGTTGCAGATCTCATGCAGAGCTCTGATGATTTTTTTTTTTTTCTGAAGAACAGCAAACCAGAAAACAACGGGAGTTTGTAGCTTAGAGAGTGCTGTTGAGCAGAGATTGTGATATTGAGACCATTCCAGGAGAGGAAGTTTTAAGGCCAAAATTAAAATAGCACATTTGTTCCTTGCAATTTGACTTCAGAATCCCCCAAGGCTCCTTCCTTGAGAAGCCTTATTTTTTATCTGAGAGATGTTGTGCACCATATGGATTTTTTTTTTTTTTTGGTTTACGTTCTGAGTTTGCCAAGAATGTCTTATGAGACACAGTACCTCATTTTCCATGGGTGTCCCAAGAGATATCAGGTACCTTCAAAGCTCTCTGTATTTGCTCTGGTAAATGTAAACATGCAGAATAAAACAACACTATTTAGCAAATAAAATGATACTCTCATAACTTTTAAGCTGTGCAAAGCATAATTACTGCAATCTCAATAATTATTATCACTTAATGTTGAAAGAGCACCAACCTTCATTCAGAAGCAAATTAAAATTGGAACCCAGCCTTGACATTCATCTATTAAGACTCAAAGCCTCAACAGAAGGCATATACATGTTTGAACATTTTGACTGAATTTACAGGTGAATTCAATCAATGTGTCAGTTCCCACTGAACTTTCAAGTTGATTGACTACATTGATTGAATAAGTTGACCTATTGTGTTGTCAGCTTGGAGACTTAGCCATTGCATCATCATGGAAGTAGGGAGTTAGCTATGGGACTCAGACCTCAGTGAGAAAGGAGAAATCTGGAGTAGCTGAGTATCAGTCTCTTTGGAATTCTTCACATTTGTTACTGGTATGATGTTGGCAACCCTCAAAAGAATGAATCCATTAAAGTGGACTTCCAGTGGAGTTGTAGAAGTGTTGAATTTAAGGGGAAAACATTCAACCCTCCACTGACAAGCTCCTTTAGACTTCTTTGGCTTCACTTTTTTATTGCTGGCAGTCTTGGAATAACAGACTGCCTCCTGATCTTTCAGCATCTTCTCTGTAGTTCTCAGGCTTACTGGGTACTGTGATTTCAATCTGGAAGACTCTCCATTGCCTGGATCTTTGTTAGCTAAGAAACCACCTTCTTTTCATTTCCTAAACAGTTTTAAGATTGAGAACAATTATTCTTGCTGTCTGATTTTATCTGCTGAATCATAAAAATCTTATCCAGGGCTCAAAATACATACACAGTGACAGAACAGAGAGAAGGAACAGAACTCCCAGCCCTTTGAAGATCTTGTATTTTGTTCATGTAGGGGTATTGTTTGTTTGTTTTTGAAGTTTGTGCTTGGAGTACTCTAGTCTACATGTTTCTTGAGGAATATTCCAGGAAATATCAAATACATACGTATACATATATATATGCAAAAAACTTTTAAATATGACTTATGTAAATAAAAAGTGTAAATTGTCTTATAATATAAAAATATTCACAGCAAGTTGCTAAAGTACCCCCCCCCAAAAAAAACCTATTGTATTTAGCACAATAACTAAAAGAAGTACAACTGCCCCTTGAACAATGCATGGGTTGGAATACCACCCCCCAACTCAGTCAAAATTTTGTGTGTAACTGTTTGTTTTTTTTCTGAGATGGAGTCTTGCTCTGTTTCCGAGGCTGGAGTGAGCTGGTGCAACCTTGGCTCACTGCAACCTCCACCTCCCAGGTTCAAGAAATTCTCCTGCCTCAGTCTCCCAAGTAATTGGGATTACGGTATGTGCCACCACAACCAGCTAAGTTTTTTGTATTTTTAGCAGAGACAGGGTTTCACCATGTTGGCCAAGCTGGTCTTGAACTCCTGACCTCAAGTGAACTGCCCCCCCTGGGCCTCTTAAAGTGCTGGGATTACAGATGTGAGCTACCATGTCCAGCCAAAAATTTGTGTGTAACTTTTGACTCCCACAAAATATAACTAATAGCCAACTGTTATTGGTAATAGCTTTACCAATAACATAAACAGTTAAATAACATGTATTTTGTATGTTATATGTAATCTATACTGTATTCTTACAATAAAATGAACTAGATGAAAGAGAATAACATTAAGAAAATCATAAGGAAGAGAAAACATATTCACAATTTGTTAAATGAAGGCCTTTATCCTCAGTGTCTTCATGTTGAGTAGGCTGAGGAGGAGGAAGAGGAGGGGTTGGTCTTGCTGTCTCAGGGGTGGCAGAGGTAGAAGAAAATCGATGTATAAGTGGATCCACGTGTAAGTGGACCCACGTAGTTCAAATCTGTGTTGTTGAAGGATCAACTGTAAAGAGAACAGGGAACACAACCACAACAACAGCTTAGCCAAACTGAACATGCCGCCTTGAAAAGTCTTGCAGCAAGCTGTCTCCCCCAATATTCTACAGTAACTACCTTTGTCCATTCCGTTTCTGTTTCTAATTTCTTGGCTTTTGTAATTACTAGTTTCATTACGCTCAGAAAGGATGGTCAGGTAGACAGACACCTACTAAAAGTAATGCCCCAAACTAAAGGGGCTAATAAATGGTGAAGTTCTAGAAGGTAATCATTGTCACTTGTTGAGCATGAACTGTGCTCCAGACACCAGAGCAAGTGTTGTATATATTTTAACTCAATTAATCCTCACCATAGAGCATGGTTTGGGGCGTCAGACAGAGCTTGCATCCATGTCTTAGCTTTGCCATTTAACTGCTTGCACGAATGTAGAAAAGTAACTTAAATCTCTCCAGTCTCTGTTTGTTCAACTGTCATCAGGTACTGAAGAGCATCTGACAATTTCCTAAGGTAACTCTACAAGAGGGAATGATGCATGTTGAATTTCTGCATATGACATTATACCATGTATGAATTCTGTTTGCCACCAGGGCTTACCTTCACCTGCACAGTCATCTTTCTACCACCCCAACATGCCCAATTTCTTTAGTCTTTTTTGCATGGATCTTATTTCCAAGGCATTGAATCATCTTCACTGTCCTTTCTGAATTATGCTCGAACTCTCCATAATTCATTTTAGTTAAACTCCAAGCAAAACACAGCTCCCTAATAAGGGCCTGTCTGACATCGAGTTTAAGAGAGGGATTAGTGTGTGCATTTTGCATGCCATATACCTATACTTTAATCCCTAACCCATCGCTATGAAATAGCTTGCCCTCTATTTCAAATGGAGAAGCTGAGGCATGAAGATTAATGGTGTATACTGACATCACACAAATCCAGCAACAATTTAGCATTCTTTGCTCTGATCCAATTTTCATTAAACACCAATACTCTGTCTCTACTTTTTTTCTTGAAGAAACAAGAGCAACATGTTCCTTGGAAGATTAGAAGGAGAAAGATGTTGGCTTTTTGTTTTGTAAGTACATAAATGGTGTTTGAATTTTTTATATAGGTAAGGCTAGATCAGCCTTGAGCAGTTTGCTGTAAGTGCAATGATTAGAACCACATTGAAGCAAAACGAAAGTACAAATAGTGTTTTGTATGTTAAACTATTCTGTTCAAGTTTTTGGTGAGGACTGGGTTTTCTGGTTCACTTGAGACTTTTAAACGACTATTATCAAAATAACTTAAAACAGAATCAAAGGAAATTAATTCCTTTACCATGTTATTGAAGACCATTTCGGTTGAAAAAGAAGGACAACAAATGAATAGGGCAAAGGATTCTGAGAGAATCCCTGGGTGTGCAATTCCTGAATGATAGACTGGGTCTATCTTCTGCATTCTGATATTGTCTGTGCTGCTGCATTAATGTCCATTTATGTAGTAAATACTTAGTAAAACCCTATGCCCACATTAGAGTTTATTTTGGAAGGAGGAAGATGAAAACAAAAGGTATTTCACTTCATCTACATCTAGGTTATCAGCAGAGGTCTTGGTCTTTTCCTGGTCTTATAAACATTCTATAAGACCATTCCTGGTTTTATAAACATTCTTATAAACATATAAGTATGAAGAAGATATTCCCCAAAAGAGAGTGATTTCACCGAGACTTCAAAGAAAAGCTCTACACTTGGACATACTTTCTTCTGTGTCTCTGTCAGTGTCTTATTAATATTGTTCACCATCATCCAGGTCTCAGATAGAGGCTTGGCTTTTCCCTTTGGAAATCTGGCTTCTGGACTTTTTTTATGGCATTGCTGTCTGGAAGGCTGAGTTCTGATGGTGTTTTCTCTATGTGAGTGAAAGCAGCAGTTTCTTATTTTAGAAGAAGCATTTTTAGGGTTTCATCACATCTGTCAAAGACAAAGCCCTAGAGGTGAAATCCTTCCTCTACAAGCAAGCTCATATCTCCTCATCTCTGGTATCTCAAACTTCCCTTGGAAGATAATAAATGGCAGGTCCTTGAGAAACAGGCTTGTCCTCAGAGAAGCCCAAAGTGCTTTAAGGGTCAGTCAAAAGGCTGAAAGTTCAGCATTCAACTCCTCTGAGCACTTTGCCCTTGTGTCCAGCCTTGCAGCCCTGGTGACAGTTAACAGCCGGATTCTTGGTGACGTGGAAACTTGATCACCACTTCAGTGCACGGGCCATCAACTATGTGACCCTGGGGTGAAAGCCTCCATGTTATGTTACCTCTCCCCCTCAGCCAGGCCATCCCCCAAAAGCACTGCTTTTCAATTTATATTTATATTGTCTTTCCCTCCTTCCTGTTCTTTCACACGAGGCAGCTGACAATGGTAATAAATGTGGTCGTACTCAAGGATGGGGCTGTGACAGGCTCAATAAGGAGGGGACTGATTTGTTGCTTTGGGGTTGAAAGCTCAGACTTTCATGAAACAAAAATATTATATTCAGGGTAATGATTTATGGCCTTGACTCCTGTTTGATTGCAGACCATAAATACTAGCAAACGGTACTTACGGCATCTCTAGAGGACATTAGGAACATGCTCAAGTTTATTTTATACAGCAATTACTGATGGACTATAAGCATGGACATTATTTGAAAGACATTATTTTCTCCAAAATAAGTCTTTGTAGATGATAATGTTCAACAATGATTTTCATACACTCCAACCCAATCCATGTGACTCGAAAGTGCTCAAAGAAATCCAATGACAGATCAACTAGTTGATGCCAATCGATACTCTGACAAGGATCTCATCTTTTTTGTTTTTTATCCTGTAATAAGCTTCTCAGCCTCAGATGCATGGCCTATGACTAGCATTATCCCTTCAAAATTTAGAAACCACGAAATCATCTGGTTGTAAACTTACTGCCTGGGATTGTCATAGGAACCTTGTTCAAATCTCTTTGATTTCCTCGTGTCTAATTTGTTTAGCTGTAAAGCAGGGATACCTTCTCCAGGGGATAGTATGGGCCTTAATCACATCATTTCTATTTTCCTGCCTTTTCTGATGTAGTCTCATCATTACTCTCACTCTAGAGTAGATCCTGAGTTCTCTTACCGCCTTGACTATTCCAAAGTCTTGAAGCCATGAGAATGTGATACTATTATCCCATTATAACTGAAGCCGGTACCAGCCAGAATGTAGAGGAGTGACTTATTATAAGAATGTTTCATTTATATTACAAAAAAAATTTAAATCCCAAGAGGAATTTATTTATATTCCCTGTATTTAGTGCTCAGTTTATTAATTTATTTAAAGCACTAAATTACATTTTTCTAAAACAGATTTGATCCTTATGTGGAAAAGAAAAAGACCTCTCTAAAACTTTCTATTGAGTGGTAGGAGTTGGATCCAAAAGATGCTATTTGAAATGCTATTGAAGGAAAGTCTCGCTGCAGATAGGAGAATGAATGGCTTAGGGGCTACTTTACATTCATTATTACAATTGGTAGCCACTTTTCCCTCCTTATCTTATTTGAGAGACTTCCCAGAAGATAGAAACCAATTAACTCTTTATTTTGGCAGTGATCATCCTAGGTGTTCTTTTAACGGGTATTATACTTGCTAAATTATAGATGAGCTTGCTAGTAAGACAAATGCCATTATCTGAGTTATTTATTCATGGGACATCGTCTGCAACATACCCACACTAGTTTTTCGCAAAGTTTGGTATTGATCAATTGCTTTAATCAGTTGTACCAAGGGATGCTAAAAGACTCAGCTATCACAGCTTTGAATATCAGCATCTCTCTCTGGGTCTCTGCCAGGCTGGGAGTGAAAACTGCAGCTATTTTCAAACTCTTAATAACAAGAACGCTAAGTAGAAGTAAATGGCTCTTTCCATTTAGATGGGTGAATGTTCATCATTACTCCGCCTTCATACCCATGAACTCATCACTTTGACAGTATCATCATATTTTTGTTTCTGCATTTTCTTCCTTTGGAATGTTAGCTGGAATGTTTGCAAACATCTAGCCTCCTGGCCTCTTTTAATGATACCCACATATCTTTTCAGATTTTGCTTTCAAAGCAGGGAACAAACTCTGCTGGTTCCTCAGAAACACATGGCCAAGATCCTCAGTAGATAATCAGCATTCTGTCTAGAGGCAATTAAAGATGATATAGTTGGGGCTGTATTTTTATTTATACTGTGTAATGAGGCTCCAAATTAAAAAAGTTATATCCTAATCTCCATTAATGTAAGGAGTTGCAGTCTTGTGAGTGCAGTGGTCCATATTAGATGGCAAATTTGTCATTTTTACACTTTCGTTCAGTGCCAAGATTCCGCATTTCCTGAGGACAAGTGCTGATGCAAATAGCAGGAGCTCTACCCACCTCTCTTTTCGTCCTACTGTGGAAGTGGGTTTCATTTGAGCAATAAGACATGACAGACAGCGCATTTGCGGGCAATTATGTCACACCTTGGGTGGTATCAGAAAGCATAAGGTCAAAGGATGGGGGCTTTAACTTCCTAAGAAATGCAATAATGACCCTGAAATGCACAGCTTGGGTACCTTATTACAATTGTAGGATGGAATACATTAAAATGAAGAAAACAAGGAACAAAGATGAAAGTGGGACTTGGTCGATGGGGGTATGAAATCAATGTCAGGCAATCATAAGTCTTTGTATTTGAATTTCTAAAAGCATTTCCAAATGGTTATCCCTTCATAAAGCTTTAGTACTTTCTCATGCACAATCAGACACGGATTGTCTACAAAGAGCTTCTAACCAGTTCCTCTACCTTTTTTTAATGAAGTTGGTAAGAATTGGAAGAAGAACCATTTCTTTTTGTTTGAGAAGAAAACTTTGTCAAGGCTGGTGGCTGGCATCTGCACCAGTTTTAGACAGGCCAGAGGTAAGGATGGGACAGTACCAGTTGGAGAGGATCAGAACCCTGTGGGGTAAGTAAGCACCATTGAATCACTGCTGAGAAATTCAAGGCACTCTGTATAAAGACAAGACCTGTGGTAGGCTGAAAAATGCACCCCTCACAAAGACATCTGTATCCTAGTCCCTGGAACCTATGAATGTTACCTTATATGACAATTAAAAAAAATAAATAAAGGGTCTTTGCGGATTGATTAAGTAATGATCTTGAGAAAGGGAGATTGCACTCAATTTCCATATGAGCCTTAAATACCATCATATTTCCTTGTAAGAGAGAGCCAGAGGCTGGGTGCAGTGACTCAGCCCTGTAATCCCAGCACTTTGGGAGGTGGAGGCAGAAGGGTTACTTGGGCCTAGGAGTTAGAGACCAGTCTGGGCAACATGGCAAAATCCCATCTCTACAAAAAATACAAAAATTAGCCAGATGTGGTGGCATGCGCCTGTTGCCTACTCGGGAGGCAGAGGTTGCAGTGAGCTGAGATCAGGCCACTGCACTCTAGCCTAGGCGACAGAGAGAGACTCCATCTTTAAAAAAAAAAAGGAGGCAGAGGAAGATTCTACACACAGACACACAGAGAAGGTGATGTGACCACGGAGGCAGAGACTAGACAGATGCCCCCACAAGCCAAGGAATGCCAGCCATCTCGAGAAGTGTGAAGAGGCAAGGAACAGATTCTCCCTTAGAGCTCAGTAGGGTGCATAGCCCTGCTGATACCTTGGTTTCAACACAGTGAAACTGCTTTTTGGACTTCTGGCCTCCAGAACTATGAGAGAGAAAGTATTTGTTATTTTAAGCCACCTAGTTTGTGGTAATGTGTTGCAGTGACCACCGGAAAGTAACGAGTCCCAGTGGGCTTGGGGCTCCCGGTGTCTCAGGCCCCACCCCTCTGGGATTGTTCTTCTAGGCTACCATGTGGGTGTATTTCTACATCATGCACTGTTTTCAAAGAACCCAAAAGTAGACGATGTCTTGACTACCGTTCAGCTGCTTTCTCCCCTGCTATCATTTTCTGTGGGAACTATGAGACAGGAATTAAGCCTCACAGACACTTCTTTTACAACCTCATGGTTTTCCTCACCCTCATCCTCCCCTGACCCAGAGAAGCAAAATCCTACTTCTTTTTCCAAGCCTAATTCTCTCAGAGAGGCTTCTCCTTGAGCCTCTGAGTTTGCCTCCCTCCTCATAGTTCATCTCGTACAAACTATGACTATCAATTTTAACCCTTCTGTGCCATTTGCCACTGAGACACCTTATGTCACAGCCATCTCCCTGGTGAGGCTCTAACCTCTACCAAGGACAGAACCTTGTCACCTTTCTATCTTCCAAGGTGCCAGGACCACATTTCCCATCTTGAGATGTAATGTTTCTTTGAATAGTGATATTGCTTGATGGAAGGATACAAGAGCTGTCCAAGGAAGGTGGGCTGGTCCTGTGTTTCTGCTTCGGCCTGGAGTCTCCTACATGGTGGGAAAGTAAGAGCTTAGACAGCTCAATAGGCCCAAACTGCAAGACGTCATGCCCCAATACTTCTTACAGATGCCAAGTAAGAGACGCTGAGAGATCAAGAGACAGGCAGAAGCCGCAGGGATGGAGCAAAGTAGGGGTACGTTAAAGAGAATCCTAACTGCTCCAAGCAGAGTTGAGAACCCATAGTTTGTGTAACTCAGACAGACCACTTAAAGAAATGGGGTCAAAAAGCCATGCATGAATATACCTCAGAGATACTGCAAGTGCAGTCTCAACCTGTCCCAATAAAGCGAGTCACGTGAATTTTTTGGGTTTCCCAGTGTGTACGAAATGTATGCTTACACTGTACTGTGGTCTATTAAGTGTGCATTATCATTATGTCTAGAAAAACAATGTACATACCTTAAAGAAAAAAATGCTTTATTGTTAAAAATGCTAATAATAATCTGAGCCTTCAACAAGTAATTATTTGCTAGTGGAGGGTCTTGCCTCGATGTTGATGGCTGTTGACTGATCAGACTGGTCATTGCTGAAGTTTGAGATGGCTGTGGCAAGTTCTTAAAATAAGACAATGGTGAAGTTTGCCACATCGATTGGCTCTTTCTTCCATGAAAGATTTCGCCGTAGCATGAGAAGCTGTTGGATAGTATTTTACCCACAGCAGAACTTTGTTTAACATTAGAGTCAATCCTCTCATATTCTGTCTCTGCTTCTCAACTTACTTTATGGAATATTCTAAAGCCTTTGATGTAGTTTCACCAATGCTCACTGCGTCTTCACCAGGAGTACATACCATCTCAAGAAACCACTTTCTTTGCTCATCCATAAGAAACAACTTGACATCTATTCAAATTTGATTATGAAATTCCAGCAATTCAATGACATCTTCTTGCTGCATTTGTAATTCTAGCTCTCTTGATATTCCCACCACATCTGCAGTCACTTCCTCTACTCAAGTCTTGAACCCCTCAAAGTCATCCATGAGGGTTAGAATCACCTTCTTCAAAACTCCTATTAATATTGATATTTTGATTTCCTCCTGTGAATCATGAATGTTCTTAATGGCATCTAGAATGGTGAATCTTTTCCAGAAGGTTTCCAATTTATTTTGCCCGGATTCATCAGAGGAATCACTCTCTATGGCAGCTATAGCCTTACAAAATGGATTTCTTAAATAGTAAGACTTGAAAGTCAAAATTACTCTTTGATTCATGATCTACAGAATGGATGTTGTGTTACCCAGAATGAAAACAACGCTCATCTCCTTGTACATCTCTTCCAGAGCTCTTGAGTGATCAGGTGTATTGTCAATGAGCAATAACATTTTGAAAGGAATATTTTTTCCTGAGCAGCAGGTCTCAACAGTGGGCTTAAGATATTTAGGAAACCATGCTGTACACAGATGTGGTATCATTCATGCTTTGTTGCTTCATTTCTAGAACATAGGCAGAGTCAATTTAGCATAATTTTAAGGGTCTTATGATTTTCAGAATGATCAATGAGCACTGGCTTTAACTCAAAGTCACCAGCTTCATTAGCCCCTAACAAGAGAGTCAGCCTGTCCTTTGAAGCTTTGAAGCCAGGCACTGACTTTTCATCTCGAGCCATGAAAGTCCTCAGTGGCATCTTCGAATAGAAGGCTGTTTTGTTTACATTGAAAATCTGCTGTTTAGTGTAGCCACCTTCATCAATGATCTTAGCTAGATCTTCTGGATAACTTGCTGCAGCTTCTCCATCAACACTTGCTGCTTTACTTCACACTTTTAGGTTATGGAGATGGCTTCTTTCCTTAAACATAACAATCCAACTTCTGTTAGCTTCCAGCTTTTCTTCTGCAGCTTCCTGACCTCTCTCAGCCTTCATGGAATTGAAGGAGTTGAGACATTGCTCTGGATTAGGCTTTGGTTTACAGGAATGTTGTGACTGGTTTGATCTTCTATCCGGACAAATAAAACTTTCTCCATATCAGCAATAAGACCAGTTCACTTTCTTATCCTTTGTGGGTTCACTGGAGTAGCACTTTTAATTCCCCTCAATAATTTTCCTTTGCCCTCACAACTTGGCTGTTTGTCCCAAGAGGCCTAGCTTTCAGCCTATCTCAGCTTTCCATATGCCTTCCTCACCAAGCCGAATGATTTCTGCTTTTGACTTCAAGTGAGAGATGTGTTACTCTTCCTTTCACTTGAACACTTAGAGACCACTGGAAGGTTATTATTTGGCCTAATTTCAGTATTGTTGTGTCTTCTGAAATAGACTCTAGGAGAGGAAGAGGGACAGGGAATGGCCAGTTAGTGAAGCAATCAGAACAAACAGAACATTTATCAATTAAGTGCACCATCTTAGATGGGCACAGTTTGTGGAACCCCAAAACAATTACAATAGTAACTGACATCAAAGATCATTAATCACAGAGCACCATAACCGATACAATAATAATGAAAAAGTTTAAAATATTGGGAGAATTGCAAAAATGTGATTCAGAGATATGAAGTGAGCACCTGCTGTTGGAAAAATGGTGCCGATCAATGTGCTGCTCAGTGCAGAGTTGTCACAAACCCTCAATTCGTAATTTTTTAATGCAACATTTATGAAGCACTATAATGCAAAGTACGATAAAACGAGGTACGCCCGTATCTCAGTGAACACCTAGTGTGCTGTGTTGCATGGATGGGTGGTCACATGTCCCTGTCTCCTTCCACATACATCCACTCATAGTGAACCCAGAATACTTCTGGGACCAGATGTGTGAGGATTTTTCCCCACACACTAAGCAATTCTTCAGTGGACACCAACTAGGTGTCCTATAATTTAATTCAATGTGACACTATCTACCTGGAAATGGTGTCAGACCCCACAGGTTAAGGGCTCAGTCTCACAATGCTTCCCCAACTTTAGACACCAATTGCAAGGTTAGTACATTGTCGCCTGTGCTTCTGACTAACCGTCTATAAATCGGGGGTCCTACTACTCCCTCCATGGGTTTAATTTGCTAGCATGGCTCACAGCACTCAGGGAAACACACTTACTTATGTTCACCAGTTTGTTATAAAGGATATTACACAGGATACAGATAAACAGCTGAGGAAGAGATGGATACCGTGAGTTATGGGGGTGCACAACTTCCACCCCGTCTCTGGGGCTCCACCCTCCCAGTACCTCCCTGTATTCAGCCACTGGAAACTCACCAAATCTTGTTGTTCAAGTTTTTGTGAAGCTTGATTTCTATTTGCCCCCCACCAACCCACCAGCTATCAGTAGGTGGGGCTGACAGCTCCAACCTTCTAATCCTCTAATCACCTTGTCTTTCTGTTGACTGGCTCCATACAGAGACTATCTAGGGGTGTCACCCTACGTAATCTCTTTACCATAAACTCAGAAAGTGATCAAGTGGCTTCATTATAAATAACAAAAATAGTCCTATCACTCAGAAGATTCCAGGGGTTTTAGGAACCCCATGTCAGGAACTGGGAACAAAGACCAAACATATTTCGTATAATACCCCAATGACCATTACCAATTGTCATAGCCATCCAAGGATACAGATGTATTTCATAAATAGTCCTCTTAGTGTGGCTTAGGGATAAAAGTTTGTAGACACCTGCTCCAAACTTTGAACATTGAATTTAAGGTTGGCCAACCTCAGGCACTCTGGTGTGTTATTTATAAATAATAATTCTTCACCCCCCTCGTCCTCTTATCTGTCATATGAAGAGCCCATGGGAACCCTTAGCATCAGGAATCCAACTAATTTCCATTTGATGGGAGGATACAGCTGGACTTCCTACCCCCATACTGACATTCCTACTTGGCAGAGGCGTGACACTACCCTTATTTAGGATTCAAGAAACTTGCTATTTAAGATTTAGGAAAAATTCCTTTCTTCCAGGGACATTTCTCTTGAACATGTTTTGTTTCACATGTAATTTAGTGGTCACCTAGGGGCCAAAGAAAAACAGAGACTTTTGTCTATTTGTTTATTTCTTAAGGCTATCATGAAAGAAAATCCACGAATAACTTGAGCTGTCAATGGAAACCTTTTTTTAGGACTAGATCTCTCCTTCACATTTAGGTAGTGACTGGGACATTTATGGAAGAAAAATAAATAATAATAATAATTATTATGATAGCTTATCATTGTTCAGCCTTTGTTCTGTGCCAAAGATACAGATGATCTCATCTCATTCTTACAACAACCATGTGAAATTGGTGCTATGATTAATTTCAGTTTCACAGAAACTGAGGCCAGTGAGGTTAAGAAACTTCCTAAAATCACACGCAGCTAGTTAGTGTTGCAAAATCTGAACCCAAGCAATATGTCTCAGTAGCATGTGCCCTCTAGTATATATGTGTATATATATGTATAGGATAAAAGGATTCATACTTTTGTAGCAGGTATAAATCTTAGTCTATAAACTCAGATGCTTTATTTTCCATAAATCAATGTAATATCCTCTCTAAGCCCTTTTCCCACTGGGCTGGAGGAAATAAAAGCTTGACCATTCTTGAGGTTTCTCTATCACCATCTTCAGCAGATTTGAGCAGGGCTTGGGGATCTGCCTGACATGTCAAGATATTGGATAGACTAGGCCCCTCTGTTTGATGCCTGTTGAGAGGCACATTGTCCCTGGCCACGTGATAATCTCTGTTCTGTGGGCTTCTGTACCAAGCTTGGGACCAAGAGTCTTGGGGCACTTCCCCAGGTGTATCACACACTCACCTTCCCTGAGGTCCCGCCATGGCCTCAGGGAGCAGGAGCAGATCCTCATACTCTTGGACTAGGGAATTTTTTTTTCTTTTTTTTTTTTTTTTGAGACAGTCTCATTCTGTTGCCCAGGCTGGAGTGCAGTGGCGCAATCTCGACTCACTGCAACCTCCACCTCCCAAGTTCAAGTGATCCTCCTACCTGAGCCTCCAGAGTAGCTGAGCCTCCAGAGTAGCTGGGAGTACAGGCATGCGCCACCACGCCTGGCTAACTTTTGTATTTTTAATAGTGACGGGGATTCACCATGTTGGCCAGGCTAGTCTTGAACTACTGACCTGAGGTGATTCACCTGCCTTGGCCTCCCAAATTTCTGGGATTACAGGCGTGAGCCACTGTGTCTGGCCTGGACTAGGGAAATCTTAATTGCTCTGAGAAAATGCAATCTCCTCTTCTTTCCTCCCTCCCTCCTTCTCTGTCTTTTACTCTCTCTTCTCTCCCCGTGAGAGAGCTGCACTTTGCACTCTTTCTTAAGCCACCGATCTTCTCAATGGACTCAGAATTTTGACAGCTTTTACAGTAGGGAACCCTACCACAGCACGGACCTTGATACCTCTTTGAACAGGCGAAGGTCAAGGCAAAACACAGAGTGAAAGCTTCAATAAATATTTCAAAACACACTCTTGCCACATCACCTTTCGCTTATTTTTACAATATGCTGCACGCTTACTCACTCTCACACTCACAAACATAACTGCACAAACATCATTTCCCATTCTTTTGATGTTTAAATACTTTCCTTCTCCTATCAGATGAAGTTTATATTATCTAGGCTTTGTCTCTGACAATTCTGATGTTGTTGTTATGGAAATATGTCAAGACATTTCTTTGTAAAAATTCCCAATGAGGCTGGGCACAGTGGCTCACACTTGTAATCCCACCACTTTGGGAAGCTGAGGTAGGAGGATCACTTGAGTCCAGGAATCAAGACCAGCCTGGGCAACATTGTAAGACCCCATCTTTACAAATAATAGTAATAATAATTAGCTGGGCATGGAGTGCATGCCTGTAGTCCCAGCTACCCAGGAGGCTGAGGTGGGAGGATGGCTTGAGCTTGGGAAGTTGAGGGTGCAGTGAGCTGTGATCATGCCACTGTGCTCTAGCCCAGGTGACACAGTGAGATTCTATCTAAAAAAAATTTTCCAATAAACTTTACATTATAGTGATGCCCCTGTGGTTGTGGGCAATGTATAAATGATTTGACTAATTTTTTCCCATATGTCAATTCAACCCTCAATATTTTCCAAATTTATCTTAGAATTTATATTTAAATTTATGAATTATCTTGAAAGACCTGATTGTTTGGAATCTACCCTCATCTATTCTACTTATTTGAATCTTTAGAAAGATTATTAAAGGAATATTTAAGTGTGTTGTTTCATGGAAATTAGGAATACCGAGTTATAATGTAAATATATTCATTCAGAAACTGGGGTGGGGGTCGGGGGGGAAGTCCTCAGGGAAGATACAGTATTCACTATTGACGTTGGTTTAATATTGCTTTGTACAGTTGTTTAATATGTACGTTGTTTGTATTTTATCTTGTATATATCTCTCCACCACACATTAATCCTTGGACTGTTAGTACATACAGAACACATGTCGGGATGCTTTCTCAGTGGACCTCATCTTCAGGGATCATTTTATTTCCACAGTTTAGTGCCTCCTTACTAGAATAGAGAACTCCATAATTTTTTCTAAAGATTCTATCAGTCTTGATCCAATGTGCTAGGTGATAAATGACTGAACGCTGGCCCCGGAGGGGAAGTTAGCAATGAGTCATGCTGTCTCCTAGTAACCAGTCAGTAAATAGCTTCCAGCAAATATTTTAAACCTCAAAGCACACTTACCTTTGGTATTATCCTTAGACAGACTATCCTCATCTATATCTGCACTCTCATCTCTCTTTCAGAACTTCTAAGAAAGGAGAAAAAGTGGGATCGGGTTTGCATATGACGTCACCCCCTTGAAAACCCACATGAAAACATTCCTACCCCAGGGAGTCTGTCTCAACAAACCTTTTCCTTGATTTGTTTCTCTGTATTTTGCTTGCCCTCAAATGTTATGAAGCCATGTATACTCCACGTAATTTTCATTTGTTTGTTTCTAGATAGGCCCTTCTATGTAACTATTCAATGAGTCCATACTGATGTGTGATTTCAGAGTTTAGCATGGAGGTCAGCACACGATCAGAACAGAAAGCGACACTCAAGCACCCTGCTCACACATCCCACCAATGACACTGTTTCAGACTAATTAATTTACATGTGTAAAGGTTATTTAAAACATAAATCCTCCCTAAGTGAGAGGTGGGAAAGGGGAGAATTAAGCCTATTAATCTTGTTCACCTTATCCCCACGTAAGACTGTTTTCTTTAGACATTTAGGGTCAGACTCTGTAGCATGGGAGTCCTTATTAGGGATATGGAAAAAAACACGAGAGTTCGTTTTGGAGCATGGAACATCAAAAGATGTGTCTATGTAAATGAATGCAAAAGGCTACTTTAGATGGACAGAGAGCAGCAAGAGAGCTCCAGACTTTAGCAAAGGAGGGATGCAAAGAGAAATAACTAGGAAGGGAAGATGAGTAGCAGGAACCAAGGTCACTGTGAACCCTCTTAGCCTAACTCTAAGGTACGGCTGCAAGTCTCTGAATTAAACTGTGAGCCTTTTAAAGATGTGATTTCTTCTGTTTCCTTGTTTTCCTCTAAAACTCTATACAGAGTAAGTGTGCAGCAAATGTTTGCTGAACAAATACACTTCCATTTTAGGTAAAAAGTATAGATGGTCCCTAGACAGAAAATAAAGCACTAAGACTGTTTGGCAGGGTTATAAGAGGTAGCGCTGAGATTTTGCCAAGAAGGCTTTTGGCTTTTGGCTTTTGGAAAATTAGTCCCAAAAGTTAGTGCTCTCTTGGATAAACTGAACCCCCGATCCTTCTTCAGGGCATCTTTTAAAATTTATTTATTTTTTATTTTTTTCAGACCAAGTCTCACTCTGTTGCACTCCCAGGCAGGAGTGCAATGGGGTGATCTCGGCTCACTGCAACCTCCACCTCCCAGGTTCAAGCTATTCTCCTGCCTCAGCCTCCCAAGAAGCTGGGATTACAGATGCTCGCCACCATGTCTGGCTAATTTTTGTATTTTTAGTGGAGACAGGGTTTCACTATGTTGGCCAGGCTGGTCTCGAACACCTGTCCTTAGGTGATCCACCCACAGGGCATCTTTTTTTTTTTTTTTTTTTTTCTTTTTTCTTTTTCCTTCTTTTTATTTTTTTTATTTTTTATTTTTATTTTTATTTTTTTTATTATACTCTAAGTTTTAGGGTACATGTGCACATTGTGCAGGTTAGTTACATATGTATACATGTGCCATGCTGGTGCGCTGCACCCACTAATGTGTCATCTAGCATTAGGTATATCTCCCAATGCTATCCCTCCCCCCTCCCCCGACCCCACCACAGTCCCCAGAGTGTGATATTCCCCTTCCTGTGTCCATGTGATCTCATTGTTCAATTCCCACCTATGAGTGAGAATATGCGGTGTTTGGTTTTTTGTTCTTGCGATAGTTTACTGAGAATGATGGTTTCCAATTTCATCCATGTCCCTACAAAGGATATGAACTCATCATTTTTTATGGCTGCATAGTATTCCATGGTGTATATGTGCCACATTTTCTTAATCCAGTCTATCATTGTTGGACATTTGGGTTGGTTCCAAGTCTTTGCTATTGTGAATAGTGCCGCAATAAACATACGTGTGCATGTGTCTTTATAGCAGCATGATTTATAGTCCTTTGGGTATATACCCAGTAATGGGATGGCTGGGTCAAATGGTATTTCTAGTTCTAGATCCCTGAGGAATCGCCACACTGACTTCCACAATGGTTGAACTAGTTGACAGTCCCACCAACAGTGTAAAAGTGTTCCTATTTCTCCACATCCTCTCCAGCACCTGTTGTTTCCTGACTTTTTAATGATTGCCATGCTAACTAGTGTGAGATGATATCTCATAGTGGTTTTGATTTGCATTTCTCTGATGGCCAGTGATGATGAGCATTTCTTCATGTGTTTTTTGGCTGCATAAATGTCTTCTTTTGAGAAGTGTCTGTTCACGTCCTTCGCCCACTTTTTGATGGGGTTGTTTGTTTTTTTCTTGTAAATTTGTTTGAGTTCATTGTAGATTCTGGATATTAGCCCTTTGTCAGATGAGTAGGTTGCAAAAATTTTCTCCCATGTTGTAGGTTGCCTGTTCACTCTGATGGTAGTTTCTTTTGCTGTGCAGAAGCTCTTTAGTTTAATTAGATCCCATTTGTCAATTTTGGCTTTTGTTGCCATTGCTTTTGGTGTTTTGGACATGAAGTCCTTGCCCACGCCTATGTCCTGAATGGTAATGCCTAGGTTTTCTTCTAGGGTTTTTATGGTTTTAGGTCTAACGTATAAATCTTTAATCCATCTTGAATTGATTTTTGTATAAGGTGTAAGGAAGGGATCCAGTTTCAGCTTTCTACATATGGCTAGCCAGTTTTCCCAGCACCATTTATTAAATAGGGAATCCTTTCCCCATTGCTTGTTTTTCTCAGGTTTGTCAAAGATCAGATAGTTGTAGATATGCGGCATTATTTCTGAGGGCTCTGTTCTGTTCCATTGATCTATATCTCTGTTTTGGTACCAGTACCATACTGTTTTGGTTACTGTAGCCTTGTAGTATAGTTTGAAGTCAGGTAGTGTGATGCCTCCAGCTTTGTTCTTTTGGCTTAGGATTGACGTGGCGATGCGGGCTCTTTTTTGGTTCCGTATGAACTTTAAAGTAGTTTTTTCCAATTCTGTGAAGAAAGTCATTGGTAGCTTGATGGGGATGGCATTGAATCTGTAAATTACCTTGGGCAGTATGGCCATTTTCACGATATTGATTCTTCCTACCCATGAGCATGGAATGTTCTTCCATTTGTTTGTGTCCTCTTTTATTTCCTTGAGCAGTGGTTTGTAGTTCTCCTTGAAGAGGTCCTTCACATCCCTTGTAAGTTGGATTCCTAGGTATTTTATTCTCTTTGAAGCAATTGTGAATGGGAGTTCACCCATGATTTGGCTCTCTGTTTGTCTGTTGTTGGTGTATAAGAATGCTTGTGATTTTTGTACATTGATTTTGTATCCTGAGACTTTGCTGAAGTTGCTTATCAGCTTAAGGAGATTTTGGGCTGAGACGATGGGGTTTTCTAGATAAACAGTCATGTCGTCTGCAAACAGGGACAATTTGACTTCCTCTTTTCCTAATTGAATACCCTTTATTTCCTTCTCCTGCCTGATTGCCCTGGCCAGAACTTCCAACACTATGTTGAATAGGAGTGGTGAGAGAGGGCATCCCTGTCTTGTGCCAGTTTTCAAAGGGAATGCTTCCAGTTTTTGCCCATTCAGTATGATATTGGCTGTGGGTTTGTCATAGATAGCTCTTATTATTTTGAAATACGTCCCATCAATACCTAATTTATTGAGAGTTTTTAGCATGAAGGGTTGTTGAATTTTGTCAAAGGCTTTTTCTGCATCTATTGAGATAATCATGTGGTTTTTGTCTTTGGCTCTGTTTATATGCTGGATTACATTTATTGATTTGCATATATTGAACCAGCCTTGCATCCCAGGGATGAAGCCCACTTGATCATGGTGGATAAGCTTTTTGATGTGCTGCTGGATTCGGTTTGCCAGTATTTTATTGAGGATTTTTGCATCAATGTTCATCAAGGATATTGGTCTAAAATTCTCTTTTTTGGTTGTGTCTCTGCCCGGCTTTGGTATCAGAATGATGCTGGCCTCATAAAATGAGTTAGGGAGGATTCCCTCTTTTTCTATTGATTGGAATAGTTTCAGAAGGAATGGTACCAGTTCCTCCTTGTACCTCTGGTAGAATTCGGCTGTGAATCCATCTGGTCCTGGACTCTTTTTGGTTGGTAAACTATTGATTATTGCCACAATTTCAGAGCCTGTTATTGGTCTATTCAGAGATTCAACTTCTTCCTGGTTTAGTCTTGGGAGAGTGTATGTGTCGAGGAATGTATCCATTTCTTCTAGATTTTCTAGTTTATTTGCGTAGAGGTGTTTGTAGTATTCTCTGATGGTAGTTTGTATTTCTGTGGGATCAGTGGTGATATCCCCTTTATCATTTTTTATTGTGTCTATTTGATTCTTCTCTCTTTTTTTCTTTATTAGTCTTGCTAGCGGTCTATCAATTTTGTTGATCCTTTCAAAAAACCAGCTCCTGGATTCATTGATTTTTTGAAGGGTTTTTTGTGTCTCTATTTCCTTCAGTTCTGCTCTGATTTTAGTTATTTCTTGCCTTCTGCTAGCTTTTGAATGTGTTTGCTCTTGCTTTTCTAGTTCTTTTAATTGTGATGTTAGGGTGTCAATTTTGGATCTTTCCTGCTTTCTCTTGTAGGCATTTAGTGCTATAAATTTCCCTCTACACACTGCTTTGAATGCGTCCCAGAGATTCTGGTATGTGGTGTCTTTGTTCTCGTTGGTTTCAAAGAACATCTTTATTTCTGCCTTCATTTCGTTATGTACCCAGTAGTCATTCAGGAGCAGATTGTTCAGTTTCCATGTAGTTGAGCGGCTTTGAGTGAGATTCTTAATCCTGAGTTCTAGTTTGATTGCACTGTGGTCTGAGAGATAGTTTGTTATAATTTCTGTTCTTTTACATTTGCTGAGGAGAGCTTTACTTCCAACTATGTGGTCAATTTTGGAATAGGTGTGGTGTGGTGCTGAAAAAAATGTATATTCTGTTGATTTGGGGTGGAGAGTTCTGTAGATGTCTATTAGGTCTGCTTGGTGCAGATCTGAGTTCAATTCCTGGGTATCCTTGTTGACTTTCTGTCTCGTTGATCTGTCTAATGTTGACAGTGGGGTGTTAAAGTCTCCCATTATTAATATGTGGGAGTCTAAGTCTCTTTGTAGGTCACTGAGGACTTGCTTTATGAATCTGGGTGCTCCTGTATTGGGTGCATAAATATTTAGGATAGTTAGCTCCTCTTGTTGAATTGATCCCTTTATCATTATGTAATGGCCTTCTTTGTCTCTTTTGATCTTTGTTGGTTTAAAGTCTGTTTTATCAGAGACTAGGATTGCCACCCCTGCCTTTTTTTGTTTTCCATTGGCTTGGTAGATCTTCCTCCATCCTTTTATTTTGAGCCTATGTGTGTCTCTGCACGTGAGATGGGTTTCCTGAATACAGCACACTGATGGGTCTTGACTCTTTATCCAACTTGCCAGTCTGTGTCTTTTAATTGCAGAATTTAGTCCATTTATATTTAAAGTTAATATTGTTATGTGTGAATTTGATCCTGTCATTATGATGTTAGCTGGTGATTTTGCTCATTAGTTGATGCAGTTTCTTCCTAGTCTCGATGGTCTTTACATTTTGGCATGATTTTGCAGTGGCTGGTACCGGTTGTTCCTTTCCATGTTTAGCGCTTCCTTCAGGAGCTCTTTTAGGGCAGTCCTGGTGGTGACAAAATCTCTCAGCATTTGCTTGTCTATAAAGTATTTTATTTCTCCTTCACTTATGAAGCTTAGTTTGGCTGGATATGAAATTCTGGGTTGAAAATTCTTTTCTTTAAGAATGTTGAATATTGGCCCCCACTCTCTTCTGGCTTGTAGGGTTTCTGCCGAGAGATCCGCTGTTAGTCTGATGGGCTTTCCTTTGAGGGTAACCCGACCTTTCTCTCTGGCTGCCTTTAACATTTTTTCCTTCATTTCAACTTTGGTGAATCTGACAATTATGTGTCTTGGAGTTGCTCTTCTCGAGGAGTATCTTTGTGGCGTTCTCTGTATTTCCTGAATCTGAACGTTGGCCTGCCTTGCTAGATTGGGGAAGTTCTCCTGGATAATATCCTGCAGAGTGTTTTCCAACTTGGTTCCATTCTCCACATCACTTTCAGGTACACCAATCAGACGTAGATTTGGTCTTTTCACATAGTCCCATATTTCTTGGAGGCTTTGCTCATT
Source organism: Homo sapiens (assembly GCF_000001405.40). Taxonomy (NCBI): domain Eukaryota; kingdom Metazoa; phylum Chordata; class Mammalia; order Primates; family Hominidae; genus Homo; species Homo sapiens. The sequence continues at coordinate 33,515,549 of NC_000010.11, forward strand.
TCTTTTTATTCTTTTTTCTCTAAACTTCCCTTCTCGCTTCATTTCATTCATTTCATCTTCCATTGCTGATACCCTTTCTTCCAGTTGATCGCATCGGCTCCTGAGGCTTCTGCATTCTTCACGTAGTTCTCGAGCCTTGGTTTTCAGCTCCATCAGCTCCTTTAAGCACTTCTCTGTATTGGTTATTCTAGTTATACATTCTTCTAAATTTTTTTCAAAGTTTTCAACTTCTTTGCCTTTGGTTTGAATGTCCTCCCGTAGCTCAGAGTAATTTGATCGTCTGAAGCCTTCTTCTCTCAGCTCGTCAAAATCATTCTCCATCCAGCTTTGTTCTGTTGCTGGTGAGGAACTGCGTTCCTTTGGAGGAGGAGAGGCGCTCTGCGTTTTAGAGTTTCCAGTTTTTCTGTTCTGTTTTTTCCCCATCTTTGTGGTTTTCTCTACTTTTGGTCTTTGATGATGGTGATGTACAGATGGGTTTTCGGTATAGATGTCCTTTCTGGTTGTTAGTTTTCCTTCTAACAGACAGGACCCTCAGCTGCAGGTCTGTTGGAATACCCTGCCGTGTGAGGTGTCAGTGTGCCCCTGCTGGGGGGTGCCTCCCAGTTAGGCTGCTCGGGGGTCAGGGGTCAGGGACCCACTTGAGGAGGCAGTCTGCCCGTTCTCAGATCTCCAGCTGCGTGCTGGGAGAACCACTGCTCTCTTCAAAGCTGTCAGACAGGGACACTTAAGTCTGCAGAGGTTACTGCTGTCTTTTTGTTTGTCTGTGCCCTGCCCCCAGAGGTGGAGCCTACAGAGGCAGGCAGGCCTCCTTGAGCTGTGGTGGGCTCCACCCAGTTGGAGCTTCCCGGCTGCTTTGTTTACCTAAGCAAGCGTGGGCAATGGCGGGCGCCCCTCCCCCAGCCTCGTTGCCGCCTTGCAGTTTGATCTCAGACTGCTGTGCTAGCAGTCAGCGAGACTCCGTGGGCGTAGGACCCTCTGAGCCAGGTGTGGAATATAGTCTCGTGGTGCGCCATTTCTTAAGCCGGTCTGAAAAGCGCAATATTCGGGTGGGAGTGACCCGATTTTCCAGGTGCGTCCGTCACCCCTTTCTTTGACTCGGAAAGGGAACTCCCTGACCCCTTGCGCTTCCCAGGTGAGGCAATGCCTCGCCCTGCTTCGGCTCGCGCACGGTGCGCACACACACTGGCCTGCGCCCACTGTCTGGCACTCCCTAGTGAGATGAACCCGGTACCTCAGATGGAAATGCAGAAATCACCCGTCTTCTGCGTCGCTCACGCTGGGAGCTGTAGACCGGAGCTGTTCCTATTCGGCCATCTTGGCTCCTCCCCAGAGGGCATCTTTTTAATACTGCAGTCTCATTTGATTAATGGGACAGCATCCTAAACCAGCTGAGGATTTTGTTTAAGGCCACACAGAAGAGTCAGAGGGGTCTGATAGCAATGTCATCGGATTTCCTCCCTTAGATGGGCTTATGCCAAGTTTTGGAAGATAGTTATAAAATTTTTGACTTCTAGTTTTTACTACCAGTGATAAGAAATTGTCACCATGTGTGAGAATTTTTTCATTCCATTTTAGTTGGTCTTTTTATTAATGAAATAACCACCTTGTTGAGGGCTTATTTCACATTGTAAACATAATGATCATTTTACTCCTCCCCCAGATTCCATAAGGTGGGGGTATTCGTTCTACCTCTACAACGGCAAGCTTAAAAAGTCTAATCAAGTTGCCCTTTGTCACCAAACTAATAAGACAGCGTAGAAACTTGAACCCAAGCTTTTATGGTTCTAAGTGAAGTTCGTAATCTTAACCACTGTGCAACATAATTTCTTTTCTGTAAGCCTCAAGCTTGCAACAGGTAGAAAAAGAAATTTTTAATGTTTATTAATCTGGCTAAAGAATAATAGTAGAATTATATGACAATAGTAAAAATGTAGATCTGGTAAGAATATTAGAAAGCTTTTAATCTTGTAGTTTTTATCTATTTATTTATTTATTTATTTATTTATTTATTTATTTTAGACAAAGTCTCACTCTGTTGCCCAGGCTATAGTGCAGTCTTGTGATCTTGGCTCACTGCAACGTCCGCCTCCTGGGTTCAAGCGGTTCTCCTGCCTCAGCCTCCCCAGTAGCTGGGATTACAGGTGCACGCCACCACACCCAGCTAATTTTTGTATTTTTAGTAGAGATGGGGTTTCACCATGTTGGCCAGGCTGGTCTTGAACTCCTGACATCAAGTGATCCGCCCACCTCAGCCTCCCAAAGTGCTGGGATGACAGGGTGAGCCACCGTGGTGGGCCTAATCTTGTGTTTTTTAGATTGTAATTCTCAGATTCCACAGAGGTACTCAGAGGTTGCCCAAGAGGAAGAAAAGGTAGAGTGGAAGGCCGGAGGCCGAGGGGAAAGAGCTCCGGGCTTTCAATTCCCTTTTCCAGAGACTAAAGTTTCCCTTAAACTTTCTTTATGTTGGAATTCTATATAAGATTTCATTTAGGAGCAGGTAGGCAGGGGTGGAGGGAGAGGAAAAGGAAGTTTGTTGAACCATTATGAAAAAAGTAGTTGACAATTGCTGAGTTAGTCTAGATCTATCATTTTATAGGTGAGATAATGGAGGCCCAGGTGGTAATTTAGCCAAAGTCACTCTGTTAACATCATAACCTCCCTAAACTGAGAGAGCCCTTGGGGATCACCTGACCCAATCATTTGCCAGCATTGGCTTCTCTCACCTGCCATCAGCCACATGGGGTCCAAACTCCTCCACAGCTGGAGGCTCACGGACCACCAAATCTTCCCATCTTTCTGATCCTTAGAAAATATATCCTTAGGCCGAGCGCAGTGGCTCATGCCTGTAATCCTGGCACTTGGGGAGGCTGAGGCAGGTGGATAACTGGGGGTCAGGAGTTTGAGACCAGCCTGGCCAACGTGGTGAAATTCCATCTCTACTAAAGACACACAAATTAGCCAGGCATGGTGGCATGTGCCTGTAACCCCAGCTACTTGGGAGGCTGAAGCAGGAGAATCACTTGAACCCAGGAGGCAGAAGTTGCAGTGAGCTGAGATTCAGCCACTGCACTGCAGCCTGGGTGACAGAGCAAAACCCTGTTTCAAACAAACAAACCAAAAAGTAAAACAAAACAAAACAAAAAACAACAAAAAACTCCTTATTATAAGCTGAGATCTGTCCTTCCGTATCCCTAAAAATTAACTAGAATAATTAAAGTCTTTCTCCCTTATGACAATGCCTCGAATATTTAAAGACACCTAATATATCCCTCCCGAGCCTCTCATCTCCAGACACAACTTCTCCCATTTCCTTTAATGTTCCTCAGAGAGTGTGGTTTCTTCTGGTCTGGTTGCCCTGCTCCAAAAAAGCTTCCATTTGTTTTTATCCCCTTTAAAGATTCAAGTGCAGAATTGAACATAATATTTTAATAATATTTCACTTTATATATTAAGTCATTTAAACTTCCATTCCTTACACAATATCACATTAACTCCCTTAAATGGGCAAGGGATGATAGGCAAGAGAAATAACATGAAGATACTATTATCTACAGCTGTGTTCTCCCACACAGACATAAATCCATACACACGCTTTCCTTGCTTCCTAAAAGGATCTTGCCTACACTTTCAAAATCACCCTGTGTGCTGTCCGTGAGAGTTTCTTCCTAAAGCAAGCCTTTGTTCATTGCAACTAGCCGTGTATGCTTTGCCGGAGGAGTTATACATTAGAAACCATCAGCTGACAATGGGGATATATTGAGTCAGATTCCTTACGTTGGTGCAAAAGTAATTGCGGTTTTTGCCAATGAATTTGGCAAAATTTAACCTTTAATTTGGGGTTTTTGCCTCGAATTAAAGTAATGGCAAAAGCTGCAATTGCTTTCCTACCAACCTAATAGATCGCTCTACTGCAGCCATGTCCGCAATGGCAACTAACATATCTATTTAATAGATAACAAAAGCTAGCCAGGGCACATTCATTTAAGAGCATGGACCAATGTTAAGAATTTTTTACAGATATTTTTGCAGGCGAGATGATAAAGAGGAAACCAATGATAATACAAGAAAGGCATTTTCTAAATTCTGTAGATTGTATTATGATTGGCCCTTGATGACCCCTGCTAATGAAGGAAACTGTTATGTAAATGACCCAAAACAGCAGGCAAAATGCCATGATGACATAGTTCTGATGTGCTTTGGAATTTGCATTTCCAAAACAGTAGCCGATTACCTTTCTAATAAAAACATGAAAAGTGGCTAGTGTTTCCCTGAGTTCATCCCGACGGATCCCGATGCATTCTGAGTGGCAGGGGAGTCAACCTGAAATTGAACATTTGCTAGCAATAATCCACGAAACAAACAATAACCCACATGTGCTTAATCTAGAGATGATCATATTCTACAGTTACTTCCTATTTTTGAACTGCTGCAAGTAGTTCACTGTGCATCTTCACATTGCTTTTTATTCAAGGGATCAAATGTGCTTATGTGTATCATCTTATTTGCTGTCACCACTGCTTGGAAATTATTATTAGCTCTATTTTATATTTGGGGAAATTAAAAGTTTCAGATTGTTAAGGAGGAATAGACCGGGAGAGGAAAGGAGTAAATCTCACAGAAAACATTCAGCTTGATTTAGAATTCTCGAGTATTTCGGTTGGGGATGACCCAAGGATGACCAGTTAACCCCCTCATTTTAAAGATGAGGATGGTGACATTAGAACCATCTAAATGTTCTATTTAGTGAACTTAAATACTTTTCAATTTCATTTCTATTTCCTGAGTTTGAAATGAGAATACTTACACTAGCTGTTTTCTAATAATAGAATTCTCATAACCACTAATGGGAATGTGCCAAGATGAATGGAACTGTCTCTTGGTCTGATGTCTAGCTAATGTGTAGGCTGGTCAGCATGGCACGAGGAAGGCTTGGCTGGGGCTAGGAGCCTGGATTCCATCCCTTCTGGGACAATAACTCCGCTTTCAGTAAATGGACCTCAGATATGTTTTTAGACCTCAGTGCCTTCATCTCTAAAACTAGGGATTGGACTAAATCTTTTAAGTGTTTTTAGAGTTCTAATGTGCCGCGATTCTCACTTTCTTTATATAAATTTTTCAAATGCATAATACATATAGATGTCATAGATATGCAAATTCACAGACACTATAAAGAGAGGAAGGAAGCAGAAATTAGAAATGGAAGATTACATTATTTCTGGCTATGTTTCAAAGGTAAGTGAACTCTAAGGGGAATTATGTTGATTCGATACTTCTTAACGTTGTGCCTTCTAATAGATAAATTCTGAAGCACGTAATTCCTCTTGGGGTATTCTCATTTTCGATTTTCATCCTGAAGTTTAGAGAGTTTGTGCTTTTTTCATTTTTTTATTTTTATTTTTTAGACAAGATCTCGCTCTTTCACCCAGGTTGGAGAGCAGTAGCATGATCATGGGTCAACACAGCCTTGAACTCCTGAGCTCAAGCCATCCTCCTGCCTCAGCCTCCCAAGTAGCTGGGACTACAGGTACAAGCCAATGTGCCCAGCTCAATTTCTCTTAATTTGGTGTGTTGTGGCTACCCCTGCTCATGAGAGGATCTGGACACAACAACCCTTGCAGTAAAGAAAGAAAAGGGTAGGTCGTATCTCTTGGAATGAGTCTGTTTGGGTTTCCTCGGAGTCTGGAGCTGTAACTTTCAGCTGGCAGTACCACCGCATTCCTCTGGTAACCAATTATGTCATCGCAAACAGAGATTTATGAGCCCCAATGCTAAAGAAACAGAAGGCAGGATGAATTATGAGAAGTTCCAGGTCTGCAAACACTTTCTCCAATAATTAGCCTAAAGTGGGGAGGAGGGAGAAATTAACCTTACTAAACTCCCATTTTATACAACCCAAATAATGCACTGCTAACATCTGACTGAGCACGGAAATTCATCTTGAGGTGATCCAGTTTAAAACCTCATTTGTAAATTCAGTCTGAAAGGCTTCAAGCGAAAGGGATGAAGGGTTGGAAAAACTCACAGCGAGGAGTCTCCAGCCCCTCCTTGGGACAGCCTGCGTGATTTAAGATGGATACATCTCTGAGATAGCCCACAGGTAAATACGAAATGGCTTTGTGTTCCAAGAAGGAAGGGAGAGTTATCAGCACAGACACGAGCTTCTGTGCTTCCCTGATGCAAACATGGAAGAAGCAATTTGCAGAGGCAATAGCGTCTCTGTTGCCGTTAGCCATGGCAGTGCAAGTTTGCACGCCACCAAAAGCAAGGATTGCACCCTTTACTTAGCATGTTGTTACCTAGACACATTCTGCTAGCTATAATATGCAAGCAAACATTCAACTCATGTAAATGTGTTCGCTTTCCTAAAGAAACTGTTGGAGAGAAGGTGTCTTGGGGAAAAGACAATAGGAATCTATCAATCTATCAATCAATATTTATTATATATCTACCAGGTGAGAGAGGTTATTATGAGACCTGGTAAGGAATATGCAAATAATATATAGAGTAGTTCCAACTGTCAAGAATCTTCCAGTCTAGCTCAGGAGATATGACACATGCATGCATGTGGAATTAATGACACCAGGCAGAGGGAAGCAAGTCAGTGAGCAAGATGGAGATGGGAAGTGGGATGCAAGCTCAAAGCGGGAAGTCGCCTGAGGGCTGTAGGAATCAAGAAATGCTTCCAGAAGTTACTTTGGTGGAGAGGGTTCTGGTAGATGGGCAGAAGTGAACACCTGCAGGGAGCCAAGAGTGGGATCGTGGATCCCTCAAGAAGAGAAATTGGGAAGGAGACAGAACCAGGTGGCGGAAAGCAAGAGAACAAACAAGCAAGGTGGTTTCATGGGAGAGTCACTTAAGAAGAAAATGCTGGGGAGAAACAAGGAGGAATTCAAAGATGAGGTTGGAGAAGGTGCTGAAAAAAAAGAAAGGAGCTGAACATGGTGGCTCAGGCCTATAATTCCAGCACTTTGAGAGGCCAAGGCAGGCAGATCACTTGAGGCCAGGAGTTCAAGACTAGTGTGGCCAACATGGAGAAAGCCCGTCTCTACCCAAAATATAAAAGTTAGCCTGGTGTGGTGGTGCATGCCTGTAATCCCAGCTACTCGAGTGGCTGTGACATGAGAATTGCTTGAACCCCGGAGGTAGAGGCTGCAGTGAGCTGAGATTGCACCACTGCACTCCAGTCTGGGCAACAGAGCAAGACTCTGTCTCAAAAAAAGAAAGAAAAGAGAAAGAAAATAATTTTTAAGCACCTACTATGTGCCAGTGATTGTGCCAGGCACTCTATGCACATTACTGCATTTCGTCCTCAGAAGTTCCTATAGCCAATGTCATCACTCCCATTTTACGGATGAGAAACTGAGGCTCAGCAGTGTTAAGTACATGGAGCCAAATGTGAACCCCAGCCCTTCTGACATTAAACCTCACACTCTCTCTGTCACTCTGTTTCATGTTCCTGTGTCCTCTTTGGGGTCTCATTTCTTCCTCTATCAAAATAGGCGATTAGATTAGCTCTAAATTCAGCCCTACTTGAATTTCAAAGTATGATGAGTCTATCATTCTAAATATACAGAAAAGAAAAAAAATACCAGGAAGTGTACTTCAGGGAAAAAAGTGGGAAGCTGGAAAGCTACACAGAGATCTGGAAGGTGATGAAGAATTCTGACAGTCAAATCGACTCTGACTCTCTTCCTTGGCACCTCCCTTGTCCTGCTCTTTAATTAGGGCTGAGGCACCCAGGCCAGTCAGGCCCATCTCAGGGAGAGACACTGTGGGGGTGACTGCCCCAGCCACCATCAAGATTAATCCAGAAGCAAGCGAGGTGTCAGAGTGACTGCAGCAGGGCGACCTCTTTCTGCCCAAGTCTGCAGCCAGCCCCCACCCTCAGCCTTCCGGAACTGGCCAGAACTCAGAACCTGCCCAAAACAGAGATGGCCAGGTGTCACAGGGTCCTTGTTTAGAGCATATTTCATCTCCCCTGCAGATGAGCGGAAAGAATTAAGAAATTCTCAGGAGAGACATATGGAGGGAAGAAAGGAGTGAATGGAGAGTGCAGATACAAGGGAAAGGGGGCGTAGAAAAGAAAGTACTGTGGGAATACCAGACAAAGCATAAAACAAACAAACAAGAGAATGTCAATTTCTATAAACTTATATAAACATGTATTCCTGGTGGGAGTGGATAGAATCAGGAGTGAGGAACAGAAAGAAGGCAGAGTGACACTGATAAAAACTGATCACGTGCCCTATGTTGAGTAAGGCAATCCTCAACATGACCTGGCCCAGGACACAACACCTGTCTCAGGTAGAGCTGAAAAGAGTTCGTGTGTGGCTGGGCTCATGCCTGTAATCTCTGTACTTTGGGAGGCTGAGGCGAGCAGATCACCTGAGATCAGGAGTTTGACACAGCCTGGCCAACATGGTGAAACCCTGTCTCTACTAAAAATACAAAAATTAGCCGAGTGTGGTGGTGGGCGCCTATAATCCCAGCTACTAGGGAGGCTGAGGTAGGAGAATGGCTTGAACCCGGGAGGTGGAGGTAACAGTGAGCTGAGATGGAGGCACTGCACTACAGCCTGAGCAACTGAGCAAGACTCCGTCTCAAAAAAAAAAAAAAAAGTTTGGGTGTTTGCATGGAGGAAGATGAATCCTGGAGAACTTCTGATCACTCTTGAGCAACAGGAACTGGAGAAAGAACTACAAAACCTTGAGTCATTTTCACTCCACTTGCTACGTGTCAATTTCTTTTTTCTTTTTGAAATGTCTGGATTCTATAGAAAAGGAAACCTAGAAAAACCCAGGACTACAAGCTGCTCACGGCTCTTGCCATCACAGCGCTGAAATGGGGCCCTTAAGCCTCTGAAAAAGATATATTGAAATATTGAGACTAGTAAATCAAAATGAAGGATGAATCCATTAAGCATCCTCTAAATGTTTTAAGCTGCGGGGGAAATGAAACTCCAGACAACAGTTCTTCACCTGGCACGGGCTCAGTCCTCGTTGATTCTTCAGCTCCCGTCAGTAACTCTGTAAGTTGGGTACTAATGGCTGAGGTGTGCAGTGAAATGAAATTACACTCAACCAGGGCCCACCTGAATATAATGAACTTTTCTGAGGATGCGGCTTCAGTACATTAGTGTGAATACATGCAGGAAACCATGCGAAACACCTTGGTGCCAATTTCTTTCTTTCTTTTTTCTTTATGGACATTTGCTTTGTCAGACTTGCATTACGATGGAGTTATAAATATAGAAATGAAATATTGATTACTTGTCTTAATCCATCCACAACTTGTGCGAGATCACACTGGCCCCCTCCTGCCCCACACAGCTGCAGAGACCCAGGCAGATGGGGGATGTGAATGCTTTCAGGAACTGAACCCCCTTGAATGGCTATTTAGCTAAAATTCGTCTTCAAAAAACCTTTTCTCACTTCACTATTTCAAGAACCAGAAGTAAGGCCTGGGATAAACTTTTTCCCATGAAAATGAGTGCGCTGTCATCCTGCAGCTTTTTCCTTCCCACCCACAGAGCTGGTCAGTCTCCATTCATTCTGGTACCACAGGCATGCAGAATGACTGGTGGCCCGGGTCGCGGCTGGCAGAGGCTCACTGCCACCCAGGTTTGGACCTGACTCTCAGCTGGGAATAGCAAGCACAAAACAGCAGAAGAATAACCAAGGCTTGTTTTGATTCCAGGCAGATTGCAAATAATGCATTCCCTAGATGTTAGGTCAAAACAACCACCAACCTAAACTAAGCAAGAAAAAAATGTTTCACAAGACCAAGCAGCCACAGTTGCCCTAAACTTGTTCTTGGGCAGAAACACTATTAGTTTTTAATTGGTTACTCTGGTGGATGGCACCATAACCAAGTTATAAAAATTAACATCCAATATAAAAGTTGTCCAGGCCAGGCACGGTGGCTCACAGCTGTAATCCTAGCATTTTGGGGGGGCCGAGGTGGAAGGATCGCTTGAGGTCAGGAGTTCAAGACCAGCCTGGCCAATATGGTGAAACCCCATCTCTACTAAAACTACAAAAATTAGCCGGGTATGGTGGCACATGCCTATAATCCTAGCTACTCAGGAGACTGAGGCAGGGGAATCACTTGAACCCAGGAGGCGGAGGTTGCAGTGAGCTGAGATCGTGCCACTGCACTCCAGCATGGGCAACAGAGTGAGACTTTCTCTCAAAAAAAAAGAAAAGAAGTTGTCCAATATTTGGAAAAACTCACATCAGGAGACTTTTGATATGATTCACTGAGAAGAATACAACTATATTTCTGCCAACAATTCCTAACCAGATTCCAAGCACGAGGGAATATCAGTAAACCCAAATTGAAGGACACTTGGCTAAACATAGTCTTCAAAAAGTCAAGATCAAGAAAGACAAAGAAAGGGCTAGAAAACTCTTTCTAACTAAGGAGATTAAAGAGACGTAACAAATGAAATGCATGATCTTTAAATGAATCGTACAGCTATAAAAGACTTTATACAATTGATGAAATTTGAATATAGACTATGGATCAGATAATGATATTATGTCAATATTAAATGACTTAATTTTGATAATTGTACTATAGTTATCTAGGAGAATTTTCTCTGTTCTCAGGAAACACACCATGAAGTAGTTACTGATAAATGGACACAATGTTCCCAATTCAGTCTTCAATGATTCAGGAAAAATTATCTAACTCTATCTATCTATCTAGACAGAGAGAAAAAAGAGAACGATGTAGCAGATGAACAAAATGTAAAAAATTGATATGTCTGGCTATATGGTATAAGAGAGTTTCTTGTACTATTTCTATAACTTTTCTTGAAGTTTGAAAGTATGTAAAACTAAAAATTACCAAAAGAGTGTCCTCAATATTAAATCTAACTGAACCAAGACTATTAATTATCAGCTCCTCCTTCAATAACAAAACTTCAAAATTGACCAGCAATCTCACTCTTGTAATCTCAGCATTCTGGGAGTCTAAGGCAGGAGGATCACTTGAGGCCGAGAGTTTGAGACCAGCCTGGGCAACATAGTGAAACCTTATTTCTCCAAAAAAAAAAAAAAAAAGCAAAACAAAAACAAAAACCGAACCAAACCAAAACAAAACAAAAACATTAGCTGGGCATGGTGGCATGCAGCCGTAGTCACAGCTACTCAGGAGTCAGAGGTGGGAGGATCACTTGAGCCCAGGAATTTGAGGCTGCAGGGAACTATCATGCCACTGCACTCCAGCCTGGGACAGAGCAAGACCTTGCCTCAAAAATAAAAATTAAATGGAAAAATGTAAAAATAAATCTGCCAGCAAGTTTCCAACAACTCTGAAATGGAGATGGAGAGAGTGCCCTCCATCCTGTCCCATCCCTGGGCAGAACACATGGAGCAGCTGTTTGAGGACTCTGAAATGTAAATAGTAGCAGACAGATTGGGGACTATGTCTGAGTTCCAAGTACCACTCAACTAGCATGGAGTTTCTCCTCTGGTGCATCCCCTGGCCTGAACTCCATGCAGCCTGCAACCTGAAAGTGAGCCTCTGCACACAGACCCAGAGAGCTCCCAAAGACAACCTCCAGTTTTGGCTCCAGAAGCATGAGAGGGAACTCTAAACTCTCAGAAAGAGAGAGGGTGGGGGAAATCCTCTTATTCTTTTTATCTCCTTTGCTTTCATTTTTTTCCTCTCTTCTCTTGCACCCTAGCTCCAAAGCCAACCTATATTGGCAGTAGTGGTGGCAACCAGTGCCAGAAACTACAACTCTCTGGGAGGGGACTGTGATCCCAAGATGGTGGAGTAATCTTGACTGCATTTCCTTCTCTCTGTCCTCCTCCCACTTGGCCAGAAATGCAGGTATTATTACAGGAAGTAAATAGCAGAGTGGAGTCACTAAAGCCCCCACTTTCTGGGTTGAGGACTGAAAAGAAGAGCTCCAGGAAATGGAAAGTACTGGGCTGATGATGAATCCTGAGAGAAGCTTAGGAAAGCAACACTTTCAAGTTGTTTGTGAATTGCTGGGCTCACCGCTGAGCTGCGCATGTCTGGATCTATACCTGAACAGCATACAGACATAGATTCTGAGAGCTAAACCAAGGGATAGACCATCAGCCATGTCCCAGCCTGGCCTCCGGGTGGTACACATGTGAGGCAGGTCTGAGGAGCGTGGCAGAGGTTTTGGAAACCAAACTGACGGTGGAATGACAACTCCAATAAAGACAGTCAGGACTGAACCCAATCAGACTGTTCGTCTACTAACACAAAAACACCAACACTCTTCATATAATTGAATCAAGACCCAAGTCTTATAATATTCATAATGTCCATAATAAAATTCAAAATTACATGACATACAAAGAACCAGGAAAATATCAGACAATCCTTGGTATCTAGACAATCAATAGATACCAACATAGAAATGACACAGATGTTGGATTCTCTGACAAAGGCTTTAAAGCAGCTACTACAAAAAAATCGTAAACATTCTTGAAACAAAGCTCAAATAGAAGGCATCAAAGAAAGAAGGTGTAAAGAAGCTCAGGGAACTTGAGAACTGTCAAATACAACAACTGAAATAAAAAGTTCACCCAATGGGCTCAACAGCAGAATGGATATGACAGAATAAAATTCAATGAACTTATGATAGAGGAATAGATATTATCCAATCCGGACAACAGAAAGAAGATTGAAAAGATGAAAAAGTCTTGGGGGTTATGAGACAACGCCAAGAGTTCTAATATCCATATTATCAGAATTCCAGAAGGAGCAAAGGGAGGTGCAGAAAAAATATTTAAAGAAATAACAGCTTATAATAAAACAAATTTGATGAAAGACATAAATGATAGATTCAAATAGTTCTGTGGACCCCAAACAAGATATAACAAAAAATTCCACATTCAAATGCATCCTATTCAAAGTGCTACAAGTTAAAGACAGAACAACAATGAAACAATTGTAGATTTATTGTGAGGATTCATGGAGGCCAGACTAGAAAGTAAGAAATAAGACTCTCACTATTTCACAAATGATAAATTCTGAAGAATTCACAATAATACATCAAGATTGCAGGCTGTAAGGTCAACACACAAAAATTAACTATATTTCTACATAAATAAATTGGAAACAAAAAATGCTACTAATGATCATTCTGAAAAAGTGAAGTATTTGGATATAAATCTAAGAAAGTATGTACAGGATGTGTATGCAGAAATTATAGCATACCAGGGAAAGAAATCAAAGATGTAAATAAATGGAGAGACATGTCATATTCATAGAGTGGAAGGCTCAACATAGTAAAAATAAAGTGACGTACAGATTTAATGCAATTGCTATCAAAATCCTAGCAGGATATTGTGTAGACATGGGCTTATTCTATAATTTATATGGAAACAAAAAGAAACTAGAGTAGCCAAAAACTTACTTTTAAAAAGGAATGAAGCTGGTGTACTCATACTACCTGATTCTAAGACTGACTTTACAGGGCTATAATAATCAAGACAGTATGGTATTGATGAAGCCATAGCCATATTGATTAATGGAACAGATTTGAAAGTCCAGAAGTAGACACACACAAATAAGGCCTATTGATTTTTGACAAAGTTGCAAAGGCAGTTCAGTGGGAGAATAATGGTCTGTTCAATAAATTTTGTTGGAATACTTCAACATTCATTTGCAAAAAATGCAAATGAACCTTAATCTAAACCTTAGGCCATATAAAAAATTAACCCAAAATGAATCATAGATTTAAAAATGAAATGTAAAACTGAAAACAAATTTTTAAAAACATGGGAGAAAATCTTCAAGATCTGGGGTTAGGCAAATAATTTTTATACATAACAACTAATGCTGATCCATCAATAAGAATTTGATAATTGCAATTGTCAAAACTAAAAATATTTGCTGTGTTTGCAAAACTCACCTGTAAGAAAACAAGAAACCCAATTTTAAGAATGGGCAAAATACTCATATATACACTACACCAAAGAGGATACATGGAAGGCAAAGATGTGCATGAAAATGATGTTCCATGTCATTATCACTAGGGAAATGCAAATTAAAGTCACAATAAGCTACCCACTCCATACCTATTAGAATGTCTAAAATAATATCAATTGCCAACAAGGATGATGTGCTTCTAGAACTCTCATACATTGCTGGTGGGAAGATGATTCAGCCACTCTGGAAAATATTCGGCAATTTCTTATAAAGTAAACACACACTTACCATACAATCCAACAGTCCTCTTCTAAGCATTTTGCCCAGGAGAAAACATGTTGACAGAAAACCTGTACACAAATGTTTACAGCAGGTCTATTTATAATTGCTATGTACAGGAAACAACTCAAATGTCATTCAACAGGTGAATGGTACATAGATACCTGTTATACAGTGGTGGTGCATCTATACAATGGGTTATCACTGAGCCAAAAAAAAGGAATGAGCTATTGACACGTGCGACAACCTTGATGAGTATGAAAAGCATCATGCTGAGTGAAAGAAACCAGTCTCAAAAGGTTACGTACTGTATTATTCCATTTACATAACATTCTTGAAAAGACAGTACTCTAGTGACAGAGAAAATATCAGTAGATGTCAGAGGCTGGGGGTGGTTAGGGTGTAACTATGAGATGATAACATGAGGGAGTTTATTGGGGGGTGGGTAATGTTACTTCTCTGTTTTCTGATTGTCATAGAGCTTCCAGGATTCAATACATGTATTCAGGTTCACAGATCTGTACACAAAAAGTCAATCTTACTATGTGACATTTTAAAACTAAATTTAGAAGAAGAAAAAAGAAAATGACAACCTTTATTTATGTAAGGAGAAATTTACCTTCTGATTAGAAAGACAGAAAATTGAAAAGGAGCAGTGACCTGACCGAGGATCAGCCTCTGTGATCGTAGGTACAATTCATTTTCTTGTCATGTTGCTTTGGGTCATTTGGAGGAAAACAACCACCAGCAGACATCAGTCAGTTTGGAATTCCACAACTGTTCTCACTCCCCAGTGACTGCTGGAAACTACCATCCCAGCAGTTTACCAAGGAAGAAGATGTCCTGCTTTGTGCGCATGGGTATTCCGATGGCTTGACATATCTAGTCCTACAGAAGAGAGGGCCATTTTAGGTTATGGAAGCTGGAGATGTTTCCAATGGAGACAGGGGATGAGAGTGAGGAGTTGCCTAGCAACACCAGCTGCCCACTTTCCAAGTGTTCTCACAAAATGGAATTATCTTAATGAATCCATCATGGTCCGGAGAATGAACCTCATCCTTTTGGGGTCAGAGATTATCTCATCATTGACTCCGAGTTGATTGGATGGATGCAGACAGTATACAGAAGAGCCTTTAGAGCTTCATACAATTGTGAGCTGATAATCTTTCTTAGAATCATCCAATTGGATGCACAGTCAACAAGCAGCCTTCTGGTAGTTCATTCATTTGTTCATTCATTCTCTATTGAGCCTTCAAGCACCTTCAGTGTGACAGATGTCACACTAGGTGCTAGACACACAAAGATAAATTATGTTTGTGCACTGCTTGGAGCAGCTCATTCCCTCCTCAGAGGTTTTGTTGCAGGGTGGAGAACAGGATGGCCAGCTGACAGGTATTCCAGGCCCTGCAGCTATGATTTTCTGCACTGTGATTTAACAAAATAACGCTAGGTGCAATCAGTCACTCTCTTGTGAATTGCTTAGCAAAGATTATTACCCCAGACAGAGTACACTGAGAAAAAATAATAAAACCCTAGGACTGGACCCCAAACTGAAGACTTCAGTGAGGAATTGCCTCTTTGTGACATTCCACCCTATATCGTAACACTGATGATTCACTTTGGAACCTAAAAGTTAGTTACTTTTATGTTCAACCTACACTCAGCAATTCTACTGCAATTTGTGTCTCTCCGTGTTGGCTACCTCTTATGATCTGCAATGCCACATACTACTATCTTCAGGCTGCAGGCTGAGCCTAGGAACTGAGTCTCAGCCATGCTTTCCTTCCATCACCCCTCCCATCCCCAGCTGGCAGTTAGTGTTTTGCAAATGATACTGCAAATGATTGTAGTTTGTGTTTATGAGAAAAGGGGGTTGGTAAGGAAAAGACAGAAAGAAAGGGGATTGGGGAAGGGGAGAGAGAGAGAAAGAGAGAGGGAGGGGTTTAAGCTACTTGGAATTTGGAGTTTAAGTTGCCCTTAAGTAAAGCATATTTTTAATAGGCTACTATAAGAAACACACTTTTCAAGGGAAAAAAAGTGGGTTTGAATTTTGGCTGCCACTCATTAGCAATATTATCTTTATAGGGTAATTATCATCTCCGGGCCTTGATTTTTCTAAACTGTAAAATGAAATGTTTGGAGTTAGAGAATTTTTAAATATTCTGGTATCATTGATTCTTGTATTTCTTGAGACAAAATCCTCTCTTTCACATTCTGCTAATTTTGTAATTTGTTTCACCATTCTCTCTTGACACATAAAAGGACTCTGTGAAAACTATCAGTATCGGAGAAGATTTCCTATAACCATCATATCATCTATGTTTCCTATTAGGGCTTCTGACATTCCACATGTTTTCAAAGGTAATTGGAAATACTGGAGACAATTTAAGGGTCATTATTGTGTTAGCCAAGAAAATAGCTAATGATGACTTTAGCTACTGGGCTATTCAGCCTATCATAGAGCCCATTAGCTCAATTAAGTAAATCAAATAGGAAAAAACATTTAGACTTAAAAAGCCACCCACCACTACCTATTACTTGCCTGTGAGGCTTCTATTTCATGGTGAATTCAAATTGCTTGTTCATTGTAGGTAGAAGAAAATGAGCAATCATCTGATTCAGCAGATGCAGTGATTCAAGATCACTTAGCATTTATAATGATAAACCAAAAATTATGTTAAATAGCAATTTTAAGGAAGCAGGTAAGACTAGAAGCCTTCTGCATAAATCAGGCTTGAGCTTTGCGGAAGTGGCTTCTTTCCCTGTACTGAGGTGTGAGAAGCAGCACATGGATTTTTATTCCTTTAAAGGATTTTCTTCAAGCAACAGTCTGTAGTTCAGGTTAATGGGAAGGCAAGGCAGTAGCATTGGGATGAACATTTATGATCCCAAACATTCTAATTCTAGGTGTCTACAGCATTCAAATATTGAGTAGGCACTTACACTTCCAAAGACCAATTCTTCAAGATAATGCTGAGGTTAACTTACAGTTTTATATATTATTCAATGGGGCAGTTCACAGGACATTTGAAGTGACTTGGAGAGAAAAAAGAATACCGCCGTTCATATTATTAATATTTATGGTACAGTTATTATATTCAGGCCATGCTATTGCTGGAGAGAGTTGGTCCATTGAATAAATGTGCAATGTTCATGAAGCAGTGAATATATCATTCAATTAAAAATTCAGCAACTGATGTAGTCAGGGATGTGCTGGTAAATGTCTCACAACTGGCTTTCCAGGACCGGTTTGCAGCATTTGCTGATTTTCATGGTGTAGACCCTTCCCTCATGGCTGACATCAAGCTACCAATGGGTTGGCATCTGGCTTGCACAACTGCTGGAAATTTAGCAATCAACTCGAGCACGCTGGCACAAGTTGCTCCAGCCCCAGTACCGGACATGACTTAAAGAGTGAGGGGGTGGAAAATTACAGTCAAAGGGGGTCCACTACCTACCCAAATCCTATAAAACGGCCCCACCCCTATCTCCCTGCGCTGACTCCTTTTTCGGACTCAGCCCACCTGCACCCAGGTGAAATAAACAGCCTTGTTGCTCACACACACACACACACACACACACACACACACACACACAAAGAGTAAGGGGTGAAATGGCTTTGCTTGTAACTGGATTCCAAGAGAATCATTCTTAGACCGCACACCTAAGTGTTTACTTTATTACCAACTATCATCTCAAAGTGGGAGAGAGGATGGGGATTGGGTCCCCTTTTCAGAAAACCCCTATGAAAGAGCCCTTTAGAAAAAGGCTGGGCTTGAGGAAGTCTTAATTCTAAATATCGCGGATCAGGGGAAGGAGCAGGTCATTCCATTTCCTTGGGACTCACATGTATAATAAGCAGATTTCATATCTGAGAGGCGTAAGTTCCCTTCTATTTTTGCTGCTCAGTGTGCAATTTAGTCCAAAAATTGACTCCGGTGCAGATCATTAAATTGTCAACAGCCAGTGGGTCCTGAAACATAAGCAAGGACTACCCAGACAGGAGGTCGGGAGTTTCTAATGCATCCCCGGGGACCTGCTAGGATCTTGACCTCTCTCTAAGAGAGGCTTTGGACTGATTCGGCATAACAGTGGGGGCAGATCTGCTTTCTCCAAGGCTGTCTCTTCCCTTCTATCAGTGATCTCCACCTTGCTCAGCCCACTCAATGCTGCCTTTGCTGTTACAGTCTAAGAAATGTGGCTCCTTTTTCCTAACCTCTCTTCTCCTTTCACCTGCATGTCATAAGGTGGTCATGGATATATTCTTTCATATTCTTGCTAAAATACTCATTGCTGGAAGTAACACAAGGGTATCAAATTTGTATAAACAACAGTATGATTTAGTTCTCTAATATAATAATGCAATATAACAAAATGAGTCCATTCAACTGTTGTCCATTCAACTATACCTTAATATATATTATTTTATTGATGCTTATCTATGTATACATTAGTTCTGTGCACAGTCTAGTGGATAGTGATCTGTTAAATGGATAAATGAATGAATGGCTGAAGTTTTATCCTTCTGAATGGATGAGTGGCCTCTCTAGTTCATTTTCAAGCCTCTAGGGCTATGATACATGTTTCCTATTTCCAGATTTTTCTTTATGTTCTCTCTTTATTTCTAGAAAACACAAATAGCTTCTCGCCCATGGGGGGGATTTTTGGCAGGAAAATCGCACTCTTTACCTGTCATCCACCTTCCAGAAATGCAGGAACTGAAAGACTGAGAAAGTGGAAAACACGCCATGCAATTGCTAACAGTTGGCAGAGCAGCAAGTGCACTCCAGTGGGTGGCATTTGTCCCTGTTTCTATGCTCTGATCTGAAGCTTGTACAACAGATGTACCAGGGGCTGGAGGATGGCAGTGCTCATTTGTGGAGGTGATAATGCTAGAAAACAGCTCAGGCCATGACTAGCATAGTGCCACAGGCTGATGAACCTGTTGGTCCTGCTGGGCAGTTTTAGCTCAGCAGCATTTTAACCATTTGCAACGCTAGAAGCAACGGCAAACATTGCTAATGTAACATTTCTTTATATGGCTAGAGTGCTGGAACTAGATGTCATGGAACTTTTCAAAAATACTGAGGCTTTATGTTCAGTTCTGAATAAAATTTTACCTCCAAATTTTCTTTTTTTTTTTGAGATGGAGTCTCACTCTGTCGCCCAGGCTGGAGTGCAGTGGCATGATATTGGCTCACTGCAGCCTCTGCCTCCTGGGTTCAAGCAATTCTCCTGCCTCAGCCTCCCGAGTAGCTGCAGTTACAGGCACCCACCACCATGACCAGCTAATTTTTGTATTTTTAGTAGAGACGGGGTTTCACCATATTGGCCAGGCTGGTCTCGAACTCCTCACTTCAGGTGGTCTGCCCGCCTCGACCTCCCAAAGGGCTGGGATTATAGGCGTGAGCCACCATGCTCAGCCAATTTTTATTTTTTATTTTTCAAAATTCTATTTTATTTTAGGTCCTGGGATACATGTACAGAACGCAGGATTGTTACATAAGGAAACGTATGCCGTGGTGGTTTGCTGCACCTATCAACCCATCGCCAAGGTATTAAGCTTTGCACGCATTAGCTATTTGTTCTGATGCTCTCCCTCCCCCAATGACAGGCCCCAGTGTGTATTGTTCCCTCCCCATGTCCACATGTTCTCATTGTTCAGCTCCCACTTATGAGTGAGAACATGTGTTAACCTCCAACTTTAAAAAAATTATAATCCCAGAACACTTTTGTGTTCTTGCTGTTAATTATAAAAATGACAGAAGAGTGTTACAACTCTTGTGTTGTTTATTATTTTTCTATAGTCCACCCAATGTCTTTGGGGGTGTGTGTAGTATTTAATACTTATTCCTGTTTTTATTTCGCTCTTGGTTCTCCTTTGTCTCATATAAGCCCATTCCTTATATTCTAGCTTTCTTATTTCTGTAAGTAAAAAAGAAAAAAAAAAATCTCAGGAAGAGGTAGGAATAATAATCTATTTAACATACTGAAAACATTCTTCCAAGGATCTTGGGGTATGTTTTCACAATAAAAATGGTAAAATTTATCCCCAGCAAAGGGACAATTTACTTAGAATCATCAAATCAGAGTTAGTCTTTAACCTTATATTTTAATCACTGTGAAGATTTAGTTAAAAGTGAGTGTTAGCCCCAGGAACAGACACAGGCTTTCTGGTCTTCATTTAACCAAGAAGAAGTTGAAATTACATAGGTTTTTTACCTCCCCCCCAAAAAAATAATAAAGGGAATCTATAGAAGCTGCAGCATTCTGATTTTTCAAGAAGTTGGTGGAGAGACAATGTCTGTTTCTAATTACACACACTAGTTAAGAAAAAGAATTTAAGTCAGCTGATATTTTTCCTTTCATTATTTATGATTTAAGTCAGCTCATCTTTTTCCTTTCATTATTTACAGGACATCTAATAACTGCTCTGATTGGATTTAAACATTTGCAGTGGGGTACTTCTGGCTTTGTGTATGTAGAAGTGGTGTCTAAAAGAGTCAACTGCTTCACCACAGGACTTTTATACTTCTCATGAAATACAGTCCTTCAAAAGGCAAATTCTCTATTTCCCCCACTTTGATTATCTGCTTATGCTCCTAAAATAATGTAAATATGGTCATTAATCATCTACAACATTGTCAATTAGGAGAGTAAAGCCAGTAATGAACTCTACATCCCTGACCTCATATGGTATGTTGCATTTTAAGGGAGCTGTTTTTATCAATGACAATCGTATTATTTGTGCTCATAACCTGGGCTCTACATCCAGTGAAAGGATTTTGATACAGAATCTTTATTTGAAGAGAACTACACAAAAACACCATCACCATCATACCTGATGTCTGCTATTGTTGAAATAGGCTTCAGCACTGTAGCTGGTGGAAACCAGGTCACCAAAGACACTGCCCTTGTACCTGGAAGGCCCGTCCCTGCCCCCATTCACACAGTGAATTCATTTAGAAGAGAGGAATGCTGTAGACAGAGTCATTAGAAAACCCTTCATGACTGTGGCGTGGAAAAGGGCTGGCAAGGATCACAAACAGCTTTCCTGGGTTTGGTCTTACAGCATGGACTTCTTCACCCTCATCTACACGTAAAATTTATTAACTTCAAGGAGAGGAGATCAGGGTTGCCTCTACCTTGCATTCCTATGTAGCCATGAATTAATTCCCAAATGCCAGTGTGAGCCTGTTTTCCTTTTCATACATCGTATTTGAGGAAACAGCTGGAAATATTACTCTGTGTGCCACACATCCCGATTCAGCACAGTCTCTTGTTCCCAGAGTGGAGTAAATGAGTAAAGAAATTATTCATCCGCCTTTTACCTAACTTGGTGTGTGACCAATAAATTCTCTCAAGATTGATTCAGGTTCCTATATTCATGGAAACAAAAAAAGAAAATTGGGCAGAAAATAATAAAGTCTATGTGTTTTTTTTTAAACTACACTTTTGCATTTCATCAGTGAGTAATCATAGAATGTTAAAGCTGCAGAGAAAATGTTAGAGGTCTTGAAATAAGTGCAACAGTGAGAATGAGTCAGTCTGGTATAAAGTAAAAACACTGAACTTGAAATTAGGAGATAGGGGAGGTGAAGTGTTTTCTGAAGAAGGAAAGTTCCATGGTCTCTCAGATGACTTCTATAGGTCATTTTCCTGAATGTCAAGATGATCCTTCATAACAAGTATCCAATAGGGGTCAAGTTTTGAAAGCATAGAGAGGGGATCTCCAAGTTCTTGGGTTATAAGCCCCATTGAAAACAATGTTTAGACGTCTCTCACATACGCAGAGGTGCTGTTTAGCACCTTTTAGAAAATTAAACTAGATTCTAATGATGTGTGTGTGTGTGTGTGTGTGTGTGTGTGTGTTATAAAAGCAATCTATTGGGATTGGGAAAGAATGGTAATGGAAATTTTTATTTTTTACTCTGATTATGGAATGTATTTTTTTTACAGTAAGCATAAGTTCAAGTATAATTAGTGTAATAAAAAACTATTAAAAACAAGAAGGTAAACCCTTACATGAGATAATACGATGACATTTATAGACCTTTACATGTCATCATAAGTTACTCTGAGTTACTGCTCAGCATGAAAAAATCCATTAACAATGTAAAGAAAAAGAACATGATCACATGTGGGTCTTCAACTCTAACAATTAATATTGTCTCAAGAATGTTATCACATTCCTTAGCTAATTAGATCCATCCTGAGATGTTTTCAAACAAATAAAAACAAAATTTCTGCCACAGGAAGAAAACAATTTAAAAAAATGCAGAGCACATCTGTACAAAGATGCCCCTGGTTGAACAGGGAAGTTCCGACTTTGTCATTCCTCTTGAATAAGCCTCCCAAGAGCATTATTTATTTATGTGGACCATTTTGCTGATTATTTACTGAGATTCCTCAGTAAGAACCAAAATAATTCCTTTCAGTTAGTTAAGGCAGAGACCAGAAGACATTCAATGTTGCTGTAAAAACTCTGGTCCTGGAAAGATGGTAGAATTCTAGGGAAGATGCAGTCCTGTCACGGTGGCTAAGATAAAGCTGAGAGTTTAAAAAACCATGGAGTACTCATAAAGATGTTGAGGTTTGGGCTTCAATACTTGTAAAGATATTGAAGTACCAAGCACTTAGTAGGGTGTTTGTAGATATTTGATGAAGGAGAAATAGACAAGAAAGAAGGAAGGAAGGAAGGGAGGGAGTGAGGGAGGAAGGGAGGGAGGGAAGGAGGGAAAGTGAGGGAAAAAGAAAATGAAGAAAAGCTTATGAATATAGCTTTCACACAAATTACTTTATAGAAAATGACAATTTTGAAGCAGCCTTATGACCACCCCAAAGTAAGCAAGTTTCTTTAGGCAGTATTTTCTATTCTACACCCTAAAAATATGTTTTCTGTCTAGTGTATACCCAAGAAGAACCTAAGAATATATCAAGAAATGGAAATGATTCAATATATAGAGAAGAAAAACCAAGAGCTTGTATGATGTACTCTACGTGCTTTAAAGGAATGTTGAAGTTAAGTTTTTTTTTCCCCTAACATTTGCTCCATTTTTTGAAGTCTTAAAGTCATATACGTTTACCTAGATGGAACATTCTCATGATTTTGCAGGCAGTGAGTGAGTAAAGGGAGAAAGGAAAAGAAGATTTTTGAGAGAAAAAGCCGTGTTTGGAGGAGTGTCAGTGACAACCTAAAGTGATGGTAAACACAATACAAGTAGTCCTGCAATTATAGAAAGATCAAAGAACTCTACACATCTTCATAAGTAATTATAACTGCATTGAATATAAATAATATAAATGCTCAAATAAAGAGCTTGAGATTGTCAGAATGAATTTTAAAAATTCAAAACCTAACTAACTATAATAAAAGAGGCAGGAGACAGCCAAATGCCACCCAGGTCACTGTGCACAGGAGGCTTCCTTAAACATGCCATGGTGAAAATTTTCATCCCTAAACACATGTGCCACTAAGGAAATAAATCAACGTGGAGTGGCTTAGACTAAGGACCCGCCTGCACACTGAGAGAATGGGGTGGAACCACCAGGAATTTGCACTTTATGCAGGGGGAGGAGCCTGGCCTCTTCAGCCCCTGGTGGCCTGGTATTCAATCTGTGAGGTGGGAGCCTGTTGTCGGGACCCCCTCTTTCTTTGCTGAGAGCTTTTGTATTGCCTAATAAATCTGCCCTCCTTTCCCTTCAATGTATCCATGTGCCTAACTTTTCCTGGTCGTGAGACAAGAACCCAGAGTTTAGTTGAACTAAGAAGCAAAAAATCCTGCATCAATATGTGACATATGTCTTAGATATAAAGATATAGATAAGGTTGAAATTAAAAGGGTAGGAAAGATATGTTATGAAAACCATAAAGAAAATAAAACAGGCATGGCTATATTAATGTGAGACAAAACTGACTTCAGGAAGAAGGGCATTACTAAAGATAAAGGGAAATGACTTATTTTAAAAACCAATTCATCAGGAATACATAACATTCCTTCCTGCATTGACTAAATAATAGATCTAAAAACAGATCTTCAAAATATATAAAGCAAAACCTGATTGAAGTAAAGAGAGAAATAGACAAATCCACAACCATAGTTGGAGATTTTAGTACCTTCCTGTAGTAATTATTAAATCATATATTCAAAAAAGTATCAAAGACACAGATAATCTGAATACTATCAACCAATCTGACTTAACTGACATTTATAGAACACTATAAACAACTTCAGAATGCACTTTCTTTTCTACTGTGGCTGGTTCAAGATCAATTATATACTGATCCATGAAATAGGATTTAATCAATTCCAAAACATGGAAATATTAAGCATACAATTTCTGACAATAGATTAAGCTAGACATCACCAAGATACCTATGAAGACCCAAAATATTTGGGAAGTTAATAAGATATTTCTAAAACCCATTAATTAAACTTCAAAAAAGTTACAAGTAAAATTTTCAAATTTGAGTTGATTGACAATTAAAACACAAAATTTGTAAGATGCAGCTAAAGAACTGCCTAGAGTGAAGTTTATCATTGTCAATGCCTTACTAGAAAGAAAAAAAGCTTAACATTAATAGTCAAGTTTCCATGTTCGTTAGGAAAAAAAAGAAGAGCAAGTTAAAACTGAAAGTAAATAGAATTAAAATTTAAAAACAGAACTCAATGGAATCAAGTCAAACAATAAAAAATATTAACAATGCCAAAAGTCATTTTTTTAAAAGGTCAACAAAACTGATACTCCTAGCAGAACTAATCAAGATATTGCCAATAATGGGATTTTAAAAAGAAGGAAGTCTTACTACAGATCCTACAATCATTACAAGGACAATAAAGTAACATGATGGCAAATTTGTATAAACAAACTTGCGAATTTAGAAGAAATGGACAAATTGCTTGATAACACCACTTACCAAAACTGATTCAAAAAGATATAGAGTATCTGAATTGTCCTGTATCTATCAGAGGAATTGAATTTCTATTAAAAATTTTTCCCCACAAAGATACATCTATACTCAGATGATGTCATTGGTGAGTTCAAACTTTGAAGTAAGGAATAATGCAAAACTTGGCCAAAGGCAGTGGCTCATGCCTGTAATCCCAGCACTTTTGGAGGCGGAGGCGGGAGGATCACCCACGGTCAGGAGTTCAAGACCAGCCTGGCCAACATGGTGAAACCCTGTCTTTACTAAAAATACAAAAAATTAGCTGGGCATGGTGACGTGTGCCTGTAATCTCAGCTACTTGGGAGGCTGAGATGGGAGAATTGCTTGAACCCAAGAGGCAGAGGTTGCAGTAAGTTGAGATCGTGCCACTGCACTCCAGCCTGGGAGACACAGCAAGACTCTGTCACACACACACACACACACACACACACAC
Source organism: Homo sapiens (assembly GCF_000001405.40). Classification (NCBI taxonomy): domain Eukaryota; kingdom Metazoa; phylum Chordata; class Mammalia; order Primates; family Hominidae; genus Homo; species Homo sapiens. Next base: position 33,541,132 of record NC_000010.11, read on the forward strand.
ACACAAAAGAATAATGCAAAACTTAACACAAACTCAGAAAGTAAAAGAGGAAGGCACACCTTCCAACTAATTTTAAAAGATTAGAATAACCCTGGCACAAAAACCTGACAAAGAGATTATAAGAAAAGAAATTTATAAAACAATATTCCTCATGATCATAGATTTTAAAAACCTCTCTTCTAAAATATTGGTAAAGTGAATTCAACAATGTATAAATAGAATGACTGTCATGACCAAATGGAGTTAATCCCAGGGATGCAGTTTCTGTTCAGCATTAAAAATTAATATGTGGATCCTCTGCATTCAGTTAAGAGATGTAAAGGGTCAGAAAGAGCCTTATTCCCAGCCTCCCAGCCTTACAATAAGAAAATGAAAGCTTAATCAAGTGAAAATTAGTGACCTTTCTTGAATTCATTAGAGATCTGACATGGCAGGGAAAGAACCTAAAATCTGGGGAGAGGCCAGGACCTACAAGGTGCAACAGGACTCAGGCATTTGCTTACCTAGGGCAGATGCCATTGCATGCTGTATAATTTGGAAAGGAGATTCAGCTTAGAAATTGTAATGAACTGCTCCAGGTCACATATGGATGTGGAGCCACCGGGTCCCAGAGATAGAAATATTTGCATCCTCTTGCAGTCCTGTCTTCCAAGGGTATGATGAGACACTCAAAGAGAAGATAGGGAAGACTCCTAAGAAAGTTTTCCTAATTGTGCTGACTTGGGGGAGGGAATAGTAGCTACTCCCGAAACACTTCCCAGACCCATCTCCCATATCTCCCCTATGGAACAAAAATCTTAAACTACAGGGCAAAAAATGATAACAATTGTCAGTTTAGGGCACTGGCGAAAATCCATTGAAATTGCAGGAAAGGAAGAGAAAAAATTAAACTCTACTCTGAGGGTGGCAGCCCAGGACTACAGCTGGTACAAGCTTAAATCCACAGTGACTGCCTCATTTTAAGGCTTGGTGAGAGAATACACCCCTTCCGGCTCTCCCTACCACCATGCTAACAAGTGTTGAGTAAAAGTAACCTACAGCTGAGATTGCTGCAAAAGACAGATTCTCTCTAGGAAACAATACAGAAGGAAGACCCTAAGGTAAGAAGGGAGTAGATACTGAGGGGGAAGAAAAACTAGGAAACAGTGCAGAAGGAAGAACTCTAAGGTAAGAAGGGAGTAAACACTGAGGGGGAAGAAAAACCCTCTGGCAAATTAGCTCACATCCTAAACACAAGGTATTGCTAGAGGAATTTGAGGCTATGGTGCACTGAAAATAATCACGATAGTCCTCCCTTATCCATGGGGGATATGTTCCAAGACCACCAGTGAATGCCTGAAACCTCAAATTGTGCCAAACCTGATTGCTGTCAGTGGGAATATGTCTCTGTTTATGTCTTCCACCCACAAATTTAGTGCCTTTCCCATCTTTATAAGCCTTTATCATGGACTATGGTTGTAACTTTTGCAGTTTGAGGTGCAACAGCAAAACTAGTACAAATTTCGTTTTTCTTCTTTACAATTTCATGGATAGAAGATTCATTCTTACCATAGATCTTAGCAACCTCAGCATATAATTTTCATTATTTATTAAGTTGAGAACTTTCACATTTTCACTTAAAGGAAACGCTTTATAATTTCCCTTTGGCATATTCTAATTGCCAGCATCATTACTGTGGTACTTGGGACTATTATCAACTAAAATAAGGGTTACTTAACACAAGCTCTGTGATACCATGACAGTCACAGTTGATCTGATAACCGAGTTGGCCATTGAGTGACTAATGGTGATTGGTGTTTATAGCATGGAGATACTGGACAAAGGAATGATTCACATCCTGGGCAGGATGGAGTAGGATGGCACAAAATTTCATCACACTACTCAGAATGACATGCAATTTAAAACTTATACATTATTTCTGAAATCTTCCATTTAACATTTTTGGGTCACAATTGATTACAGTTAACTAAAACCATGGAAAGTGAAACTGGATAAGGGAAAACTATGTTATGGCAACAACAAACCTCAAACCCAGATCAACTCCTGACTATATTAACACAAAACCTTCCACTAAAGGCCTGGCAGCAAGAAAGACATGTATCTTTGTCCTTTGCAACATGCCCAACTTTCAACCAAAAAAAATGTATGAGACATAGGAAAAGGCAAAGAAAACCCACAGTCTGAAGAGACAAAGCAATCATATACAACCATCACAACTAAGATATGACACATACATGGACCTATCAAACACAGGATTTAAAATGACTGTGATTAATATGGTAAAAATGCTAATGGAGAAGATAGAAAACATGCAAGTTCAGCTAGATAATTTCAACAGAAAGATGGAAACTATAAAAAAGAATAATATGAAAATACTAAAAAACAAAAACACAGTAAAAGAGCTGAAGATTGTCTTTGAGGGACTCAACAGTAGACTTGACAGCCACAGAAGGAATCAGTGAACTGGATAGAGATCAATAGAAATTCTGCAAACTAAAGTACAAAAAAAAGAAGAGTAGAGGAGAAAATCCCCACAACACAGTATCCAGGAGTGTTACACCATATCTAATTGTCTAAAATGTACATAATTGAAATCCCCAAAGAATAAGTGAAAGAGAATGAGACTGAAGAAACATTTGAAGAAATAATAGCAGAAGATTTTCCAAGCTAATAACAAACACCAAAGTATAGATCCAAGAAGCTCAGAGAACACCAAGAAGGATAAATATAAAAACAAACACACAATAAGATCATCCAGGCATATCATATTCAGACTGCTGAAAATCAAAGACAAGAAAATCATGAAGGCAGGCACCCTCTCCCTCAGAGGTACATTACCTACAGAGGAACAAGGATAAGAATATATCGCACTTCTCATCAGAAACAAGTCAGCCAGAAAATAACGGCTTACTATTTTATTTTTAAAGTTCTGAAAGAAACTATCAACCCAGAATTCTATATCCAGAGAAATTAATAAAATATAAAGACTTTCTCCAGCTAACAAAAACTAAGAGAATGAATGCATTGGTAGCAGATTATCTTATAAGAAATGTTAAAGGAACTTCTTCAGGCTGAAGAAATATGATAGGTCAGAAACTTGAATCTTCCAGCCTGGCCAACATGGTGAAACCCTGTCTCTACTAAAAATACAAAAATTAGCCAGGTGTGGTGATGCATACCTGTAATCCCAGCTACTCTGAGGCTGAGGCAGGAGAAGCGCTGGAACCTGGGAGGCAGAAGTTGTAGTGAGCCAAGATCAGGCCACTGCACTCCAGTCTGAGCAGCAGAGTGAGAACCCATCTCAAAACAACAACAACAACAAAACCTTGAATCCTTGAATCTACACAAGGAAATGAAGAGAATTGGAAATGGAATAAATTGAGGCAAAATATAATTTTTTCTTGTTATTAGTTGCTCTAAAAGCTAATTTTCATAGCAAAAATAGTAAAATATGTTGTGTGTTTATACCACATCGTTACCCAACAAACGAAACAGTATAATTTAAGTTAGACACAAATTATTTAAAAATGTATATTGTAACTCCTAAGACAACCACTAACAGTTATTTTAAACAAGTTAAATAATAATTCAATAGAGGAGATAAAATTAAATTATGATGCTTAATTAAACCTAGAGAAGGCAGAAAAAGAAGAAAAAATTAACAAAGACAAATGGGGCAAAAAGAAATCACATTTCAAGATAGTTTAACCCAACCATTAAAAAAAATCAGTAAATATGAAAAGTCTAAACACACCAGTTGTTCATAGTATCCTTGTATTATCTTTTTAATATCTGTGGGGTCAATAGTTATGTACTCTTCATTTTTACATTGGTAATCTATGTCTTCATTTGTTTTTTTCTTGATTAGTCTGACACAGAAGATTAAATAGCACATGATTTCATTTATATAAAATTCTGGCATCTGTCCTGGGAAAAGTTCAGTTATTTCCTGCATTTGCTGAGACAGGAGGTTCTATAGGGATGATGAAGTGATGACTGTGAAAGGGTACCATGGAACTACTTTGGGGGTCATGGACATATTGACTTGATTGGTCATGGAAATATTGACATATACGTATGTGTATATATGTATATGTCATATACATATATGAATATATGTATACATACACATATGTACATATGTTTATGTGTATACATACATACATATATATGCCACATACTTATTGAGCACATACAAATGTGTGCATTATATTGTACACAATTTATATCTCAATATCATTGATTGAAAAAAGAACTCAGTAGCAGAACAAAAGCCACAATATCCGTCTTTAATTTCCTGCGTCTTTGACAGCAGCAAATCTGTAAATCTGTTCACATCCAAATTTGAAATGCCAGTATGGTGAGCCTTGGCCACCTTGGTCTTTTGCAAATAGTGTGTCCAGACCCTTAGGACACAAAGATCAACTCTTCCATAAAATATAAAAGTAAATAATAATGATGGGCAAATTTAAAGTTTTGTGTTAATGTGATCTATAGTAAGCTTGGTTGGCAAAAATGCTCTTTGTAATCCAGAGATAACATTTTTAAAGTTTTCTAATGACAATGGTTTATACTAAGATTTTATGACCCTTCAGCATTTAGAATCTAGTCCTCTAACAACTTTACCTTAATGATTATATAGTAAGTTGTGTCTCTATAATCTATAAAAACTTCCCAAGAATTTATGTTTTATCAATTTATTATGTATTTGTTGCTATTTTATATTCTACATGTCATAAAAACTTTTAGAGGAGCTAAAGATGAACCCTTCAGTGTTTTCATAACTTAAGGGAAAAAAGGAAGCAGTAGACATTTTACCTTCCAGACCCAACTGAAGATACAAAACCAACTGATGATACAAAACCAACACATGTGAGGATAGGAATGATCTGAAATTTCCCTTTCTCATTTAAATGAGAAGCGGAGCTCTGGTCTGCTTAGTCCAGGGAATAAAATTCTGTGGAAGGAGCCAAATCATTAAACTTCTGCCTTTGGTGCAGCTCTTTTAATTTCTTTGGCACCATGGTGAGTCAAGGTAGACCCTGAGAAAACAGCAGCAGGAACCAGGAGTTGGACATTCAGTCCTGATGCTGGCTTTAGCTTCAGGCAGAATATTCTGAGATTACTCATTTTATTCCCCTAAGCTCACCTCTCCAGAAAAGAACAGGATCTCAGTGTGAAGCTGGCATCCTCTGGGTATTATCTCTTGGGAAGTACCAGAGTACAATGGAAGTTGCCCAGAGTTGAGTTCAAGGTTTGAGAATTCTGGCTGCTCAATAGGACTATCAATGATCAATGCTAACTACAGCAGTGGAGATTATACAAAGACCTCTATATTCAGGGAAGAGAGAGTTTACCTGGAGACTAGAGGAGTCAGAGAAGGCTTTGCAGAGGGATAGCACTTGAACTGCTTCCAAAATTTGCTTGGTTGCAGGCAGGTTGGATTGAAGGGGAGCTTGTAGGATACGGGAATAGAGCTTTAGGAGATTTTGGCTAAATCTCCTAAAGAATAATTTCAATTATACTAAATAGCACTACTGACCCCACATTGCCAAGGTGGAATATATTTGTCAATATTGAAGAGTTTTCTCTATTTGCTACTGCTGCAGCAAAGGCAGAATCTGAACATAGTTGTTTAAAAGTCTTCCATGGCTATTTTGATCTCTTGTCTAAAGCTTTTGAATTTATTTTAAATCAATTTCATTCATGGAGATTTTGGAGGAAGGTAGGGCCTTTCAGTTAGTCTAATTTATACCTGCAGGCATAGTCTATCCTTTTGTAAAATGTATTTTACTGGTATTTATGGAACAATTTACGCTGTCTAATCAAACAAATTAAAACACTTATTTTTGCTTTCCTCAATTCAGTCAATTGTTAATAATCATGTTGTCATTTTTTTCCACACTTGGCACTGAAACTTTATTCATTCTCCTTAGAAATTCTGCCACCAACCTACTATAAAAACTGTCATTATCTCCTAAAGTCACAGTCCTGACATCTGTTAAGTAAAGGTTTATTTGACACTTCAAAAGTCAATCTGCACAGCTGACTGAACTCCTTCAGAATTTTACAGCTTGCTCTTGTCAAATATTTGGGAAAATAAAATTTGCTTTTAGAAAAAATATTTGGTTTTTACAGAAAAGAAAATACTCTTTATTTATCAAAAAATTATTTGCTTTCCCTGAAAAACACATGTACTCAACTTTTCTTATCAATTGCTTTTTAGAACCAATATAAAAGTAAACAAAAGTGAAATAAATTTGCATGCTTCACTTCAAATGACAATTTCTTTCTTCTAACAACCCTGAAGATTGAATAGGTCACCTAAGTTCTAGATATATTATTAGAAAGAAAATCACAACAACGTGGTTGGCCTTGAGAATAAGGGGAGAGACCACTGCTGCCTTTTCCCTGTTCCACTGGGAAACTTCTAGTCTCTCTCTGCAGTGTCTGTCTTACTGATTTAGATTTGAGCAATGGCCCTCTGTGTAAGATCCTATTGGACCCATCTCATAAATCTAGGGGACAAATCCCCACTTTCCCTCTAACATTGATGGAAACAAAGTAAGGAAATGAACACCTTTTAGAGCAGCTGTCCCCAATGTTTTTGGCACCAGAGAGTGGTTTCATGGAAGACAATTTTTCCATGGATCAGGTGAGGTTGGGGGTGGCTTCAGGACGATTCAAGTTCATTACATTTATTGTGCACTTTATTTCTATTATCACATTGCAATATATAATGAGATATTTATACAACTCACCATAACATAGAATCAGTGGGAGCCTTGAGCTTGTTTCCTGGAACTAGACAGTCCCATCTGGGGGGATGGGAGACAGTGACAGATCATCAGGCTTTAGATTCTTATAAGGAGAGGGCAACCTGGATGCCTCACATGCGTAGTTCACAGTAGGGTTCCTGCTTCTATGAAAATTGAATGCAACCACTGATCTGACAGAAGGCAGAGTGCAGGTGGTAATGAGGTATGAGGAGTGACTGTAAACACAGATGAAGCTTCCCTCTCTCACCCGCCTCTCACCTCCAGCTGTGCAGACTGGTTCCTAACAGGCCATGGACTGACAGCAATCTGTGGCTCAGGAGTTAAAGGCCCCTGTTTTAGAGCATCTGTCCAATATTGGCTCTATGCTAAGAACATTCCATGGGTTATCTTATCTAATCCTTACAGCAGCACTTCAAGATAAGTATTGTCTCACCTCTGAAGTTAAAGCTTATGATTTGACTCTAAATCTTTGCTGCTTTACAGCAAGCTACAAAATACCAGGCTTGACCCTTTCACTGGCATACTTTTTTTCTTGTTATTGGTCATCTGACGATTCCAAGCTTCAGATTCGCTTCAATGACAGCACATGCGTCTGCAGCTACATGCATTTGTGAACCTGTAAATTCTTAACTGTAGGTGAGAACTACTTCCAGACATACTGTGTTCTGGGTGGGCTACCTCTTTTTTTCTCATGTGGATCTACTGTGAAATATGAATAGTGATGGATCTGAGCATAGAGTTGAATGTCTGTAGGTGTTTTCATGTAGAAAGCTGAAACAATTTGCTACTGTTTCTGACATAGAAGCCACGCAGTTTCTTCTCTAGTTTCCTACATCTCAGGTTTTCCTCTCACTGCATGAGGTATTGGAGGAGCAATGTGCAAGAAATCAGAAGACCTGGTCTCTGATACTTTTTCTGCCATTTATTAGCTATTTCCCACTAAAAAAGAAATCACTTGGCTTATTGCAACTTCATTCTCTCTTTGATGCAAAGAAGAGAGATAATAGTACCCAACTCTCTGGTTGCTATAAAAACCAAATAAGTCATGTGGAAGTAATTTGAAAACTATAAAGGACTTTTAATGATGCTAAAATTCAAATTTATTCTTGTTACACCCTGGGTAGAACCCTTCACAGCTTCTAGTGTTCTTAAATTAAAATCCAACCTCCTTGTCACTGTTCACCAGTCCAGGTTCTGGGTTGCAAACAATTAGAATTAATTCTTATGATCTTTTACGGAAAGAGGGAGCTCTTTGGAAGACAATAATGGGCCCAGAGAATCCCTGGGAGACTTAGGAAATGAGATGAACAGCGGGATGTCTGGAGGTCAGATGGAGGGAACAGTCTGGGAGGACAGAGCATCAGACAGTGCCACTGCCACTGCTGGATGAAATGGGGATGCCAGTGCCATGAAGAATTCTAAACTCTTATTTTGATTTTGCATCTCTTGTTCCAGATTGAAAGACTCAGGGAGGTGAATGATTGGCTGAACATAGGTCCTAGGACTATGACTTGGATGCTAGCGGATGGATAGAGGATCACTTCTCTTTATCTTCCAGAGCAGGAGACTACAGTTATAGATACTACCAATGCCATGCAGAGTCGGACATGCCCCCAAATAGAGAAAGAGGTTGCATGCTAGACAGTGAAACCAAAGCAACAAAAAAAAGCCTCAAACTCATACCCACCACTTCCTGCATAATCTCACCCCGCTTCACTCCTTAGCTCACCTGGCACCACCAACAACCCCCCAACCACTCACCCCCCACCAGCCCCCAGCCATGCTGCAGACTTGCAAGTCTTATTTCACTTAATTTTTTGTGCCAAGCTCTTTTCTACCTCAATGCCACCCAACTGAGATACCTGGAATTCTCTACCATTCTCTATGTTTTTCCTTTGACTAACCTTTCTTCACCTTAAAGTATCACCTGCATGGAAACTTCTGTGGAAAATACTTGTCTGACTACCACCATTCTTGTCCAAATCTAGATTAGCCCCACTCCCACCCATTGTAGACTGTCATACAAACTTGTGCTTGAAGAGGTTTCTTCTTCATTTCATTCATAATTAAATAAGCATTGACATGATTTTGTAAATATCTGTCTCACCCCTTAGAATGAGACAGATCATGAGAATATGATCTCTATCTCTTATTCATGGATGTACCCCAATTTTCAGTAGACGCTCAAGAAATTTTTATCAGTTGAATGAACAGGTTAATAGACAGGTGTGTGATGATGTGCTTACCAGCTCTGAGACCCTCACGTGTTTCCATTTTCCCCTGTTAGTAGGCATGACCTGTCCTCCTTCCTCCTTTAGGCTGCAAGATCCTAGAGACATGGCCATGTACTTACGCTTTTTTGTACCTTTCTCACTGGCATAATTCTAGGAACACTGGATAATGGCTCAGCAGATGGTTGGATACATGAAAAAAGTAGCTGAAGTGGTGGTGAAAAGACTCCTTCTACTATTCTTCTTTGAGCCCTTCTGGTACATCTTAAATGAAATTACTTTTGTTACCATAAACTAAGAGAAAAAGAGTAAGTACAAGCATCTTATCATGAGATAAATATGGACTAGGTTTCCATTATGTATGATAAGTGTTAAAAGTAATCTTAAAATTTCATTTCCCCCCGCACCAAAGAGCTTACCTTAGAGTTTGGAAGACAGGTCGATAACACATGAGGAATTAAACAATAAAGCTGGAAACAATAATACAAGATAGTAGTAAAGGAGATGTTATGTGATAGTGTATCATTAATTGCCAATAGAGCACAGACAAGAAGAGCTATTCATTCTGAAGAGAAGGAGGTTTTAGCTTTTAGAGTAGCCCTCTCTCTTCACTGACTACCATTCACAGACACACTCTTCCCAAAGGAATTGCACCTCTTAAGAAACACTTCTCCCCACCTTCCTCCTTCCAGCCCCTCCTTCCCCCTCCTCCTTCCCAAGCACATTTTGTGTTGTGAATCCTGGATACAATCACCTTCTCATGCTCTAGATTTCAGGCTGCAACTCTGTGTCTTTCTCAAGAATCTTTGTGTATGAATCATTGTCACACCAGAGGCCCCATAGCTGTTGCTGCTCTGCATAAGATAAGCACAAAGGTAGGTGTAGACATAAATGACATAAATGGTCACTGCTCCGGAAAGCCCATTATTTGGTTTGGCTAGACAACTCATTTGCAGCAAATTGCAGTAGTTGCCATTTTTCATGTAGTTTTTTGTTTTAATTTTTTATCTTTTAAGTTCAGGGGTACAAGTGCAGGTTTGTTATATAGGTAAACTTGTGTCATGGGGGTCTGTTGTACAGATTATTTCATCACCCAGGTATTAAGCCTAGTACCCTGTGAAAGGAAAATATCTTAGGCCCCAAAAGTCACTAAGAAAAACTCAAGCCTGGAACTGCAAACCTGCCTCCCGTTCTAGTCAAAGTCACCCCTCTGCTCACTGAGATAAATGCATATCTGATTTGCCTCCTTTGGAAAGGCTAGTCAGAAACCAAAAGAAGGTAACCATTTGTGTCTCACCTGCTTGTGACCTGGAAGCTCCTCCTCGCTCCAGTCTTCCTGCCTTTGCTTCAAGTCATCCCACCTTTCCAGACCCAGCCAATGTACTTCTTCCGTACATTGATTGATGGCTCATGTCTCCCTAAAATGTATAAAACTAAGCTGTGCCCTGACCACCTTGGGCACGTGTCATCAGGACTTCCTGAGGCTGTCACAGGTGCATCCTCAATTTTGCCATAATAAACTTTCTAAGTTAACTGAGACCTGTCTCAGATTTTCTGAGTTCACAACCCATTAGCTATTTTTCCTGATCCTCTCCCTCCTCCCACCCTCCAGCCCCTGACAGGCCCCAATTTTGTGTTGTTCCCTCTATGTGTCCATGTCTTCTCATCATTTAGCTACCACTTATAAGTGAGAACATGCCGCATTTGGTTTTCTGTTCGTGCATTAGTTTGCTAAGGAAAATGGCCTCCAGCTCCATCCATGTTGCAGCCAACAATCTTCTAGCTTTGTTAACCAGAAATGAGCCCCATCACTAAGAATCTTGGATTCTCTCTGTTCTCCGTGGACTTTCAGCTTGCAGGGCTCTTGGCTAGGAGTCTGGGTCAAGTTCAGAGACAGACTGACCAGTACGGATTCCAGCTCTGCTGCTTTCTTTAACTTCCTTATGCCTCAGCTTTCCCATTAGTAAAATGGGTGCCATAAAATGATCTACCTTCTGGGTTTATTGTGAACATTTAAAAATGGCACACATGAAGGCTGGGCACACTACCTGGCACAGAGGAATCCGCAAATTTTAGCTGCCAGTATTACTGTTGTAGGACGTTCTCCTTAGTTAAGCTAAAAGCGGGATCCTTGTCACAGGACCAGGAAAGATTAGGTTCGTGGATACACGGAAGGGTGAGAAAAATGGAATTTACTGAGCATAAAGGAAAGAAACTCAGCAAAGCAAGAGAGGTTCCTGTTAATAAGCCCCCATCTCATAGACTGAATCCCAGGTTTCCACCCAGGAACAAGAGGGGCCAGGCTCCTCCCTGCTGCAAATGGCATGAACTCCTGTGGCTCCACCCCACCCTCCCAGTGCGCAGGCCAGGCATAGGTTCTCCAGGGACCTCTTTATATTTGGCTGTCTCATTACTGTAGTTGAAACGTTTTTGGCTCCCTTAGCTGTTGCATGTATGTGCATTTTCCCCAACTTTTTTTTTTTGTATATCCCTTCACTCTTTCCCATCACATATTCCATAGAAAACATTTGTGATTGGACAGAAAAGTGAAAATTATCCGTTTGCATTGAAGCTTTAATGGTAACAAACCCACATGAATCCTTCACAGTCAGCTGTAGCACAACGCCTGCTGGTTAAAGCTCAACAGGCTGGTCAGGCTTGCTGGTGGAGTGTGTGTGCTCTACCAGTAACCTCGGGGTGGGAAGTGAACTCACAGGGTTAGCAAGAATTAACAGAAATCGAGTTATAATTAAGCATTTATCAGCTGTACTTTGGCCCACTTCCTTGTAGTGGAAAGTCATGTAGCACTAGATACTCACCATTTGCATTCCCATTGTTCCTAGAGATAGGATTTTTGGAGTTAGAATCATACGGCTTTTGTTAAAGACAGATAGGATCTCCAGCATTAGGTCATAAGGCTTTTGCTTAAGGTGTTTTTCACATCCTGAATCCCAGTGAAACAGCTGATGCCCACTGGTTTGAAGACCACCACGGAGGAAAAGAAGCAGCATGAGAATACAGCTTCTTCATCTCCTTGTCCCATGACTTTATTCTGCATTCTGACCAATCAATGATCTCCAAACTTCAGACCACTCCAAAGCCCTTAAAAACCCTAGCCCCAAACTCCTCAGGGAGACGGATGTGAGTTTTCATCCCATGTCCTCATTTGATGGCCCTATGATTAAACCCCTTTCTCTCTGCAATGTAGTGACTTGCTGTGTGCATTGGGCAACTGACCCATTACCATTACAGAAGCATGTCAGAAGTCGGGTAAGAAGGGTCAACCTTTTGAACTGTGTGTCTTGCAGCGGAAGCAGCATAGCTTCCAGAGAGCAGCTGGAGGAGGAATGGGAAGCAGGCCAGGCCTACCTGTTCTCCATGTGGCTCTTCTTAGTGAAGGGGACCTTTCCCTCTCCCCTGGTGCTCTTGCCAGTCTGGAGTCGTGGTCATTGTCTGGAACGATTACTCCTGTTGTTTCAGCAATCAACAGACTGAATTGTGTTCATCTCACTGAGATTAGAGAGAGAGAAAAAAAATCCCAACTGTACAGTGGACCACAGCAGTCTGTGTGAGCAGGCTAATCAGGAAAACAATTTCCACCTGGGCAAAGCGGCATTCAGGACAACAAATACTATGTCATTTTCGGGCAATTAGAGATGGTTGTTCTCCTTTCTCCATGCATGTTAAATTGTGTGTGTACAGCACAGGGCAGAAACACTGAGCAGAAAGGAATAAAAGAGACCCAACATTCTCCTTTTAATTAGCTTCTCCTCTGACATGAGTCACATCTCCCTCTGTCCACACTTCCTAGGTCCTCTAATCATTTCTTACCATGGGCAATGAACATATGTCCCCTCCATTCCCCTAACAGGCACCTGTCTGCACAAGGAGGCGGGTGAACCCCCGCTTCCCCTCCCTCTCTGCCGAAGGAGATGTTTCAGCTTCGAATTTCAATTCGGCCCCTGGGTCTGAGGCCCAATTTTGAGCAAGTTGGCATGGGGTGGCTTCTGGTGGTGTACTTTTTAATTGCATTATCCTGGGTGATGAAAATCTTTTCATTCTTCATGCGTAAAGCCCATGCAGCACGGGGCACACACTTCCCACCGTGACTTTGAGCCGGGGCCCAGTTCCCTCCCAGGGCCACTTTGTCAGCTGTTCTAAGATCTTTTGTCATCTCAGTGCTATTAATTGCCCTTGAGCAGCACCAGGCTTTTTAATTCAGATTTCCCTAGAACAGCAGGAGGGAAAATGGAATGATTATAAAAGGGGGTTAATGTTAATTGCTAATGTAGGTAGAGGTTTTTGTCCTTGGTTAAGATAGCCCTTTACATTTTATAATCTTGAAATAAAGAAGTAGAGATTGAGTAAAGAATCCTTGCAATCCAAGGACCTTCTTGATAAACTGCAGGAGAGGAGATGAATGTACTTTCCTTTGTTTCCTTGGTTCATTTGATAAAATCAGCCCACAATCAAGGTACCCAAAAGATCTTGCTTGAGTCAGAGATATAGAAGATTTCTGTTAGGGCTACACAGTAAATGCCCTGATTTCAGAGCCTCAGAGGGATACAAGTGACAAAAATTCAATCTTAGAAATAGAAAGGCAATGTTATGTAGACTTCTTAGGGGACCTTTAATACCATCTATACTGCCGATGGCAGGTGAAACAATAAAGTATCACAAAAGGGCACCTGTGTGGGATTTAGAATAAAAAGTTAAAGGATCAAGACCTTGTTGTAGAATTTAAAAGACTCCGAATAGAATTTTAGCACCAACAGGTAAGGTAATCCACTATTTTCACACCAAGAGAAAGAAGTCATGTTTTCCTTTTTTTTTTAACAGAATTATTATTTTACCTATTTCTTCAACAGAGCCTATAGATAAATATGGTGTTGCAATTATGTCCAGAGTTGTATTATTTCACAATTTTTTTGTATAAAAAATTATTTTAGGTAATGTGAAAAAAAAACTCACTTTGTATTGTGGTAGATGAATATTTGTTTTTCCTTCAACGGTAATCATCAGAAATCCAAAGAAGTGTGGCTTTTCATACTCACGAAATCCAATTTTGGATCTTCATCCGAGTTCAACCCCACATTCCCCCTTAAATGAGAAGGCAGAAGACCCTCAAGCACCCGGTGGCTTCTTGCCACCATTTTGCAGGTGACAGTGTTTTGTTTGAGAATCCACTCAGCTTTGAATCTGCCGCAAGCCCTGGGAAGCTGGGCTCCACCACGGAGCTCTGAGTTATAGTGATCTCTCTCATTTTCATCAAATCATGACACCTTTCAGCATGACATCAAACAACAAAGGAGGTTTGAAATATTTGAAATTTAGGGGACAGATGCAGTGGCTCATGCCTGTAATCCCAGTGTTTTGGGAAGTCAAGGTGGGAGAATTGCTGGAGGCCAGGAGATCAAGACCAGCCTGGGCAGCATAGGAAGATCCTATCTGATATGGTTTGGAGGTTTGTCCCCTCCAAATCTCCTGCTGAGAGGTGCTTTCCAGTGTTGGAGGTGGAGCCTGGTGGGAGGTGTTTGGGTCATGAGGGTGGATCCCTCATGAATGGCTTGGTTTCATCCTTGTGAATATGCATTGATTTCTCTCTCTATTAATTCTTGCAAGATCTAATAGTTAAAAAGAGCCTGGCACCTCCTCCTTGCTTTCTTGCTCCCTTTCTCACCATGTGACATGCCTGCTCCCCTTCTCCCTTCTACCATGAGTAAAAGCTTCCTGAGGACCTCACCAGAGGCTGAGCAGATAGATGTTGGTGTCATGCTTATAAAGCCTGCAGAACCATGAGCCAAATAAACCTCCTTTCTCTATGAATCACCTAGTCTCAGGTATTTTTTTATAGCAACACAATGGACTAACACACTAAGTCTACAAAAATATTTAAAAATTAGCCTGGCACAATGGTGTGCACCTGTAGTCTCAGCTACCTGGAGGCTGAGAAGTGAGGATCACTTGGACCCAGAAGTTCAAGGCTGCAGTGAGCTATGATTGTGCTACTGCACTCCAGACTGGATGACAAAAAAAGAAAAAGAAAAAGAAAGAAAGAAAAAGAAATCTTTGGGTTCACCATTGCAGTCACCTAATGAGTGGTCAGTAAATGTTAGGCAGGATTTTAATATTGGCCAATCTGTGTCAGGACATTGTAGCATAGCAGGCACAGTGTCATGCCTAAAATTAGAGTGACTCTTGAGGGTGAGAGGGAGCACCATTAATAATTTCACTGAGACAAGGGCAGAAAATGGGACAGCCCCAAACTTAGAGCCATCCTCACTCAAATCATGTCCTATTTCTTCAGCATGGGTCTTGCCTGCAGCTATCGGGAGGGTCCCCCTTTTCCAGTGAATGCTGCTTTCAGTGTGACCTCTCCCCTGGCTTAGATGGGCCTGATTCCTGATTGAGATCCATCTACTTGTCATCCGTCTTCCCTGGACCCCACCTAAAAAAGCAACAACTGTGACTGGCTCACAGGCTAGCCGGCTCAAACAGTACATTGTCCTGGAGCTGATGCAAAGGGCAAAATCATTCATGGTGTCTGGCCACTGGCTCCTTCCATCAAGATAAAGCCCTCTTCAGCGGGGAACTCTAGCCACGGAAGCACTCCTGGGCGCCCAAACACAGCCGCCCCTCTCATCAGCCCACAGCCGCGGTAGCACTTAGAGCCACAGATGACAAAGACCCTTCACAGAGGGGATCGATGACAGGGTGAGCGGAGGAGAGCTGGCAGGAACAAAGATCCTCTGGTGCTCAGAATCTGCTCTGTCCTCCAGGGAAAGGCAAGCGAACATTGTGCTGGTGATCATTTCTGCACCTGCCCGCCTGCCCCTCCCAAACACACACTCTCATTTTTTTTTTAAAGTCAGTTGTCACTAAGAAAAAAAAAATCTGCTGCAGCGAAGTTTTTTTTCATTCTCTGTGATAACCATGCCAAATGTAATGTTTATAAGGTGAAGAATGGAGGAAAAAAGACCTCTTTCTGACTATTCTCTCAGACAAATCCTTGGAAAAAGTA
This sequence comes from Homo sapiens, assembly GCF_000001405.40. NCBI lineage: Eukaryota > Metazoa > Chordata > Mammalia > Primates > Hominidae > Homo > Homo sapiens. Next base: position 33,557,163 of record NC_000010.11, read on the forward strand.
AAATTCTATCAAACCACTTTTTTAAAACTTGAAATTACTGGATTAGAAGAGAGTGTGTAAAATCTACTGCTTCATTTTCTTTTTTTTTTTTCCAGGAGGATAAGCATTCATAGCTTTTTTAGTCTACACATTGCATTTTTCCTCCCCATCTTCCCTGTTCCTGCAACTCAAAAATGAGAGTTAATAATGCCTGCCTCTCCTGCCTCTGAGGATTTTGTGAGGATGATAATAATAAAATAACATGAATACTCTGTGTTTCTGTGGTACTGTTTAGTTAATAAAGCACTTTCACTTCATCTTCCAACAACCCAGTGAGGTGGGTGATATGAGTTGCTGCACCTCAATGTGGGCTGAAAGCCTCACATGACACAAAACACCAGGCATCGTGCTCATTGATGGGGTCACTGTTAAAAATGATGATAATGAGTATCCACATTTTCAGCAGGACAGAATGGCTGGAATACTTCATAGGCTGCTCCAGGCATCCTCTACTACTGTATTTTTGCTTCCCAAAGAAGTGGGTGAATTGAGGTATGCTAGGGTTAGTTGTGGCAGGGTTGGGACAACAGCTCCATTTGTTATACCACGCCTCCTAGTGCCCGCCCTTTCTAAATCCTGTATCCCCTAGAAAGATTGTGAACTTATTCAGCTTAATTCTCTCCTACTCCAGTGAGCCCTCACTGCCTTCCACCTGTCTTGGTCACATCATTCCGTAGTCAAGAGTGTCTGTGGTCCATGAGACAGCATGGAAGCCCACCTCCAGCATCCCTCCGGAAAGCCAACATGGTACAATCTCTTGTTTCTGTGCAGCTTGGCACTTTGTCTCAGACGCAGGAGTCGGGCAGGAAGAACAAGGCCTTTTCAATCTCTGACTAAACTTCAGAAATTAAACTGCTGAAATTAAATGGATTTTTCAAAATGTCACTTGAGTTTTTGTTTGTTTGTTTGTTTCTTTTTGAGACGGAGTTTCACTCTTGTTGCCCAAGCCGGAGTGCAATGGCGTGATCTTGGCTCACTGCAACCTCCACCTCCCGGGTACAAGTGATTCTCCTTCCTCAGCCTCCTGAGTAGCTGGGATTACAGGCGCACGCCACCACGCCCAGCTAATTTTGTATTTTTAGTGGAGACGGGGTTTCTCCATGTTGGCCAGGCTGGTCTCAAACTCCTGACCTCAGATGATCTGCCCACCTCGGCCTCCCAAAGTACTGGGATTATAGGCGTGAGCCACGGCGCCTGGCCGCCACTTGAATTTTAGATGACATTTCCCACCTAGAATCCTACTCCTTCATTGATGACAGCCACCTTCTCCTTGGTCCAGTGTCACTGCTCTCTTTGGTCTCAGATGGTGTTTCCTTGGGGAGCCTTTGAGGAGTTCTCCGAGTTCTTCTGTGGGCAGCCACAGCACTTTGAGGTCACCCACCTGTAGCAGCGTCATCTCTTGTTTTCTCTGTTATCACTATCAGTTTTCAAGACGATGAGCTTCTTGAAGGCAAGAACTATGATGCCTTTATCTTTCCATTTAAGGCACCTAGTTCATGGTTAACAAGTATTTTTTAAATGAGTTGATAAGATGAATGAGTTAATCAAAGTGGCTTGGAGGAGAGAGAAAGTACTCGCCATCTGGGCTTGCATGGAGCACCTAGACTCATGGGGGATCTGTCAGATGACTGTACTCACCAGAATCACAGTGATTGGAGTTAATCCTGCACCCTCAAAGTTACCTCTGCTTCACTCTATCTTTACACTGCAAAAGCATCATCCATCAACCACCTATCAACCCACAAGTTTCAAAGATTATTTTACAAGGTGGTGGGGAGTATACGTGTGAATTTTTCATAAAGTTCTCATTTAAGGGAAAGATCAGAAAATAATGAGCTAAGTTTTTCTAACAGTCACCACTCTGGTTTCTTGAGGCCCTGAGCACGGAGCTAGGCACACTCTCTTTGCTGACTGGAGCTACTGACTTACGTGGACACCCAGGCTACTCAAATGCTGCAGTAGGGCAGAAGTGAACACCAGGCGGTCAGGACGCAGTGCAGTTGCTCTGGGATTCATCTCTGCCCCTCCCTCAGTCAGTGCCAAATATGAATGAATCATCTCCTGGCTTGGATAACCTGCATCTGCTGCAATGCATTGCTGGCACTCATCTTCTATCGCATTTCAGTTCCTTCAGACAAGTCCCACTTTGCATGATTGATCATTATTTTTACTTTCATGAGGTTTAGGTGGGTGGGATGAAAACCACAGCAAAACAGTATGGCAGGAAGTTCCCTTGCAAAAGATTCATGTATTACCTTTGGGTTATGGCTTCTTAAAACCCAAATTCTTAAGTGTTCTGAGGTTAAAAGCTTCCTATTTGCCACAAAGTTTAAGAATGATGATTTAGCTTGTGTTAGTTTACAAATGCAATTTTGCATTTGGCTGTCTTTAGATGAATTAGTCTTTAATTTTCACGGGGGAAGGTCACTATTAGAGAGATGGATTCTGGATTCCCGACAGAGCTCATTTGGGAAATGAAACTGAGGAATTCTGCTTAAGATACACAGTCTACCTCTTCTCCAGAAATGTTCTTGGTTGGGAGTGAGGTGAGAAGGGAACTGGCTGAGTGGTTCAGGTCTGGAAAGTGTGTTAGGTTGTTCTAGATCACTGAGGTAAATGGAGGAAAAATAAGGGTGTAGTAACAGCCTATAAACTTTTCCTTCGATTTCCTTTCTCCTTGTCTCCCAATAAGTAGATTAAAATAGGAAGGAATCCTGAATCTAATTAATCTCATCATAATATTTTAATTTTATAATTATAGCTACCATTTATCATTCAATAATAATGACTTATTATTTGTTAACCATACCATGTGTAGCCCAATGAGCTGGCCACTGTTATTACCCATATTTTACAGATGAGGAAACTGCTGCTCAGAGCTGCGATGTCACCTGCCTAAGGTCACACTACTTAACACATGGCAGAGCCAGCATCATAACTGAAACTGAGGTTCGTCGGATGCTGCAGTCAATGCTGTATGCACCTCTTTTCTATTTTCTTTCTTGTTTAGAGGATAAGAAGAAGGACATCCTCCGGTGTTAGAGGACCTGTTCTAAGTCACACATCTGGCTAGTGGCACTGCCGTGATAATCACCACGGTCTCTTGACCCAAGGCTCTCCCTCCACTGTGTATGGCCCTGTCACCATAGTACCCGACACGGAAACCATACAACCACATAGCTTCAATATTCTGAGACACTTCCAATTCCTTACAATCGTTTTCTTTTTGATAAGAATTATTTCTATTGTATACCTAAATAATGTGTTTTTATAGACTTCTCTTTGTTCTATCCACAAATTCACAACTTATTTCATAAGGTACTGCTTTTTAGATCATAGTTTTTAATTTTCAGTTGGGAAAAAATGGCCACTCTAAAGAGATGCCCCACATATAGCTTTGGAACAAGGGTGTGTGTGGCAATTAAGCTACCCTAAGTGTAATCTGAGTGGGCAGCGAATGGGAATTGAAGGGCTCTGAAAAGCTGATGTATTCCACCCCATCCATCCATTTCCCTGACTGAGGGTCTAAGATTCCTGATATTGAAGTCACTTCTTTGGGTGAAGGTATTGTATCACCAGTTACAACAGACATGTGATATTGCTTATTGTCTGTTTACCTCTTGCTTCAATGCATGGACTCCACAAGTTTTCTGGGAAGAGGTTAAAGTGAGGAGACCAAGGGAAGGCAAGTTTTGGCAGAAGTGGAATTCAGGAAAGAGTCAGGGCAGGAAAACTCAATACTAACAGTTATTTTAGATAGAAATAAGGCCCAAGGGGACACTTGGGGTTGAGGTTAGTCAATATAGGAAGAAAAGATTTTTGCCAAGTTAAAAAAAAATTATGATTCTCTTGCTAGCTAAGATACTTTCAAGAAATATTTAGGAATAGTTTGGGTAGTACATGGGTGACACAGTGCCACATATTCAAAGTAGAGAACCCAAGGAAACAGAGAAGGGTCCAAAAAGGTATATAAGGGGACTGAAAGACAAACTCACCCTGCTAACAAGTTCATGAAGTCCTGTCACTGACGCCTGGTTATGGTTCCTTGAAAGGGCAGCCTTGCCGTGGTGCCTGTCACACATGCCCCCAGTAGAGTTCAGATCAAATCATTCCCTCTGTGGGGATGGGGGTGGGGACATTGACACCCTGAACCTCTGAGTCTGTACAGCACAATCAGCCCCCTGGGTCCCAGCTTTCTTCCTCATGTGCAAAGCAGGTGTGTCCCCATGGTGTCCTGCAACTCTCTCTCCATCGCTTCCCCTGCCATGGCACATGCTGCCCAGTGCGTACCTAGAAGGGCTGGTGGGCACTCAGATGGGGGAAGGTGAAGAAAGGTCATGGGTGCCACCATATTCCAGTGACCACATCGGCCACCACCACCTCTGCCCTTCACCTGAGATTCAATCAGCCACACAACAAATCACCCGGTATTCTCATCAGATCAGACAACGTCTTCATTCACTCTCAGGTGTGGGGGACATGATTCAAACCAGAGATAAGGTCCCAAGAGGGCCTTGCTGCTAAATTGGTTGGATAAGTGGCAAGCGCAGCAAATCAGCCCTTAGTGAGTTTAGCATTTGAGAATCACCATGATTATTGCTTGATGGGAGAAAAGGGAGAAGATGAGCTAGGAAACCAAGTACCCTACCCCTGACGTCCTATTGTTGAGTAATCAGGGCCAATCATAGACCCATGGTGCGAAGAAGAAGGCTTTGTTAATCACAGTGTGCAGAAAATTATATTTTGGCTAAGGAAAGCCTCTTTAGCATGCATTTTGCCTACTGTGTGGGTTTGGGGGGAAATTATGTAACAAGGAGAGGTGTTGCTTATGGGAAGCAAAGTGGCACCCTCTGTGCCCCCCACCATTCCTGTCTCAGACTCCAGGAAACTGCTTCCATTTTCTTACAGCTGCCAGGAGCAGGCAGCGGGCACCAGCACCTCCTTCCTTAAGTGAGCCCGGACACCCTGGATGGGATTTGTCCACGGGGAGACTTTAGAGGGTGATATCCCACTACTGCCCGCAGTTCACTTGGTGGAAGTTTATTCAAAAGCATTTCCCTGAATCTTAGGGGGTGAGTGCCTCTCTGACAGCCAAACAGAATGTGACTTCTTTCTTCCACCGTTCCCAGCAAAGCATGCAACCCCTGACTCTCAGTGGGGAATTTACTTGCTGAAAATAGCAGATCCTGGACTGGCTGCTTCTTAGACCTCCTAATTCACCGCCATTGGTTCCCCATTCCTCTGCTGGCACAGACTCGGGACTTCTGAAACAAGTTTAATAGCAACCTAATTTCAATCAAGATATTGACTAAAATTTTTGTTTTTGGTAAAAAGAATAACAATACAAATAAATATAAAATGTCACTTGGAGGTCAAACGTCTTATGAAAGTAAATACTGCGCTTGTTTTTTAAGGCAGTCAACGTTATTAAGATCCCCCACTTAGAAGATGGAGACTGGTTGGTTCTCCACTGTAGTAGGCTAGAAGTGCTGAGAAAAAAAGCCTGGGTAGCTTTCTTCATGCTGCCTCGGTCCTTTGGGTGGGAGGTTGGAGTGCAGTAAGGAGAGAAAATCAGTAAGAAGGTGGAAAGGAAGCAAAAGAGCTTAGGACTAGTCCTAGCAAAAGCAGAGACACTACCAGAGCCTCTCTGGCATCTTTGTTCCCTCCAGTGTGGGAAAATGATACCTGGAATGAACTGTGAGAGTATGGCACCTTTTCCACACCCCTGATCTTTCTTTCCCTTTGGAAGGACTTCCATTAGCACTAGACTCTTGGCCTCTCTCTTTACAAACCTTCACTCTTTCCTCCACAGTGACAAGGAGTAAGTAACCAAGAACAGGTCAAGAATGTTTGAATCTCAGTTTTATAGGTGGTATGAGATATTGGGTTAAGATTTCAAGACATTCCTCCAAGCCACCTTCCAAATGTATTTGTAAGTTTCTTCACGCTGAGGGTCATGCAATATACTTCTTTGTGAATATCTGTCAACACCCGTTCTTTCACGGAACAGTGGTAATGTTTGGGAAAATGCTAGCTTCCTTTTCTTTTTTGCATTTTTGTGTATTTCTCCAACATGAGGCAGCCTTGGCCCAGTTATGAAGAGGAAGCACCGTGGTTAGGCAGAGGTGGCTTATTTGGTGGTCCAAGCCTATGTGGGTCTACTGAACCAATAGATGGTGGCTGTTAAGGTGCCTGAGAGACATATAGGCTGGGTCAGGGACAGATGGGGGATACGCCAGACACTCGGCAGTGACTGCAGCACCATCAGCTGATGAGAAAAGGCCAAACCTTCAGGGACCTGACCAACTTGCACAGGAATAGGCCATGAGTTCATCAGCCATAGTGACCAAGAGCACCACCAACATGTGGATCAGCTCTGGCAGCTAGAGCAGAGTCAAATCCGCTTTGGGGGCCCCTTTCCCCAGGCGATGTAAGTCAGCCCAGCATCTGCGGTCCCTGGAGTAACATCTCAGAGACAAGCCAGGAGACAGAGGACCAATCTGAAAGACTGCTCAATTGTACCGAAAAGGCTAAGTTAAACCTCAAAAGAGAGTGTCAATTTTTGTTTCCAATGGAGATTTAAACTGATCTAAAGATTTTCTCCCACTACCTAGCAAATGGGCTCCCAGCTCATAAAAAAGATCAGGTCAGTTAGAGATTAAATAAAGAATCCATATCCTCTTCAAACATCCTATTTGTAGTAGGAATAATGTTGGCCAGGCTTTTGGTATCATCTATGTATTAAAATAGCAGTGTTGGCCAGGCACGGTGGCTCATGCTTGTAATCCCAGCATTTTGGGAGAGCGAGGTGGGTGGATCACTTGAGGTCAGGAGTTCAAGACCAGCCTGGCCAACATGGACAAACCCCATCTCTACTAAAAATAAGAAAAAAAATTAGCCGGGCATGGTGGTGGGAGCCTGTAATCCCAGCTATTCGGGAGGCTGAGACAGGAGAATCACTTGAACCCAGGAGGCAGAGGTTTCAGTGAGCTGAGATCGTGCCATTGCGCTACAGCCTGGGCAACAAGAGTGAAACTCCATCTTAAAAAAAAAAAAAGAATAATGTTGTGATCACGCTATATCCATTCCTTCATCCATAGTGATCATACACCTGCTACACATTAAGAATTGTGCTAGGCACTCAGGATACTGATTGAACTTGAGGAAGATGATGGAGTTTTTTGGTCCAGCAACAATGCTGTCTGCCTAGACAATAACAGAGGGGCCTTTACATGTGCTGGAAAAGTTGGACTCTTCAGCTAAGATATGTGCCTTAAATAGCTTAAGTCTTCTAAAGTTCTAATTCTCTGGCAAAATAGTTATTATTCCACTGAGAGTAACTGGCTTAAGGTTATTGCTGCTGACTTTTCTGCAATGGGATGAAATATGGACTATAATGAGACCACAGAAGGAAAGCATAGAGCCCGACCAACAGTGGCTCCAAATATTTGTTCAGTAACATTTATGAATCAAAATATCATTGTGGCCAGGCATGGTGGCTCACGCCTGTAATCACAGCACTTTGGGAGGCCAAGGAAGGGGGATCACTTGAGCCTAGGAGTTTGAGACCAGCCTGGGCAACATTGTGAAACCCTGTCTCTACCAAAAAAAAAAAAAATAGCTAGGCATGATGGTGCGTTCCTGTAGTTAGTCGTAGCTACTTGGGAGGCTGAAGTGGGAGGATTGCTTGAGCCTGGGAGATGGAGGCTGCAGGGAGCCAAGATTGTGCCACTGCACTCCAGCCTGGGCAACAGAGCAAGACCTTGTCTCAAAAAAAAATTATCTAAATATATAATTATATATCATTATATTATATATAAATAAATATATATTATATTATTATATATAATATATAAATATTTTAATTATATATAATTATATAATATATATTTATATAAATAATTTATATAGAATATAATTATGTATATATTTATACATAATTATATATATATACTTTTATATATATAAAAAATTGTAAAGCCATTCCTCAGGGCAATGAAAGAGTTAGGTAGTTTATGGAGACCTAATCAGCTGTGCAAGTTTTCTAAACCCCATTGTAAAACTGATGAATCCAAAGCACAGGAGAAATTATGAAATCTATCACACTGATAATTGGTACAAGAGGAAATACAAATAACAAACATGGAGAAATAATTTATATCTTCACAAGCATAACCAAAGAACTGCATACTAAAGCAAACTTGAGGATTTATTTTCACCTGAATTAGCAAAAAAAAAATAGTATCAGCAATTTGCTTAAAAAAACAGTGTTATACATTCACTGCTATATTACTGTTGGCATTGGTATTATAAACATTTTTGGGGAAAGAAATATGACAAAGAACAGGCAGAACAACAAAGACTGTCATAAACTGTAGCCTAGTAATTTTATTCCTAAGACTTTATCCCAAGAAAATAATTCAGTAGAAGCAAAAACCCTATGAAGAAAGAGGAAACGAAAAAAAGTCACAATTTGAACAGTCAACAAGACATTGTAGTTACATTACACAATAAATTAAGATGCAGACACTGAGAAAAATAGCTAAGAAAAATATATGGCAATGTGAAAAATGTGAAGTGTTATTAAAATAAAAAGCAGAGCTAAAATGATACTACAATTGCAGCTATATAAAACATGAACATTATAATAAGCAAAAAATGGCAGCAGTTGTGTTGAGATGGCATGATTACCATTTTTTCAACATTTTTAACATTGTTAAACATCTCATTTCAAATAAAAATGTATTCACAAATAAAATCTAAGGTCTCCCTCAAATATATAATGGTGCATTGTCTGATAAATTTCAAAAATAGTCCCACGTATGATAGCTGCACTTCGGGGGCTGGGAAATGGCTTTTAACCAAGATCTATAAGGAGCGTGTTGAGTGGTTTGAGGTGTGTTCAGAATAGAAGCAGCACGTAGAGAAAAGTCATCGCTTCTTCCAGGAACCACATTAACCAGCTCCCTATCACTCAGCACATCAGACACGGCCTCAGGCTTCCCAGAACTCCCACATTCTGGTGGAAATACTCTACAGAAAGCATGGAACAGCCAAGCCAACCAGCCAGGCTGAAAGGTTTTTAATTAGATCAGAAGGGTCCAGTGTGATCTGGATTTCACATGAAATCTATTTTTTTCATCTATTTTCTTATACTCAAATACTACTATTGTTAGTGTCTCTAGGAGACATTCAGCCTGGTTTAACTTATTATTTATTATTTTATTACTTTATCTTATTTTAATTATACAAATGTTACTTTTTATAAGACACATTACTTCCTGGGTATTTGAAAAGGAACCTACCAGGGCCCTTCATCTAAGCTTACTCACAAAAACAATGTCATGGATCTTTTTATTCAAGTGCAGAACGGCAAGGAACTGAAAGGGGCAAGGAAGCTGGCCCACCCCTTTTGTTTGTGCTCAGCACTTTTGATCCCAAGACTTCCTGAGAGAAAAGACAGCACAAACCACCCATGCAGAGAGGCAGAGTGCAGCTGAGTTTTCTATTGCTCCAATTTCCTCAGGAGGACCACCTCGGAGTGACAAGAAACGGAGAGACCATAATGCTGCTATTTTATGTTTTATTTATTTTATTTTATTTTATTTATTTATTTATTTTGAGACGGAATCTCACTCTGTCACCCAGGCTAGAATGCAGTGGCACGATCTTGGCTCACTGCAACTTCCCCCTCCCAGGTTCAAGTGATTCTCCTGCATCAGCCTCCCGAGTAGCTGGGATTACAGGCGTGTGCCACCATGCCTGGCTAATTTTTGTATTTTTAGTAGAGACGGGGTTTCCCCATGTTGCCAAAGCTGGTCTCAAACTCCTGACCTCAAGTGATCCACCCACCTCAGCCTCCCAAAGTGCTGGGATTACAGGCGTGAGCCACCACACCCGGCCAAAGCTGCTATTTTAATAAATAGATGATACCAAAAGCCTTAGCCGGCATTTTACAAAACCTCTTCTCTGGCAGAGGAGGGTTCTCCCTGGCATCTCCATGCACCTTCAGCAAACTCAGGTGACTTGTGCAGCGCGGTGGGTTAATGTTTCAGTTTCATCTCCTCCAGGGGGCTTAGTCCTATCAAGAGCAAGTGAGAACAGCTAGGAAAATTGTTTCCTTTAAGCTCCAGCTTATTACTCAAAATGAACAGTTTTCCTGCAAAGAGCTTTTCTCTGATTATTTGTTACTAAATAATGAGCATAAACAGCCACGAAGTTACCTCACTTGAGATATTAAAGAGTACATTGAAAATAGACTCCAAAAATTCATATCTGCTAAACTTACATCATCTTCTGTTTTGCCTTCTGACAATCATGTGAAAATCCCAAGGATGTTAGAATTTTATTCATCTATTATTAGGCCTGGGCAGGATTTTCCCCATGGAATTGCATACACCCTACTTTGAGGAGGAACCCCAGTAATGCAGTTTCAAATTGCATAGCGAAGATGTTAAGGGAAAGGCTGTATCAAACCTGCTATTTCCTACAAAATAAGCAACATATTGAGCATTTGTTGAGCTTCTAAAACCTGGCCGGACAATATCATGCTAAAAAAATCCAAAGCTTGGAAAATAATTTCCTTATATCATCTTTTCAGGACAATGTCTATATTCTTAGCTCTAGAGAAAATTCCTTCAGTACCTAAGCCCACTCTGTCCTTATAAATGATCCTCAACTGTTTCAGAGCCGAGGAGCCTATTTTCTAAAATGTAAATTACTTTATAAACTACCATAAAATTCCAATTTAATTCACATGCATCAGAATAAAAGGGCTGAGGCCGGCAAGGTGGCTCATGCCTGTAATCCCAGCACTTTGGGAGGGGGAGGTGGGCAGATCACTTGAGGAAAGGAGTTTGAGACCAGCCTGGCCAACATGGAGAAACCTCATCTCTACTAAAAATACAAAATTTGGTCAGGCATGCTGGTGCACACCTGTAATCCCAGCTACTCAGGAAGCTGAGGCAGGAGAATTGCTTGAACCCAGAAGGCCGAGTGTGCAGTGAGCCGAGATCGTGCCTCTTGCCTGGGCAAAAGAGTGAGGCTCTGTCTCAAAAAAAGAAAAAAAAAAAGCAAGAAAAGGTAGTGGTCTTGATCCGGTTACCTTCCAGAGTCAATTGGCAAAACCCCGTCTCTACTAAAAATACAAAAATTAGCTGAGTGCGGTGGTGCATGCCTGTAATGCCAACTCCTTGGGAGGCTGAGGCAGGAGAATCACTTGAATCTGAGAAGCAGAGGTTGCAGCAAGAGGAGATCGCACCACTGCACTCCAGCCTGGGCAACAGAGTGAGACTCTGTCTCAAATAAATAAATAAATAAAAGAATAAAAAGGCTGAACATTTTCAGGGCACATACTTTATGTTGGCAGGGAGAAGGCAGATGTGGTAATGATAGCAAGGGAAGGAAATTCTGATATTTTGGGCCTTTCCCTACAGTGAGGTATAAATTGGCATGAAAGTACCTCCCAAGCAACCCAGGTTACTAAGTCAGCCCTAACATGGCCATAAACCAGTGCATCCTATGAAACTGTTCTTTATAAAACATTTCCTTCTCAAATTCACAGCTACTTAGCCATAGCTATGATTCCTTGGTGACTGAGGAGAGATTTTACCACTTGAACTGTTTTAAAGCAAGACCAAATAAACTGAACAAGTACAGCATTTGCAACCAGTTTCCCTTACAATTCTCTCATTATGACCCCACTTCATCACCAGTGTCAGCTCTGTTCAGGAAGAAGTTCCTACACAGTTCCAGAGAGGATTCTTAATCTATAAGAGAAGTAATAATAATGATGTTTTAAGGCTGTTATCAGTGTACTGAAATACTAAAATAACAACTGAGGTTTTTCTGCTCTCTCCCATCTTATAAAGCCAGGAGCTTCTAACAACAGTGGTTGCTGGTAAGGGATTTTATCAGGTATGATTCTACCATCAAAATTTAAATATGATTTTTCATGCATTCCTGTGCACTTACCTCCAATAACTCCACAAGTTTTTCTCTGCATCTTTTATGGTCTTCTAAGGAATTGGTGGGCTACTCACTTCTAGTTTCATCTCTGAGGCCTCTTTGCTAGTTTCTGTGCCTCTTTAGATGTTCAGCACAATAGAATCAACCAAATTCTCTAAGGAAATATGTCAGTTATTTGGAGAGCATAGAGGACAGCCCTTCTCTTGGTGTTCTCTTATTATTACTGAATGCATAAAATGCTTTCTACTGTAACCCTGAGGAAAATCAGATTTCAAAAAAAAAAAAAAATGCCCAACGCGGTGGCTCACACCTGTAATGCCAGCACTTTGGGAGGCCAAAGTGGGAGCATCATGGGGTAAGGAGTTTGAGACCAGCCTCGCCAACGTGGTGAAACCCCGTTTCTACTAAAAATACACAAATTAACCAGGTGTGGTGGTGCGCACCTGTAATCCCAGCTACTCAGGAGGCTGAGGCAGGAGAATCACTTGAATCTGGGAGGGGGAGGTTGCAGTGAGCCAAGATCACACCACTGCACTCCAGCCTGGGTGAAAGAGCAAGACTCCATCTCAAAAAACAACAAACAACAAAAAAACCCAGCTCTCTGGAGATGGAGGTGTAGAGGAGAGGACAGGGAAATATCTCAACAGAACTTACAGAAGACACCATCACTGAGAATTCAGGCTTAAAACAGGGAACAGGATGTAGTTGTCCAATAAGATGACCAAATTTTCATCTAAAAGAGAAGTCTTTTGCGGGTTATGACATGAAGATTGCAAGTACTGTCCCTTGGGAAAGACACAGCCACTATTAAAGCTACATTATGATTAATGGAATCAGGCCCAGATGTTAAGTTTCAGAAACAGGTAAAGAAGTCCTGCTTCCCAGACCTTCCAGCATAATTACTCAAAAGGGAGGATGGTAATAATTGCACATGCCCAAATCCTTGTGGGCACAGTTTGAAATTACCTACTGTAAACCAGAAATTACTTCATGGTTTCTTGTTTTAACTTGAAAAGTTTTGTGAGTAGTGTATTCTACCCCATAATATACCTATGTTTATTTTAATGCAAAAATAGTGTTTTAAATTGCCATTTATGTTTCCCTGGTGCACTACTGGCATATTAAGTGCCTCCATTTAATAAGTACCAAGCGAAGGGCATAGTTTAGACTTCTACACAGCACTTGAGAGCCTTGCTACAATGCAGATTCTCATGGCAGTGTGGGCAGTGGGGACCAGGATTCTACTTTGTAACAAGCCCTCTGGGGGACTCTGATTTAGACACTAATTAGCCAGGACAGTAAGAATTGGGTCAGCCAAAAGTAGGGATTAAAAGTCTTTGGGTCCTTAGAAACTTGTATTATATGGGTGGCTTAAAGGTCCGTGCCAATGGCTTAAAATCAAGAAAAGGAACTTCTCAGATCTCATTCAGGAGCCAAGAATCGGAGCTCAACTCATTCTGAGCAGGGTGGTGGCAACATGAGTACGTTGCACAGTAAAGAAGCAGAGTGGGTGACCAGGAGCTGTGTCTGCAGAAGAAATTAGGAACCAGGCACTAAGAGGAAGGGAAAGTTCACCAGAACAACTTCCACCAGCATGATGAGCTCAGCATTTAAGCCAGAGAAGTATGTTAGGGGAGAAGGCAAATATTCCTGCTGAGCCAATTTGTGATCAAATTGTATCTTACCTGAGATATAGAATATTTATTTCTACAAGTTAGCAGTCACTCTTTGGGAAAGTGTTACTTTATGTACATTAGATTCTTAACCAATTTCCTTAGGAAAATTCCCAACTTTGTTCTTCATTGTGTTCTAAAGAATGTATGTGAACTCTTATTTCTTTTTTGTGTGTTTGCTTATTTGAGACAGTGTCTTGTTCTGTCACCCAGGCTGGAGTGCAGTAGCACAATCTTGGCTCACTGCAGCCTCAACCTCCCAGGCCCAAGTGATCCTCTCACTTCATCCCCCTGAGTAGCTGGGACCACAGGCATGCGTCACCTCATCCAGCTAATTTTTTTAATTTTTTGTAGAGATGGGGTATCACTATGTTGCCCAGGCTGGTCTCCATCTCTTTGGGCTCAAGTGATCTTCCCACCTCTGCCTCCCAACGTGCTGGGATTACAGGTGTTAGCCACCAACCTGACCTAAACTCTTATTTTTTTTTCTTTTCTTTTTTTTTTATTATTATACTTTAAGTTTTAGGGTACATGTGCACAATGTGCAGGTTAGTTACATATGTATACATGTGCCATGCTGGTGCGCTGCACCCACTAACTCGTCATCTAGCATTAGGTATATCTCCCAATGCTATCCCTCCCCCCTCCCCCCACCCCACAACAGGCCCCAGAGTGTGATGTTCCCCTTCCTAAACTCTTATTTTTAAAGGGGAAAGGGATATGTCCAAATCTAGATAGAGCTAACTGTAGAGAAGAGTTCTAGAGGTCAGGTTCAGAGGGAGCTACAGTCCAAAAGGAGTGAGCAGGAACCTGTGATCATGGGCAGTCAGGAGAGAAACAGCTGCAGGAGAGAGTTGGGGCCACTGCTCCCCTCACCCCTGCTCTTTGCCTCTAAAGCTGAGCCACCTCCCTGCAAGAAAAGCTTGGAATTTCCCTCTGCTTGAGTCATAGCCTAAGACTGGGATTCCCAAATTGAACTTCAAACTGGTGCTCACATATGAGGTATGTCCTGCAGAGGTATGAGGTGTGGCTTGGGATTTCATCATCATGTCTCAGACCAAAGAGTAAGCGAAAGGTAGAACCATGGCAGAGTCAGTGCTCCAGCAAATGATGGGCAGTTGTTTTTTGCTCTGTTCTATTTGGTGTTTTATGTCCTGAGTTTTTAGGACAGATTTTAATTCATAAGTAGTGTCTAGGTAGAGCACGAGTTTTGAGGAGCATCTCATTCTCCACCTTTCCCTAGGTCTACCTCAAATAACATACTGTGGCTCCAGTTCTCCCTCTGGCCTCTCTGTGGGTTGTCTCTACCTCTCCTCAGAAAAGTGTCAGCACGTCCTGGCCAACCAGCATCCTGGATGATCTGCTGTAGTATCAGCAGCCCCAGTCTAAGGAGAGGGCTGCTTGAGGTGGACAGGCCACACAAAGCAGTGTAACCATGCCTAGCCCTTGAGCTACAAGGATCAGGGGCTTTCTTGCCTAGCCTTCATCTCTCTTCTTCATCCTCTCTCTAGGGCCCTTTATCTTCCTCACTCCCCATTCAACTATTTTACAAAAGACAGAACACTTATACACTGTTGGTGGAAATATAAATTAGTACAGCCTCTATGGAAAAGAGCATAGAGATCTTTCAAAGAACTAAAAGCAGATCTACCCTGCGATCCAGCAATCCCATTACTGGGTATCTACCCAAAGGAAAATAAGTCATTATATTAAAAAGACATCTGCACTTCTATGTTTCTCACAGCACAATTCACAATTGCAAAGATATAGAATCAACCTAAGTACCCATCAACCGATAAGTGGATTTTAAAAATGTGTTACACCATGGAATGTCTCTCTCTCTCTCTCTCTCTCTCTCCCTATATATATATATATATGTATATATATATACACACACACACACACACACACACAAACACACACACAATGGAATACCACTGAGCCATAAAAAAGAATGAAATAATGCCTTTTGCGGCAACATGGATAGAATGGGAGGCTATTATCCTAAGTGAAGTAAATCAGGAATAGAAAACTAAACACTGCATGTTCTCACTTATAAATGGAAGCTAAGCATAGGGCACACACAGGCATACAGAGTGGCATAATGAACACTGGAGACGCAGAAGTGGGGAAGGTGGGAGGAGTGTGAAGGATTAAAAAAATCACCTATTGGGTACAATGTACACTATTCAGGTGATGAGTACAATAGAAGCTGAGACTTCACACTATACAGTTCATCCATGTAAACAAAAACCACTTGTACCCTTAAAGCTACTGATTCTTTTTAAAAGAAAAGACAAGACAGGAGAGGGTAAATACAATTGCTCTGAGAGTATTTGTACAAAAAAAATTATATAGAGACCTACATACAAACAGGTTGTATAATCATCCTGACCCTGAAAGGCTCTGTTCAAATAATTTATAAAGATTTAAGTCAAAGAAGTTAACACCTAAGACCCAATAGGATATCCAGAATGAGAATATTCCATTATTAAACCCATATTTATCAAATTGCTAACAGGCACTGAATACTATAGTTTATAGGAAGACTAAACAGCTTACAGACATACAGGTATCCTCAAAGTTAGTTTCTTAATTGCTGTTTCTAGTTATGCTAAGGTTTTCTGCATTCTATGTACTTGGTTACTTAGAGAGACAAGGCCCTTAGTTATGATGAAGAATATGAATTAAAGCATAAATCAGACACCCCAAGGAGCTTGCCTGGTTTGCCAAATACAGATATCATGCATATAAAGGTTGAGCTATAGAATGTGTTTTATTGTGATTATTGTCAAAAAAAATCCTCATTAACCAGAATAGAATATATGTTTCCTAATAATCACAACACAATGCATAACATTTATTGAGCAATTACTAAGAGAAAGGCGGTGCTAATTGCTTTAGCTGCATGATATAATTCACTCCTCACAAGATACTTGCTGCAGAGGTGGAAACAGGACGGGAACTACTTGAATGTCTGTCAATTCCACTAGAAAGAATGAAGTAAAACCAATCAATTTCCAGTTTTGCATAACCCCATTGTTTCACCAGAATGAGATTCTGATTAGCCAAGCCTAGGGGTATATTCCTGTTCTTTGACTATGCTCTGATGGGGAGAAGGATCTGGTAGGAGCCTCCAGGGACACAGTTGTCTTCCTAGCAAGAGAGCCATGCTGCTGATCTGTTTCACAAAAGCTTCTCCCAGAGTAAAAAGGTAACTTCCTTGCAGCAACTCAGAGCACCATTGAAAAGGCAAAATGCTGGGTGCTTAGGAAAAATGCGAAACACACCCAGAGAGGTTAAATAAGTTATTATCCAAGTTCATATAACTACAAAATGTTCATCTGTAGACAAGAAGACAGGATGCCTCAAGCTCGGTGTATGTTCTGTTACAACTTGAACTACTGTGCAGAAACCAAAAGACACACACACAAGGTCAATGTGTTTTAAGATGTGAGCTGGGCTGGGCGCGGTGGCTCATGCCTGTAATCCCAGCGCTTTGGGAGGCTGAGGTGGGCGGATCACCTGAGCTCAGGAGTTCAAGACCAGCCTGATCAACATGATGAAACCCCGTCTCTACTAAAAATACAAAATTAGCCAGGCATGGTGGCGCACACCTGTAATCCCAGGGACTTGGGAGGCTGAGGCAGGAGAATCGCTTGAATCCAGGAGGTGGAGGTTGCAGTGAGCTGCGATTGCACCATTGCACTCCAGCCTGGGCAACAAGAACCAGACTCCATCTCAAAAAAAAAAAGAGACGTGAACTGATCAATTTCATCCTTCCTTCTCCCCATTAAGCCAGAAAGTACTTCAGAGAAGCCAGGGCTTCAAAATGACAAACTTGTGTCAAGAGAATATTAATTAAATAAATAACAAATGGTAAAGACTTTAACAGACTCATACAGGTCTGGTTTTAAACGCCCCCCTTCTGCTACATAGAACCTGTGAGGGCTGAATTATACTATGCAGCCAAAGCAACTAGCTTGGTGCTTTTCCCTTAGTAATTGCTCAATAAATGTTATGCATTATAATGTGATTATTAGGAAACATATTCTATTTTGATGGATGAGTTTTTCTTTTGAAAATATAGTAATTGAAGATAACATTTCAATTGAGGCAATTGAAGATAAAGACTCCAGAATAAGGAAATATTTCTTAAAATTTCTTAAACAGATGACATCAGCACTCACCATAAAACAAAACCATAATAAATTGAAATACATAAAAAAAGTAAGAACTTTTGTTTATTAAAGAAATCAAGAATGGGAAGGAAAGCCAAGAGTGGGGGAAGATATTTGCAATACATATAAATGCCAAAGGACTCTTATCCAGCATCTACAAAGAACACCTCATCTATTGCTTGCTGTAGGACAAGTTATCCCAACATTTAGGGGCTTAAACAACAAATATGTATTATCTCACAGTTTCTATGGGTCAGACACCTGAGCATGACTTAGTTGAGTACCTATGACTTAGAGTCTCCCATGAGATTGGAGTTGAGCTGTCAGCGGGGGCTCTGGTCATCTCAAGACCTCACTCGGAGAGGAGCTGCTGTGGGCAGGAACCAGGTGCTTTCTGGCTCTTGGCTGGAGACATCAGTTTCTTGCCATGTGGCCCACTCCATAGGTCAGCTCACAAGGCAGTTGGCTTCTCCTAGAGCAAAGGCTCCAAGATAGACAGACAGATAGATAGATAGATAGATAGATAGATAGATAGATAGATAGACAGACAGATAGGTGATAGATAATAGGTAGACAGATAATAGATGATAGACAGAGAGATGATAGATAATAGATAGATGATTGATAATAGATGATTGATTGATAAAGATAGCTAGACAGACAGAGAACCAGCAAGATGGAAGTCACCATCTTCTTGTAACTGGATGTCAGAAGTGATGTCTTTCTCATCTTTGCTGTATTCTACTCATCAGAAGTGAATCATAGTTGGGCATGGTGGCTCACCCCTATAATCCCAGCACTTTGGGAGGCCAAGGGCAGATTGCTTGAGGTCATGAGTTTGAGACCAGCCTGGCCAACATGGTGAAACCCCATCTCACTAAAAATACAAAAATTAGCTGCGTGTGGTGGTGGGCGCCTGTAATCCCAGCTAAGCGGGAGGCTGAGGCACGAGAATTGCTTAAACTGGACGTGGGTTGGGGCACAGAGGCTGCAGTGAGCTGAGCTCACACCACTCACTCGAGCCTGGGCAACACAGCAAGACTCCATCTCAAAAAAAAAAAAGAAAGAAAAGAAAAGAAAAGAAAGAAGTGAGTCATTAGATTTGGTCCACACTCAAGGGAGAGGTACACAAGGGTGGGAACACAGCAGGGGATGGTCCCTGGAGGACGTTTTAGAGGCTTCCTACCACATTCTCACAAATCAATGAGAAGAAACAAACAGCACAATAGAAAAACGGACAAATAATTCAGCCCACACTTTATGAAATAAAATATCGCAATTGTCAATAAACAGAGGAAATAGTACTCATTAGTCATGGCAGAAATAAAAATGAAAACCAAGATGAAATACTTCCACATAACCAACAGACTAGCTAACAATAAAAAGGCAGAACATACACCAAGTGTGGGCAAGGATGTGGGACAACTGGAAGTCTCATACACAGCTGGTGGGAGTATAAATTTGTATGATCACCTTATAAAACAATTTGGCAGTATTTATTAAAGCTAAACACATATATTTTATGACCCAGCACTTCCATACCTAGAAAAATGCCTAACAAAATTGCATGTTTGTGTACACTCAAAAGATGTGTGTAAGAAGATTCATAGCAGCTTTACTTATAATAACCAAAAACCTGAAAACCTCCCAAATGTCTGTCAACAATAGAATAGATGAATAAATTGCAAATAATCATGCAATCAATTACAATAAAGCAACAAAAAGCGATAAACTACTGCTATATGTTAATAATATGAATGGATCTCATGAAATAACATTAAATAAAGAAATGAGCCAGAAAAATACACATCCTGTACAATTGTATTTATATAAAACTCAGAAACTGGCCAAACGAATCCATGATGAGGGGAGTGTGGAAAGTGGTCTGTTTTTGTAGGACTCAATGACTGCGAGGGATCAAGGTGGAAGGGACTAGGGACCTGGTAATGTCCTGTTTTCTTGATACAGTGATACGGGCCATTAACTTTGTGAAAATTCAATGGCTATATACACTTATGATTAATGCACTCTTCTGTATGCATATATTTCAATAAAATTTTTCCTAAAAAAAACTTTTTGACAAACTTTCTGCTGTGCTATTCAGAATGGCACCTGTGAATAAACTTACTAATAAATAAATTTATTTAAAACTGAAAATATATCCATTGATGCTAGGTCCTAAGTTCTAGTTCTTAAGGCCCTAAGTATTAAGATTTATCTTTTAACTGAATTCTTGGAAAGAAAAAATTCACCGACTTTTTTTTTAACCTTTTGGTTTCTCTTCTCCCCCAAAGGAGCATTAGAAATGTTCTCCACTTTGGGCCAGGCACGGTGACTCACGTCTGTAATCCCAGCACTTTGGGAGGCTGAGGTTGGTGGATCACCTGAGGTCAGGAGTTCGAGACCAGCCTGGCCAGCATGGTGAAACCCTGTCTCTACTAAAAACACAAAAATTAGTTGGGTGTGGGTGTGCGTGCCTGTAGTCCTAGCACTCAGGAGGCTGAGGCAGGAGAATTGCTCAAACCCAGGAGACAGAGGTTGCAGTGAGCTGAGATTGCGCTCCAGCCTGGACAACAGAGTGAGACTCCATCTCAAAAAAAAAAAAAGTTCTCCACTTTGGAGGACACCAAAAGTTGATGTGTCGTTCCCATCTTCAATGAGCTCACAGATTCCTTTGCTAAAACATCTCAGTCTTAATATGAGAGAAAAGGTTTATAAAAGATTTAGATGTTTTATTTTCTCCATTGACATTTATTACGTACAAATTATTTGACACCCAATAGTTTGTAGCTCTTTATCCAGGACCCATGTTCTCAAATCTGCAGAATCAGGACACCGGTGTTTTGCATGGTGGTATCATGAGATATCACTGTGTGTGTATGCGTGTAGATGTGTGTGTATATATGTATGTGTACATGTGTGTATGTGTGAATACATGTGTGTATGTGCATGTGTGTGTGTGTGTGTGTGTGTGTTGATGGGGTTCAGAAGAAACTGGTGCTGGGAGGGTTTTATGGAAACAGGTACAGGTGGGGAATAAGACAAGGAGACCCAGAAAAGGAGAGATTTAGGAGAGAAGGAAGACTTGAGAGATTTCTTAGCCATATGTTGAAATTTCAAATACACTATCATGTTGATACTCACATGCAAAACACATGTCCTGATTCTGCAGGTTTGGGAATATGGGTCCTGGATAAGGAGCTACAAACTATTCGGTGTCACATAACTTGTAGGTAATAAATATTAATGTAGAAAATAAAACATCTACATATTTCATAAACCTTTTTTTTCTGTGAAAAAGTGAGAGGGGCATAAAAGGACTATGGCAGCAAGAAGTATAACCAAAATGTGGCCACAAGCATCATTTTTATGGCTTCATAGAACCTTGGGTTTGAAACAGATCTTTTTTTTTTTTTTTTTTTTTGAGTTGCAGTCTTGCTCTGTCGCCCAGACTGGAGTGCATTGGCACAATCTCGGCTCACTGCAACCTCCGCCTCCCAGGTTCAAGCGATTCTCCTGCCTCAGCCTCCTGAGTAGCTGAAATGATAGGCACGTGCCACCACGACCGGCTAATTTTTGTATTTTTGGTAGAGATGAGGTTTCACCATGTTGGTCAGGCTAGTCTCAAACGTGTGACCTCATGATCCACCCACCTCGGTCACCCAAAGTGCTGGGATTACAGGCATGAGCCACCGCACCCGGCCCTGAAATGGATCTTAAGAGTCATGTAATCTTACTCCAAAGTTGAATCTTAAATTCCTCTTTCATAAACTTCTGAAAGGGAGGTTTTAGTGAAGAAACAATGAGAGTAATTGACAGCATAGATTCATACATGTGTGATAGGACACTTGGTCCCTCAAGAGTACCTAATTTAACCATTTGCATCCACTCTCTTTTTTCTCTAACATGGTATTAGACTGGTTTTTCCATGAGATTTGAGGGTCCATATTGTTTTATAACCTCAGCACTGAAGAACTGTAAACAAATGTGCATGCATACTGAATAGCTGTATTCGGTACCTTTAGGAGCAGTAAATCTTGTGGTTTTAAGCACTTTAAGTTATAGCTACTGAACAGCAAACACCCCATTGGCCATGCCAGGGAAGCTAGTGCTCTTCAAGAAAGCAAACTTTGAAAAGGTCTTCTTACTCTATACCACCACCAACTCTCCGCTAACCTCCAAGCCTCCTTTTCATACTAAATGTGTATCCCTGTCTCTGAAGCCATGGTGACACACAAATGATGAGAGTTGCTAAGTGGATATCTTCACCTTTGTTCTTCTTTTTCCAACTTCACTGAAAACTCTGCTTCAATATGAAAGCTTTCTACATGCATCCAACATAGAAATCTGAAAAAAAAAAGAAAAAAGAAAAAACAAAAACCTACTCTTTCTTTGTGCATCACTTAAAGATCTATGTAAATGCCTCCTAGTGAGGAATACCTACTTTTGTTTAAGATTTGAAATCATTAGTTTTAAATTAGAATTAAAGTTTGACATCAAGCAGTAGGCATTGATGGTAGAAAATTGATCAGTCTCAGGAAACTACTAAATGGTGGATTAAATACATACATGGTACAGAGTATATCCTGTGTACTGTCTAGTACATTAAATGTATGTTTCTTGGGCATTGCACATAGATATTTAAAAACAATGATTTTCTCATAAACTCTCCTGTACCAAGGACTTGCTTTCTTCAAAGGCGAAAAACAGATGCATGAGTGCCGTATTTGAATGCAAACCTCATAGACTAGTAGACTGTGATGGAGTCACAGTGTCATATCCAGTTGGATGGACCTTTTCTAATAGTTTCCATTTTTATCAAAAGCAAAATGAAAGCTATTTTCAATGCAGAAGCAAATTCTAAACAACACCCACCAGAATTAGCGAAGCAACATTTCATCAGAAAATCACCTGCAGAATTTAGAATGCAATTTAGAATTACTAATTAGTGTGTTAAATGGATATATTCAGAAAGTGTGGAGGGGATGAGTCAACACTTCTGAAAGAACCTTAATTTCAGAATTTCCTGAGTGAGTGCCCCAAATTATAAGCCTACCCACACATTAGTACATGGGTTAGAGAAGTCGGCTCACCCAGACATTTGTTGTGTGCATAATTTTAAAAAGAATAAATACTACTTTGGAAACTGCTCTGGTTCATTTTGCCAAAAGTAACACCCTTTCTGGGCACAATGCCACTAGATACTCACCCTGCTTTCTTTGTGTCTGCGGGACCCTAAAACATTGTTTGCAATTTTATCAAAGGATTCATTGGATCAGAGGAAAATCAGAGAGAACGTATTGTCCATTAAAATGTAGAAAGGTGGGTCTAAGATGCCTTAGAAGAAAGTAAGCTTTTATCATAACACATTGTTTACCTTTTCGTTATTTTAAACTTGAATCCTATTATTTCACCATCTCTACTGTCACCCAGCCATCATTTCTTATCAACTCTTAACTGGGCTGTTGCAGTGTCTCCTTCCATGGCCTCCTGGTCTTCAACCTGGCTCAATACAGCCCAGTTTCCATTCAACAGCCAGCATGAGCTTTCTAGAGCTGCCTGGACAGCTGAGGCTCTGCAAGTGGGAGAGGTGATCGCATACCCAGAGGAGGTGCCCATCCCTATGAGGACAAACCTCCAGCCCCTCCAAGACGGGAAGAGCCAATAGAGTCAACTCACTGCTAAAGCATCTGTTGGTCCCCTGGGGAACCGTGCCATGGTAAGGGCTCAGTGCTGGTGTCTGTTGCTGACAAGCTGGGCATTCCCTCCAAAACAGCAGTAGTGAAACAGACCTTGGTGAGTGAAGCACATGCTGCTGGGCTCATTGGTAACCTCTGTCTTTGCCACCAAGGCCATGATGCTCATGGGCCTATCATGGCAGCTCTGGGTGGCTGGTGATAAAGCTGACAAATGTCAACCAGTCAAGTCGTTTTATCTACGTGGTTACTCAGTGCCATTTCCATGGTGGGTGGATGCTTTCTGGGCATTCATACACGATACCAACATCTTCATGCTTTGTGCCAACTCCCATTTTCTTATGCACATGTCCCTCCTCCAGAACCCCTTGTCCCAATCATTTAGCGCACTTCCTTCTATGCCACCATCCAGAGATCTGAATGTATTCTCACTTCTGGCAATTTCAGGTGTGCTGCTGAAAGGTTTGCCCATTGGGAGAACATTTTTTTTCCACCATCCAATCACCCATGAATGTGGCTATAATGCAACTCCTGTTCATTTTTGGCTTGCCCCCACATACTGAACCAAGTCATCTATAGACCAACTTTGAAACTTTCTCTTTTCTTTCTTTCTTACTTTTCTTTTTTTTTGATAGAGTCTCACTCTGTCGCCAGGCTGGAGTTCAGTGGCACGATCTCAGCTTACTGCAACCTCTGCCTACAGGGTTGAAGTGATTCTCCTGACTCAGCTTCCCAAGTAGCTGGGACTGCAGGTGCACGCCACCACACCCAGCTGATTTTTGTATTTTTAGTATTTTTGTATTTTAGTATTTTGTATTTTAGTATTTTAGTATTTTGTATTTTTACCACGTTGGCCAGGATGGTCTCCATCGCTTGACCTCGTGATCCGCCGGCCTCGGCCTCCCAAAGTCCTGGGATTACAAGCGTGAGCCACCGCGCCCAGCTGAAACTTTCTCTTTTCTTAAGAGACAGAGTCTCTCTCTGTGGCCCAGACTAAAGTGCAGAAGTGCAATCATAGCTCACTGCAGCCTCCAACTCCTGGGCTCAGGCAATCTTCCCTCCTCAGCCTCCTGAGTAGCTAGGACTGTAGATATGCACCACCATGCCCAGTTTATTAAAAAAAAATTTTTTTTGTAGAGATCGGGTCTTGCTATGTTGCTCAGGCTGGTCATCAACCTTGAACGTTTAAACATTTTCCTCCTCCTCGAGCTGGTCATAGGGAGTAAGTGCACTAGTGCAACTGCAGTGAGTGACATGGGGGTTTGGGCTACCTGCTCGTGCAACTGACATGTGCCTGCTGGCCTTGCTCTAATTTGATCCCAGATGCTCCATTTTCATCTTAGAGTGGACTTTCTGAGCTCATTGGCTTTAGGACTTGGAAGGTTTAACAGAACGCAGTTCATAAATGGAAGTTCTAAACACATGGTCACCCGCTGTCCCATAGCTAAGTGTTCCAATGCTATCAGGGCCCAGTGATGCACAGGGACTGATTCCCAAGGCATGTCACTCTCTGCTGAGGATGACCTGGCTTCACTTCAGAATCACAGGGGCCTGTGTTGTGAATCTTCTACTGGAGCTTGTCATAAGTTTCATACTGCATCATGCCTTCCCCACTGTCACTTCCCAAACCATAGGATCTGCCTGATCAGATGATCCCAACAGCAGGGCTGATTGCTTCATGGCCCGGACCTGAAGCAGTGCTCTTTCCCACTCTGAGTGCTGTGCAAACTGGCAGCCTTTTTTGTTACCTGGTACATGGGCTGGATCAGTTTTCCCAGGTTGGAATATGTGGCCACCAGATTCTAAAGTGGCTCACTAGGTACCACACTTCTTTTCCTGCGTGAAGAATTCAAGATGTCGAAATGTGCATTTTTTTTAAAGTATATCCCAGCATGACCCTGATCAGAGGACCCCCTAAAACCTTCACTGAATTGTCCAGTGATCTTCGTAGGGTTCTCTCCCACCCTCTAGAGCACAGGTGACTTTCCAAGGCCTCCAGGGCACTGCTGTTTCTTGCTCATCCTGTCCAAGCAGCATGATGTTGATAAGATGGTTGGTGTGACTGGGGAATGGTCCATACCTCTTCACACTGTGTTATGACAGAGCAGGAGGACTAATATAGCCCTCGGGAAAAACTATAAGTGAACATTGTCCTTTTCACATCAACATGAAGTGTTTCTCATTCTTTTTCTCTTCTTCTCTTCTCTTCTTCCTCTTCTTGTTTTTTTTTTTTGTTTTGTTTTTGATTTTTTTGTGACAGGGTGTCACTCTGGAGTGCAGTGGCTCAATCATACCTCACTGCAGCCTCAACCTCCTGGACTCAAGCAATCCTCTCACCTCAGCCTCCCCATTAGCTGGGACTACAGGTGGGTGCCACAACTCCCGGCTATTTTTTTTGTAAATTTTTTGTAGAGACAGGGTCCCACTATGTTGTCCAGGCTGGTCTCGAACTCCTGGGCTCCAGCAATCCTCCCAACTCAACCTCCCAAAGTGTTGGGATTACAGGCATGAACCACTGCACTCAGCCTCTGATACTTTTTCCTAATTGAAGTGAAGAAGAATACACTTTGCCAGCTGATGACTTTATCCCATGTAGCTGAGATTAATCTGCTTTTTCAGTAACACCAGAATTGGCAAGCAACTTCCAGGATGGCTATAGCTTGGTTAAGCCTGTGGTGCTCTTAAGTCATTCCCCAGGACCAATATGGTTTCTCCAGGGACCAGCCTGGCAAATTAAACTGAGAAATGACAGAAACCAATGCTCCTACATCTTTCAGGTCACTAATCTCTGTCATCTGCTCAGAGTATCAGTGAATTCCATTTGGCCTTCTTAATTATAAAAAAATCTTACTCTACAGACCAGGGACACAATGTGGGATTACTCCAATAGTCAAAGGCATCGATTCCACTTATATGCTTAGGAATTGGAAAATGGCAACAGGCAAGTCCGTGGACCTAGGGGCCCACTGTGAGCTGAACTTTAGCCAGGACCGTGGTTATTACTACCTAGTTCCTGCGGGCCCCATGCTGACCAAGAGCCACAATGATATCTTGGGTCTCTGAGTACCAATGTCGACTCAGACTCTGTAGCCAATTAGTTCTTGAAGTATCTGCTTTTTCCTCCCTTTCCACAGGGTATGGTCACCTAAATAAATGGCTATAGGTCACTTTGCAGAAGAACTAGAGAAGTGTCACAGGATCTACTTGTCATGATGTTACAGGATCCTGTAGGACCTGGCTACCTCTTAGTCAAAGGGCTCCAGGTCTGAAAATTGGCTCCGGCATGGGGACCAACCACCAAATGGTAACTTGTTACTGGGGCAACTGCTTTCAGACTTTGACTCCTCCATTCTAACTTTGTTCTTCTTTTTAAATTAGAGATATCAAGTGGCACCTTGGTTGGCTGCTGTCAGGGGCAGTGTTCAGCAAACTACAGTCAGATCCAGCCCATCGTGAGTTTTTGTAAATAATGTTTTATTGGAACACATTCATGCTTATTAGGCTCTTCATTCTTTCCCTTGCTGTCTATGAAGGAAGCTTAGACATCTCTCCTTTGCTGAGGCTTGCCCATCATTTTTTCCTGGCTTGTAGGAGCCACTCCCATCAAATTAGTTTGTCCTATCCCCTGGGGCTTTGCTAGGGTGATAAAAACTATATCCTGAGAAAATGCTCCCAAATCAATGAATTCTTGGTTATCCAGCTTAACATTCTAGCTTCCTCAACCAAAAACCCTCAAGTCTAACCCCAGGAGTATTTCCATGGTACTGCCAGTACATATCGGATAGTTGTCTCCTTTCTTTTTTCTTTTTCAACAGGGTGTCACTCTATCGCCCAGGCTGGAGTGCAGTGGCATGATCAGGACTCACTGCAGCCTCTACTTCCTGACAGAGCAGGAGTATTGCCATCTTGGACAAGCACTGTCATTTTTAAATTCACCTGAATCAAAAACCGCCTAAATCCAAAGGCATCAGCCTAATAGCTAAGGTCAGCATGACCATAAACCACAAACAACATCTCTGACCAGAAGCATTCCAAACTCCTCCCCAACCAGAAACATGCTAGCCCTAAGATAACTCACCTCTGGCTGGGAAGATGCCAGCCCTGAGATAACCCACTTCCTGCTGGAAAGATGTCAGCCCCAAGATAACCTTCCCTCCACCCAGAGACATTCCAACCCCGTCATAAACATCTTCCCCACACAGAAACATTCCAAGCTTGTAATAAGCCCCTCACCCTAAAACCAATATATACTCTTAGTCTGTAAGAGAAAGCGCTCCTGACCAAAATTGTCCAGAAGCCCCTCTCGGGTTTTTCTCTAAAAGAAACCTGTCTTTGACGGTTAAGCTGCATTCTGTGTTTCTTTCCTCTTTCTTTAACTCTTACACTTCCCAGGCTCAAATGATCCTCCTGCCTCAACCCCCAAGTAGCTGCACCATCATGCCCAGCTAATTTTTTTGAATTTCAGTAGAGATGAGATCTCCCTATGTTGCCCAGGATTATCTCAAACTCCTGAGCTCAAGGGATCCTCCTGCCTCAGCCTCTCAAATTGCTGCAATTACAGGCATGAGCCACCATGCCCCACCACGTCTTATTTCTTTCTGTGTAGATCTCTTTCTTGCCTTACAGGGCACACGCTGACTATATATGTGTTATCTTAGAATTTCACTCTATCAGTCTGGGAGCAGGAATGGAGATAGAGACAGGTCTCAAGGGCTGTGTCTGTGTCTTTTGGTGAGGAAGATTCTGCAGCATCTTTCAGTATGGTCAAAGTGCTAGCTCTTACTAGGGAAAGATGGGCCACCCATCCATGCCCAGAGGATGGGGGTGGGAATGTTGTAGATTCAGCATCACTAAGGACATCTCTCCAGATTTCCTGCTTAAAGGAGTGTTTAATATCTCTGGTGCTCTGAGATCCTCATAATTAGGTCTTGAGCTTGCCTTTTATTGTGCCTGCCCTTCAGCTATAGGTGGTAAAGAGTTCTTTATATGCAACCACCATTACCACTGCAGTCTCTATGTTTCCCACACTTAGCTATTAAGTGCATAATAATGGCTCTCAGTCTCTCATTCCCCACTAACATGCAGTCAATGCACTTAGCCTTAGCCAGCCAATTGTGCTATATACATATATATATATATATATATTTTTTTTTTTTTTTTTTTGAGACAGAGTCTTGCTCTGTTGCCAGTCTTGAGTACAGTGGTGCGAACTTGGCTCACTGCAATTTCCACCTCCCGGGCTCCAGCAATTCCCCTGCCTCAGCCTCCTGAGTAGCTGAGATTACAGGCGCACACCACCACACCAGCTAATTTTGTGTATTTTAGTAGGGACAGGGTTTCACCATGTTGGCCAGGATGGTCTCGATCTCCTGACCTTGTAATCCACCCACCTTGGCCTCCCAAAGTGCTGGGATTACAGGCGTGAGCCACTGTACCTGGCCCAATTGCACTATACTTATAAGAAGTTTCCCTCATATTTCCAAATGCAGATATCATCACACCCATCGCAGCATTTGCCCTGACAGGAACATTTTCAAGGCCCCCCTACCAGTGAAATATTAGCAGTTGGACTGCATCTTGTTACCAGGACCATACACGTGCTTCTGACCTGCCAAGTAGGTGAGTTAATTTTACAACTCCACCTTGCTGTCTGTTTTCTCAAACCACTCTTGGTACCACTTGTGTTAACCCAGATCCTCTGAGAAGCTGACATTGACAGGAGTAATATTCAAGGATTTTATTAAGGAAGATGCTTTTGAAAAGAAAATGAGGGTGAGAGCTGGAAAAGGCTGGGAAAGATGTCAGGCTAGGAGGCAAGTGTGAATCTAAGTGAAGATGAGAGGGAGAGAATGTTGGGTGGAACTGTCCTAGACTGTCATGCAGTCTAAGGAAGCTTCAACAAAGCCAGCAGGGATTCCTTGAGTTTACATTGCCAAAAGAGGAGTTTAATGTCTCCCAGAAATGAATCTGCTTTTGTAGCCCTGCCACGCTCAGTCCTTGACAAGGGAGCAGTCTTGACCAAGTAAGGTGTGGCCCCGGCCAAAATAAAGCAATGTATCTCAAAGCATAGCATCTGGGGCACTGGTTGCACTCCTTATAGTGGGAGCTCTGCAAGCCACAATTTTATGGCTACCATAGAAAGTCAATGTAAGTTCAATCAAAGTCCTATGTGAAATTTTTTTTTTAATTGACAAGCTAATTCTGAAATGTAAACAGAAAAGTAAAGGACCTAGCATACCTAAAATGATTCAGAAAAGGAACAAAGCTGAAGGACTTAGACAACCTAATTTCAAGACTACAGCAATCACATATAAGGTCATGCATTGCTTAACGATGAGGATATGTTCAGAAATATGTAGGTGATTTTGTTGTTGATTTTGTATGTGTGAACATCATAGAGTGCACTTATCAAACCTAGACAGTAGAGCCTCTTATATACCTGGGCTATAAGGTCTAGCTTATTGCTCTTAGACTACAAACCTGTTCATCATGTTACTGTACTGGATACTGTAGGCAATGGGAACACAATGGTAAGTATTTGTTTATCTACATATACCTAAACATAAAAGAAAGTATAGTAAAAACATGGTATTATAATCTTATGGGACCACCATCCAGTATGCAGTCTGTCATTGGCAAAAATGACATACAGTGCATAACTGTACACATAAATTAATGAAATCAGCCTAACAGTACAGAATCCAGGAATAGACCCCTGTCTACATGGCCTATCGCAGGGGTGTCCAAACTTTTGGCTTCCCTGGGCCACACTGGCAGAATGTGGCAGAATTGTCTTGGGTCCCACATAAAATACACTAATTCTAATGATAACTGATGAGCTAAAAAAAAAATTGCATAATGTTTATGAATTTTTATTGGGCTACATTCAAAGCCATCCTGGGCTGCATGCAGCCCATGGGCCATGGCTTGAACAAGTGTGATCTGTTGGTTTTCAAAACAGTGCAAAGATCACTCAATAGGGAGAGAGATTCTTTTCAACAAATGATGCTGGAACAATTGGATATCGAGGTGCAAAAAATGAACTTTGATTCTTACCTCACACTACATACAAAAATTAACTCAAAATGGATCATAGATCTAAATAACAAATCAAAACTATAAAATTTCCAGATGAGGATATGGAAATTTTGTTTTCTTGTTACCTTGGGTTAGGCAAAGATTTCTAAGAACATAAAAATCACGAAGGAAAATTTTGATAAATTAAACTTAACTGAAATTTAAGCAGCTGGGCTCAGTGGCTCATGCCTGTAATACCAACACTTTGGGAGGCTGAGGCGGACAGATCGCTTGAGCTCAAGAGATTAAGAGCAGCCTGGGCAACATGGTGAAACCTCCTCTCTAAAAAAAGTTAAAAAAAAAATTAGCTGGCACACACCTGTAGTCCCAGCTACTTGGGAGGCTGAGGTGGAAGGATCACTTGAGCCCAGGAGGCAGAGTTTTCAGTGAGCCGAGATTGCACCACTGCACTCCAGCCTGGGTGACAGAGCCAGACCCTGTCTGGGAAAAAAAAAAAAAAAAGAAAAAGAAAGAAATTTAAAACTTTTGCTTTTGAAAATACACTGCGAAGACAATGAAAAGAAAATTCACAGGCAGGGAGAAAATATTTGCAAAACATATATCCAGAATATATGCATAATAGATAAAGAACTCTTACGGATCAATAATATGAAGACCACAGCCCAATTTCATTTTTTTTAAAAAAAAAGAAGGGCAAAAATTTTGAACTGATATTTCACCAAAGAAAATATATGAATGGCAAATAACATGAAAATATGTTTGATATTGATAGCCATTGGGAAATACTAATTAGAACCACAATAAAATCCTACTACATATGCACTAGAATATCTAAAATTAAAAAGTCTAACAATACCAAGTATTGCCAAGGATGTGAAGCCACTGGAATGCTTGTGTATTGCTAGTAAATGCAAAATGGTGCAACCACTTTGGAAAACAATTTGGCTGTTTCATATAAAGTTAAACATACAGGTGCCATTTAATCCAGCAATCTCACACCTAGGCATTTACCCAAAATAAAGGAAAATATATATTCACACAGACTAGTGAATTCATGTTCATAGCAGCTTTATTTATAGTAGCCCCAAATTAGAATCAACCTAAATTTTGGCATATCTGCATAGTCACACAATGGAATTACTTCTCAGCAATAAAAAGGAATGAACTACCAATATACCCAACAACACAGATAAATCTCACAACAATTATTCTAACTGAAAGAGTTCGGACACAAAAGACTATATGATTTTATTGATGTGAAATTCTAGAAAGGACAAAACTAGAGTAGCAGATCAGTGGTTCCCAGGGCCTGGAGCTGGGGGAAGGAGACTGTCAACACATGAGCACTGGGAAATGGGGGGATGATGGAAATGTTCTGTATATCATGAGGGTGGTGGTATAGGTGTTAAAGAAAGAGGAAAGAACACAGAAAGCAGCTCAACAGTCAAAGACAGGTTTATTTTGGGGAATAAACCTGAGAGGGGCTTCTGGCCAATTTCCGTCAGGAGCACTATCTCTTACAGACTAACAGTATATATTGGTTTTAGGGTGACGGGGCTTATCACAAGCTTGGAATGTTTCTGTGTTGGGCAGAAGTTTTTGACAGGGTTGGAATGTCTCTGGGTGGAGGGAAGGTTATCTTGGGGCTGACATCTTTCCGGCCGGAAGGGAGGTTATCTCAGGGTTGGCATGTCTCTGGTAGGGGATGTTATTTGTGGTTTATGGTCATGCTGATCTTAGCCATTAGGCTGATGCCCTTTGGATTTAGGCAGTTTTTGATCAAGGTGAAGCTTAAAATGGCAGTGCTTGTCCAAAATGGTGATGCTCCTGCTCTGACAGGTAGTAGTTACCCAACTTTATGCATTTGTCAAAACTCATTGAATTTTATACTTCAAATTGGTGAATTTTGTTGTATATATATTATACACCAATAGACTAATTTTTTTAAGTAACAGAAAATAAAATAATGATGGAGACATAAAATGGAACTTGTAGTAATAATCTTAAGGTTATTAAATAATTTTATTTAAAATTGACTTGTATTTAATGGACTGTGCTTTTGTTTCTCAGGTTTCTAAGTGCTATCTTGAAAACAGAAGTCTAATAATTTACAAAATTGACTTCTCAGTTCCAGGATGAAGTAAGAATTTTCTTCTGTGCATAAAGTGGACATCATTTGAAACAGCAACAATATTGTCATAGTAGACCCAACAAAGACTTTCACTGGACTGTCTCTCATACTGACCCATTACACAGGTCCATAATTCAGTGAAGCTATTTGGGGATAGTCATTACAATTCTACATAAATCATCAGTTCTTTACCAAGCTGCCATAATCCATGGTTAGATTTTAGAGCATCTGAGAACATGGAATACTGTATGATCTCCAATTATTTTTTGCTAAATATGACTTCTCTCAATAAGGCTTTTGACAAACATTTTGGGAATTAGCTCGTGGTTGCCTTTCTTGGCACGGACAGTGCTAGAAACTACTCAATGGTGCACATGACCACAGACCCCTAAAATCTTGAACTGATCATTGAGCTGGAGGTAGAAATAACCTATTTGTGGAGGTCAAGGTCTCTAACAAGGGAGGAGTCGGCTACCTTTACCTTTTACCATTCGTTCTCCTTTCGTATTTTCAATAGGAGAAATACAGAGAAGTTAATGGCATTGAGCGGTTCCATTGTCTACTGCCTTTCAGAGATTGAGAAGCTTGAGCCAGTTGTATGTTTTTTTGAGATTCAAATGTATTAAATAAGAAAGATATGCCAAAACAAGTCTCTAAATATTGTGATAAATTTAAGTGTTAATAATTAATAACTTATTATGAATCAATAATTCATAAATCTACTGTATATTTACCTTCATTTGGAGATAAGTCAAAAGACTACATTTGAAGCCCCTTTTGTGCATGATGTCCTGGGGAAACGTCCCTCTTGCAGCCACTCACCCCACCCCAAATAGGTTCTATTCTTCTAGGGTAAACTATTTAATTGGGGTCCGCAAAGTCCTATGAAAAGAGAATGAATAATTATTTCTATATGCCAAGAACGCTTTTAAATGCATTACTTGTATTAACTCATTCACTTTTTACAAGCGTTGTGAGAATAGGATTAATACTATGAGATAAATCCTATTAGGTGAGGAAATGAAGATAGAATAGTTAGTAACTTGCCCACTATCATGGCTGGTAAGTGGCAGAGCTGACTCCAAAGTCTGTGCTCTTAACTGTCATGTTGGAGGTTGGATCATGTAAAAGTAGCCAATTGTCAATCATGTGTGACTAACAAAATTGGCAATTTCATATGGTTCAACTTGATGTAATGCTCAGATTGGCTGAAGCTATGTTTTTATGAGCATGAATATATGGGGCACATTTGTTTCTATTGCCAGTCGAGAATACATATCAACCTTTTATCTCAATTTGACAAATCCAGTATTTATTTCTGAATTCTTTTTGCTCCAGGGCAAAGACATTTTAAAATTCATGTCTGCTTTGAGAAGGGGTGGGGGGCACAGCTAGCTAATCAGAGCTTAACAAAAGGAGGGACTTTCTAATGACTAGAGCTGTCAAAGCTGGGCTGATGGTCACTATGGACAGTGGTGGGAGCTTCTGTCCTGGGAGGTGCCCTCAGAGATGGGATATGCTATTACTCAATAAGTCTACCAACGGTTCCTGCCTCATTAGAACTCAGCCAGTGCAGGAGTTAGACATCCATCAGACTCCTGCATGCCCAGAATGTGTCAAGCTTGCCCTGCTGGACTTTTTACTATGGGTACTCTGTTTTTCTTCCTAGATGTCAACATTTAGAAATCATAGTGTTACCAGATGGTCCTTGCTCCTGGAGCTCCCAAGATGGTGGTGGGCCGCTTCCACAATGGCGGTGGGCCGTTTCCAAGATGGTGGCAAGCCTCCTGATCTCTGACCTGGGGTTCTTGGCCTCACGGATTCCAAGGAATGGAATCTTGGTCCATGCAGTGAGTGTTATAGCTCTATTAGAAGCTGTGGGTCACAGAAGAGAACCGTGGAACCCAGTGACTGTGTTCAGCTCAATTAGGACGAACCTGCGCACTTAGCAGTGCAGGAACAATGGAAAGCTTTTAGCTCAATCAGGACCAGCAATGTGTGCCTCGCTGGATCAGGAGCACAGCGGACACCCTGCTGGATCCAGAGGGATGGAAGTCAGTGGCAGGTCTGCGATGGCGGCAGACAGCAGTGGTGGACGGTGAACGAAAGCTCAGTTCAAGCCGTAACAAACAGGGACCAGAAGAGTGGGCAGTTGCAAGATTTAATAGAGTGAAAACAGAGCTCCCATACAAAGGGAGGGGACCCAAAGAGGGTAGCTGTTGCTGGCTCCAATGCCTGGGTTTATATCCCAATCATTGTCCCTCCCACTGTGCTTTCAGGCAATAGATGATTGGCTATTTCTTTACCTCCTGTTTTTGTCTAATTAGCATTTTAGTGAGCTCTCTTTACTACCTGATTGGTCGAGTGTGAGCTAAGTTGCAAGCCCCGTGTTTAAAGGTGATGCGGTCACCTTCCCAGCTAGGCTTAGGGATTCTTAGTCGGCCTAGGAAATCCAGCTAGTCCTGTCTCTCAATAGTCAAGGGGATTGTATTGAAAAATGGGGAGGTTTCTTTTGCTCTGGTTGAATATTTTTGTAATTTCATGAAGGATTCAGAGCAAAATAGTGCTCTGTCTTTCAGAAGCACATTGAGGGTCCTTAAATTTCATAGTCTAATTTTACAAGGTCCCTTTCTTGTTTCCATAGGTTACTAGAAACTATTTGTTTCTTTCCTCTGGACAGAGCCCACAGAATTCATAAGATCTTCACCATTGGGATTTAGCAGCCTTGCATTTGCTGGAAATTGACTCTGGAATGGTAACCAGATCAAGACCACTCCCTTTATTTGCTTTTTTTTTTTTTTTTTTTTTTTGAGACAGAGTCACTCAGTTGCCCAGGCAAGAGATATGATCTTGGCTCACTGCAACCTCTGCCTCCTAGGTTCAAACAATTCTCCTGCCTCAGCACTCCCAAGTAGCTGGGATTACAGGTATGCACCACCTCACCTGGCTGAATTTTGCATTTTTGGTAGAGGTGGGGTTTCACCATGTTGGCCAGGCTGGTCTCGAACTCCTTTCCTCAAGTGATCCACCCGCCTCAGCCTCCCAAAGTGCTGGGATTACAGGCATTACCCACCATGCCCGGCACGTTACTTTCATTTTATTGATTTACATTGCTTATCTGTGTAAACCCTGATAACAGAGATATACCCAGACTGCCCCTCAGCAGCCAGCCAAATCTGCAGATCCCCGGCTTTAGCTGGAAGCCAAGGCTACTGCCAAGATTCCATAAATCAGTTCATTTGGCTCAGCCTGACTAGCAGGACCACGAAGATGAACAATGCCTCCAAAAACAAAATCAAACTGTCCTGGAGGCTACACAGAAAGAGATGGAGAATTGTCTCGGTCAATTCTGGGGCAGCATTTTTGCAGAGTAGAATTTTTTTTTTCTTTCAGGATAGCCAATGTCCCGTTTACTGTGAAATTTGGTATGCTGATTACAGCTTGTAATGATCATTCGGCTCAGTAGATCATATCTGACTTTTCCAAAAGCAATTTTATGTGGGTACTAATGTGTTTGTCCCATGCTTATTCTGGTCAGTGGGGCATGCAGTTATAAGGATCAGATGGAAGTAATTTCTTGGATTTCCCTTTGATGTTTCCAAAGGGAGGAAGATTCTCTGTATCCCTCTGGGTGCTCCCTGACAGTGTGGAGAGCCCTGTGACGGCTCGAGGCGGGAGATCCTATTTTCCACCCCCAGTCACTTGACCAGTCCACCAAGAAGCTCTGCATTCTCAGGTTTTTGAGACCTGTCCCAGCCACAAGTCACGAGGCTTACCTCTCAGGAAAGTCACCTCAAGAAGAACATCCAGAAGGCTGTTCTTGGATATCTGGGGCTGAGATAGGGATGCAGTGCCCATCACTGCTTCCCTAGTTCACTCCTATGGGAAGCTGATGCCCCTTCCACCTTTCACTCATCACCTTTTCTCACTGTGCTTATTGATCCTGAACAAAAGCGGCAGCTCAGAAGCTCTCATCCAGCAGAAGTGACTGAGAGCAGGACAGCAGGCCCGTCCACCCTGGCCTTCTCCCACCAGGCAGTCTGCTTGGTTCCTGCTGAGCAGACTTATCCCTAATGGCCGGAAGCGCTCCTCTCTTTGCCCACCAACCCCAGCTCCAAAGCAGATGCAAGTGTCTCCATTTCCCTGGTCTTACTTTACTCCTCTGCCTCCTGGGATCAGAATAATAATTTCTAGTTCTCTGGATTGGCTCTGCTTTGCAATATATGACTCACTCTCTTTTCCTTCAAGCTTTCCCTTAACGTGGTCCACACTCGAGGATGCTGGCTGGGTCTTTATCACAGGAGAATTTTCAGGTATTCAGCAACTGAAGAAAAAAAAAAGACCTATTGAACACTCCTTTCCCTGCTCTCAATCAGGTCACACAGAGTTCTTGAGAGAAGAAAAACAGCAAATGTGAAACTGATGCCAGTCATCTTCTTAGAACAAAGGCCAAGAAGTAGGAGTGATTTTTTTGTGTGTTGGTGCATGCATGTATTTTAGTGGAATGAAAGAAACAGCCATGCCCTCAAACACCTCACTCTTGTGTTTACGCAGCTGGCCCCCACTGGAAGACGCGTCTGAGATTGCATTCCGTGATATTTCACCAATACCTTCAATAACCACGTCTTCTTTTCACCTCCAGATCACATTGGAAACCCATTTACTTTATTCATAAAAGTGTAACATATTCAGCCCTGAGTCTCCAGTTATTATCAGCATTTGCACATGACCGAGCATAGTCACTGAAGCCTCTGCTCTTGCCGTCACACATTTCTGAGCATTTTGAACTGTGATTGTTACTCTTTAACCTGGGGGCTCTTCGACTTTCCTAAAGAGGGGAAATCCAGATGAGAGCACCAGATCTTACGCTGTCATATTAGCTAGATGGAGGAAGCAAGAATAAGTGCAATAACAAGAGCCAGGTGAGATAATTAAAACCATCTTAATCCCTTCACACCGAGAGGCGGATGTCAGCCCATTTCTTTTCCTTTCTCTTTCTTCTTTCTTTTTTTTTTAAACTGTGTAAGCTTTAGTTCTGATTTCATTTCAAACAGCCCTTCCCATCAGTGCTTGTTCTACCGATGTGAATCAGTAGAATGAATTAAGTTTTGCTCAAGGCATTTAGTAGAGTAATAATCTGCTTCTCAGAGGAGGGGAAATGAAGATGAAAAAATTTAGCAAAGAGCATCTACCCTACAATGCCAGGTCGGTAATAAAACATAAAGATGCTTAAAGAAAAGTACTCCCCGACCAAAGCGGGTCTATTAGAAGCAAGTTTTGCCATGATTGCCGAACCCTCCTGGAAAGGGTAAGGAAAAAAAAAATCACTGTCAAAAATCATTTGAGTATAAAAGTGA
Organism: Homo sapiens; assembly: GCF_000001405.40. Lineage (NCBI taxonomy): Eukaryota > Metazoa > Chordata > Mammalia > Primates > Hominidae > Homo > Homo sapiens. The sequence goes on from NC_000010.11 coordinate 33,595,245, forward strand.
AATAAAAGTCGCCTTTTTAAAATGTGATATTCAATGTGGACATAGAGTGGAAGGATGCAGTACAGTCATTAAGGGAGACAAATAGAGGATGTGCCCAAGATCCCTGTCATGTGATGGTGTGGAAGACCTACTGTGAACAAAGACCCTGCGAAGCCCAGAAAGCCAGAAGGCAAATCATTCCTTTATCTTTCCTGGCCCTGTGCTGTGGCGGAACAACCAAAATGAGAGTCTATTGGGTTGAGCCCTGGCTTCACCCCCTTGGGGCATTCTGTTTCCCCATTCAGAGAATGAGTGAGAATAGTGAAACCTGCCTCAGCCATCAGAGGCTTGTCCCAACAGTCCAAAGAGATCAAGATTAGGAGTTGTCTTTGCAAAGAGTGAGGAGAGCCAGGTGCGGTGGCGTCTGCCTGGAGTCCCACCTATGGGAGGATCTACTGGGCCCAGGAGTTTGACACTGCAGTGTGTGATAATCACGCCTGTGAATAGCTACTGGGCTATATATAGCCTGGGCAATATAGAGAGACCTCATCTCTCTCTTTAAAAAAATTGCCTGGGTGCAGTGGCTCATGTCTGTGATCCCAGCATTTTGGAAGGGTGAGGTGGGAGGATTGCTCGAGGCAAGGACTTTGAGACCAGCCTGGGCACCATAGCGAGATCTCATCTCTACAAAAAAATTGTAAAAATTAGCCGGGTATAGTAGAGTGTGCCTGGAGTCTCAGCTACTCAAGAGGCTGAGGTGGGAGGATCATTTGAGCCCAGGAGTTTGAGGCTGCAGTGAGCTATGATCACACCCCTGCACTCCAGCCTGGGTGACAGAGAAAGAACTTGCCTCAAACAAACAAACAAACAAACAAACAAACAAAGGATGAACATAGCTCTAATCTAACCTGAAGTTGCACCCAAGCAACTATGATTTTTCAGTATTCTCATTAATTTTGGAAAATGTTTCTGGGCAAACTCTTTAAAAGTGGGAAATATTTAAAATATTTAAAAGTGGGAGATAAAGGAAGATAGAAAACTTCACTCTATTGGAGAGTAATGAGAGGGTGGGGAAAAGAGATTTTGTTCTTGTTTTTGTTCCCAGCAATTTCAGCACACTTTGATCAATTTAGTCTTATGAAAATGAAAATTTCAAAAAGAAGCAGCCAGAGTCATGTTCCTAAGAGCACACTGGTCATGCTATTCCTCTTTGTACAATCCCACAGTGGTGTCCTGATACCTTTAGGAAAAGATTCAATGTCCTTGGAATGGCATTCATGGCTCTCGATGGTGTGCCTTAGTGTGGCTTCCCCATGCCACTTCCCATGCCTGGAGCATCCTGCTCTGCCCCCGTATCCCCCACACCTGCCCACATCCCCTCTGTGGTCTCCACCACCAGGAAGCTGCCACGGACATTCATCAGCAAGAATGAGTGGCCTCCGGGGTGTTCATGCTGGACGGTGAATGTTGACCTTTTCCCCTCTATTTGTGAGCGCTTTCAGAATAGCAAATATATCTTTCTTCTGGCTGTCTTTGGTATCAGAAGCAATGCCTGGAAAATCAGGGGGCACAGAATAAATGTCCTTATAGCTAAAGAAGAAAGGAAAGAAATTAATGTTGATTCTATAACTTACCTACAGTTCTTCAATTTTAATTATATAAATGCCACTTTTATTATTTTTGTCATATTTGTGAACTACCTGTTGTAATAGCACTTGCTTAATTATTTTGCTTTAATTAACAGCTTACTTTTAAAAACTTAAATGTAATTTAAAAGAAAATGTTTTATCACTTTATCATACATTCCATGAAAGGAAGAGCTGTGTTTGTTAAGCACTGAATCCCTAGTACCTTGAACTGAGCCTAGCACAAAACGGGTATCCTACTCTGGTTAAATGACTAACAGGAAAATTAGTACCACTGGCTACTAATACATGGTAACATGAATAATAGATATAAAAAATGAAAGAATACTAACAATACAGTAATTGACCCCAAACCTAAGACTCACCCCTTCTTATGGTTTGGATCTTTGTCTCCGCCCAAATCTCATGTCAAATTGTAATCCCCAGTGTTGGAGGCGAGGCCTGGTGGGAGGTGATTGGATCATGGGGGTGGTCTTTCATAAATAGTTTAGCAACATCTCCTTGGTGCTGTTCTTATGGAAGTGAGTGAGTTCTCATGAGATCTGGTTGTTTAAGATTGTGTAGCACCTCCCCCATCTCTATCCTCCTCCTGCTCCCCCCATGTGAACTGCTTGCTCCCCCTTCACTTTCCACCATGATTGTAAGTTTCCTGGGGCCTCCCCAGAAGCAGAAGCTGCTATGCTTCCTGTACAGCCTGCAGAACCATGAGCCAATTAAATCTCTTTTCTTTATAAATTACCCAGTTTCAAGTATTTCTTTAGAATAGTGCGGGAACTGACTAATACACCTCTCTTTGTTTAAAGGGGATGCCAGGATTACAGCAATGTTAGGAACCTCAGAACTCAAGTGCAAATTTCTCCTTGATTAATTAAAAGGATTGAAAGATAATTGAAATGACTAGCTGCACACTGAGTAGTCTAGTGTCATTTCACACACAGTCATTCCATAATCATCAAGCACCTGTACCACGGGTCTTTCCCTCAGTTTGGGAAACATCATCTATGTTATTCCTTCAAGTTCCTACTCCTCTTCTACAAAAGCTGACCGATAAGGAGTTCTAACCCATCAGGAGACTAAAACTATCTGATACGCTCATTTAAATGGAAGTATAGACCCCAAGAGGATGGTAACTATTAAAAAAAATCCTGGAGCTTCTTATATGTTAGTTTTGTATCATTCCTGCCTCAATTTTTTTCCCCTGTGGTTAACAACACAAGAGCAAAAACCTTGCATATGAAAAATATGTGCTTCTATTCATAATGTATGTCACTTTTTTTTTTTAAAGACAGATAGGGTCTCACTCTGGTTCTCAGGCTGGAGTGCAGTGGTGTGACCTTGGCTCACTGCATCCTCGACCTCTTGGGCTCAAATGATCCTTCCATCTCAGCCTCCCTAGTAGTTGGGACCACAGGCATGTGCCACCATGCCTGTCTAATTTTTGTATTTTTTGTAGAGACAGGGTTTCACCATGTTGTTCAGGCTAGCCTTGAACTACTGGGCTCAAGCAATCCTCCTGTCTTGGCCTCCCAAAGTGCTGGGATTACAGGTGTGAGCCCCCACGCCCTGCTATGTCACCTCTTACCATATTAAAATACAGACACTTGGAGGAAGAATCACTAGATGGGGCGCAGTGGTGAGTGGCTTGTTAAGGAGCCCTGACTGTCCACAGAAATGTCACCTTCCCTTCAAGGTTATATCTTGCTCCTGTTGTTCCTTACGGTGTAATCTAGTGCCTTGAGCACAGGCACGAAAACTTTCTTTTGGCTTTCCTTTATGTAGTTGAAGATGGCAGGACTATGCTAAGTGAAGAAAATAAATATTTGTAATATAAGAATACCATATATGAAGCCTAAAAACATTCCAACACATAGAGCATGTAAAGTAGCTACCCAGGGAGACACAAACTTCTGGTAGAAGGAATCTACCAGAATATAGTAGGAAGTGGGGAGTATTATAGTTACACCAAATGCATATGTCTGTTTACAAAACAACAGAAACAAAAACTTTGGGAAACACTGCTCTATACCCAAAGGACTACCTTTACTTTCTTACACCAGGACAAGGAAAGAGCTCTTTTGCTAAAAAATAAAGCAAAGCAATAATAAGAAAAGCAAATTTAAAAATAGAAACAGAAATCCATTTGCAGTGAGATCTTAAAGCTTATTCTCCCACAGTAACCAGACATGAATTTGGGGTTGCCCTTCTCACATTCCCCCAAACTCCCTCTTGATCAATATTTGCTTTACTCTTCCTCAATGTTTCTCTGTTTATTTTTCCTTTCCAGACAACAGAACTTGTTACAAATGTTGTGTAGAAAGGAGCTACAGTGTGATCCGCACCAGACCTTCTCTAGTCAAGACTGAACCTATGGCTGGGTAGACAAAGTGGCTGCCTAGAAAGTGTATGACTTGAAGGCAGAATGAAAAGGTCCCAACCTGTATTAGTCTATTTTTATACTGGTATAAAGAACTGCCCAAGACTGGGTAATTTATTAAAAAAAAAAAAGATGTTTAATTGATTCACAGTTCAGCATGGCTAGGGAGGCCTCAGGAAACTTACAATCATAGCAGAAGGTGAAGGGAAAGTAAGGCACCTTCTTCACAAGCCGGCAGGAAGGAGAAGTGCTGAGCAAAGGGGGAACAGCCCCTTATAAGACCATCAGATCTTGTGAGAACTCACTCACTATCACGAGAAAAGCATGGGGGAACCACCCCATGATTCAGTGATCTCCACCTGGCCTCACCCTTGACATGTAGAGATTATTACAATTTAGGGTGAGATTTGGGTGGGGACACAGACAACCCATATCACTGCCATTCTCAGATGTATCTCTTCCTTGGTCTCCTTGGAAGCCCTAAATGATGGACTGAATTTCTTTAGACTGAAGTACTGGATGCCCTGTTGAAGTACAGGTAAAAGCTGAGAGAGTGGGTCACTGCCAGGGGATGGTCTGGGCTTTGGTTGTTAAATGCCAAAGCTGCATCTCACCTTAAGCCAACTGCCTGAACTCTCTTTTCATCTTTTCCATAGTTCCTAGGTAGTCACAATTCACTTTTATTCATTCATCCATTAATTCTTTCATTCAGCACATTTATATTGAGGATCATTTACTTAGCATTATGCCCCAAAAATGCATTGTTGAAAAAGACAGATGTTCCTGCCCTTATGGAGATAAAATGGACATTAAACAGCCAATTACACACTAATGCAATCACTATTGATTTACTGATTCAATAATTATATATTAAGCAACTACTCTGTAGTAAGTACTATGCTTGGTGCTGGAAATTTAATAGTTAACAAAAATGTCACATTCTGTGCTTTCATGAAACATGGAACTCATAGTCTAATCAAATATGACATAAGAGAATATAAAATTGTATACGAGGTAAGTGCTACAAAGGAGACACAGCTCTATGAGTATAACAATAAATATAACTACAATAACTTTTAATAGATGTGCAATATAAAAAGAGTAAATTATGACATCGATGACATAAAATGTAAGGGGGGAGTAAAATTGTAGTTTTTATATGTGATCAAAGTTAAGTGGTTATCAGCTTAAAACAAGCTTTTACAAGATTGTTATTTAAGACTCATGGTAATCAGAAAGCAAAAATCTCTAGTAGAAAAACAAAAGATAAAGAGAAAGGAATCTAAGCATACCACTATAAAAAAAAAATCAGGCCAGGCACTGTGACTCACGCCTGTAATCTCAGCACTTTGGGAGGCCAAGGCAGGTCGATCATGAAGTCAGGAAGTTTGAGACCAGCCTGGCCAAGATGGTGAAACCCCATGTCTACTAAAAATACAATAATTAGCCGGGCACAGTGGCAGGCACCTGTGTAAAAAGTAAAGTAGATGTTCCTCTTCAAAGAGACTTTCCTCCCCATCTAATTAGGAATAAATAGTAACTTCTCCTAGAAGCAAAATTTATTCAAAGATCTGTGCTAACATTCTTCAATATCTGCTAGCCGTAATAAAGAAATCAATGTACTTTATGTTCTTAGCTCCCACTATTTAGCCTAAATATTTGCCCTGACAGGCTTATACTGGTTCAAGAAAGCATTAGGTCACAGCCTGTTCTTCCTCATTGTTTGAAGGTGTTTTTACCTTTCTCAGCATTCCACAAGTTACTTGCTCCTTCCTTTGTTCTCCTCTGCCTTTGTCTCTTTTTAAAAATTCTAAGTTGCTAGCCAATCGGGACAAATACAGAATGTGAGGTCCCATTCCAGCCAATGGAAATCGGACACAGCAGTAGGGTGGACGTGTCAGGTTATAAATGACCCTGTCTCCTTTGTTTGGTGTACTCGTCATGGCAAAACCGCTGGCGAGTGTACACTTTCTGCAGAAAGACAAATGGCCTTGCTGAGGAAATTAAATTTATGTTCAAGTCCTATTTCTTTATGGCACCAGGGAACAAGCATTTCTAACAGCCTGTAATCCCAGCTACTCAGGAGGCTGAGGCAGGAGAATCGCTTGAACCGGGAAGGCAGAGGTTGCAGTGAACTGAGATTACACCACCGCACTCCAGCCTGGTGACAAAGTGAGATTCCGTCTCAAAGTAGCAAACAAACAAACAAACAAACAAAAAATTAAATCATAAAGGAGAACTACAGAGAAACAATGGAACAAACTACAAAACAAGCAGAAAACAATCAACAAAATGACAGTGATAAGGCCTTACCTATTGATAATTACTTTAAATATAAATAGATTAAATTATCCAATCATAAAACATAGAAAGACTGAAGAGATTTAAGAAACAAAATTCAGCAATATACTGACTACAGAAGATTCACTTTAGCTTTAAGAATACACATAGGCTGAAAGCTAAAGGAATAGAAAAATACATTCTATGCAAATTGTAACCAAAAGAGAGCAGAGGTGGCCATGCATATATCAGGCAAACTAGACTTTAAGTGAAAAACTGTAAAAGAGATAAAGTCATCATATAATGATCAAAGGGCCAGTTCATCAAGAGGATACAATGATGAATTGTAAATACATATGTACCCAACTTCAGAGCATCTAAATATATAAAACAAATATTAACAGAACTGAAGAGAGAAATAGACAGCAACACGGTAATAGTTGGGGACTTTAATACCACACTTTCAACAATGACTAGATCATTCAGAAAGAAAATCAATAAGGAAACAGTGGACTTGAACAACGCATTAGACCAAATGGATCTGAAAGACATATATAGAACATTCTATCCAACAACAGCAGAGCGCGCATTCTTCTAAACAGCACACAGAATATACTCCAAAATAGAACATATGTTAGGCCACAAAATGAGTCTTAACAAATCGAAGAAGATTGAAGTCATATCAAGTATCCTTTCCAACCACAATAGTATGAAAGTAGAAATCAATAACAGAATGAAGATTGAAAAATTCACAAATATGTGGAAAAGAAACAACACACTCTTGAACAACTAATTAATTAGTCAAAGAAAAAATCAAAAGGGAAATATGAAAATACCTTGAGGTAAACAAAAATGGAAATACAGCATACCAAGATTTATGGGATACAGTAAAAACAGTTCTAAGAGGGAAGCTTATAGCTATAAATGCCTCCATTAAGAGAAAAGAAATGTGGCAAATAAAAATCTTTACAAGGAAGTAGAAAAAGAACAATAAACTAAGTCCGAAGTTAACAGGAGGAAGGAAATAATAAAGATCAGAGCATAAATAAATAAAATGGGGACTAGAAAAACAATAGAAAAGATCAATAAAGTTAACAGTTGGTTTTTTGAAAAGATACATGGAATTGGCTCTCTTAGCTAAACTAACTTAAAGAGATAGAGAAGACTCAAATAAATAAAATTGTAAATGAAAAAGGAGGCATTACACCTGATATCACAAAATGCAAAGGATCATAAAAGACGACCACGAACGATTATATGACAACAAACTGAATAACCTAGAAGAAATGGAATTTCTAGAAACACACAACCGACTGTAGGGGCCAAGGGAAAACTTTCCCTTTGCCCTCTGAAGGTTCACTGAAAATGAACTGAAAAGGGCGGATTAATAAAAGAAAAAGCATACAAATTTATCTATGTGCAAAGAGAGGGAAATCACAAAGTGCAATGAAGTACAGATGGTTCTATACCCTTCTTAGAGGACGGGGAGATAGGGAAGTGTGTAGGAGTAGTAAACGATTTTTAGGGGAATTCAATGGGCTTGAAGAACGTATAATGGCCTAGAAAAAAAGTCTGTTGGGCCCACAGAGCAGACATAATGGTTTGTGAGAAAAGTCTCTCCAGGTGTGTTGACAGACTTCAGTCTTTCTTTCTGCCATATGAGTTCAGTTCATGAAAACTTAAGAAAGGGAGCAGAGGTGATTGTTTTTTTCTTGAATGGGTCCAAACTTCTGGCAGATAAGGGAACTTCACAGAACAACTTCATCCTTTGCTTTGAGAGAGACAAAGAAATGAGAGGCAGGAGAAGGAGGAAGGTCCGAGAGACCTTGAAGCTTCTTCAGTTCATCATGTCAAAGTGCCATATTTTGGGGTATCAGTTTCTGAGCCCCAACAGGGGTAAACATAAAGCTTGCTTTCTCAAACAAGCATTCCAACATCCAACAGCTCTGTTAATTTCCAAGAGTACTGTAAAATATATTTTTTCAACCAAATTATATGAATGATCTGGTTAAAAAAGACTTTACAATAAATACATAATATACTTTTAGTACTAATAAAACCAAGAAAGACTGCTTAAAATAAAGACATAATATGCTTATACTACTATTTTAAAAAAGAAAGACTGCTTACACAAAGGAATTAAATTATACCGAATTTAACAGGACACACACACCCTCACTTCTAAGGTAATATCTGAAAAATATTCTCTGATTAATGAAATTAAAAGGCATAAGCATGATCTGTAAAAAGTAACAGGATTTCAATCCTAATAATTAATATATTAACTAATTCCAGAAGCAGATCAAGTGATACTAAAAAGCTTCTGCATACCAAAGGGAACAAGCAACAAAGTTAAACGGAAGCCTATAGAATGGGAGAAAATGTTTGCAAACCTCACATCTAATAAGGGGTTAATATCCGAAGTATAGGCTGGGTGGGGTGGCTCATGCCTGTAATTCCAGCACTTTGGGAGGCCGAGGAGGGCGGATCACCTGAGGTCAGGAGTTTGAGACCAGCCTGGTGAACATGATGAAACCCTGTCTGTACTAAAAATACAAAAATTAGCTGGGCGTGGTGTTGTGTGCCTGTAATCCCAGCTACTTGGGAGGCTGAGCTAGGAGAATTGCTTGAACCCGGGAGGTGGAGGTTACAGTTAACCAAGACGGTGCCACTAGCCTGGGTGACAGAGTGAGGCTCTGTCTCAAAAAAAAAAAAAAAAAAAAAAAAAAAAAAAAAAATCCAAAGTATACAGGGAACTCCTGCTAGTCAATAGCAATAATCATCATCATCATCATCATATTTTTAAAATGGGCAAAGAGTGGAATAGATATTTCTCAAGAAAAGACATACAAATGGCCCACAGGTAACTGAAAAAGTGCTCAACATCACGAATTATTATACATAAATCAAAATCACAATGAGCTATCACCTCATACCTGTTAGGGTCCTAATTATTGAAAAAGCAAAATATAACAAGTGTTTGGGAGAATATGGGGAAAAGGAACCTTGGTACACTGTTGGTGGGAATGTAAATTGTTACACTCATTAAGGAATACCATAAAGGTTCCTAAAAAAATTGAAAGTAGAACCACCATGTGATCCAGCAATCCCACTTCTAGATATTTATCTAAAAGAATTGAAATCAGTATCTTGAAGTCATAGCTGCACCACCATGTTCACTGCAGCGTTATTCATAACAGCAAAGATTTGGAAACAACCTAGATGTCCACTAACATGCAAATGAATAAAGAAAGTATGATGTATATATGCATGGCACACTATTTAACCTTTGAAAAGAAGGAAATCTTGTCATTTTTAACAACATTGATGGACCTAGGGAACAATTTGCTAAGTGAAATAAGCCAGACACAGAAAGACAAATTCTGTATGATCTCATTTATTCATTTATATGTGGAATCTAAAATAGTCAAACTTTTAGAAGCAGAGAGCGAATGCTGGCTACCAGGAGGGTGGGGAAGGAGAAATCGGGAGGTTATGGCCAAAGGGTACAATGTTATACAGGATAAATAAGTTCTACAGATCTACTATGCAGTATAGTGCCTGTAACTAACAATACTGTATTTTGTACTTACATTTTACTGAAAGGGTAGATGTTACGTTAAGTGTTCATACCACACACATACACACACACACACACATAAAATAATAATAAAGGGAGTGGGCAGGAACTTCAGGAGTTAATGGATTGATGAATATATTTATGAACTTTATGGTGGTTATGGTTTCAGGAGTGTATACTTATCTCCAAACTTGTCAAGTCGTATACATTAAACAAGTATAACTTTCAACCTGTCAATCATATTTCAATAAGGTGATTTTTCTAAAAAGAAGATATTCTCTCATGTTTTCTTCCAGAAGATTCATTATTTAATCATTTATATATAAGTCTATAAATCCACCTCTAATTTGTTTTGGTGTATGTTATGGGTAGAGGTCAGATTTCATTTTTTTCTCCTGGACAGCTATCCAATGGACCTATCACTGCTTACTGGAAAAGACCATTCTTCCATTTAGAGAATTGTAGCAGTGTTAAATTAATCAGGTGACCATATAAAAAGTGGTATGTTTCTGGGCCTCCTTCCACTGATGTATTTATATACCTTTGGTCCATACCATGTGTGTTTTTTTGTTTGTTTGTTTAGACAGGGTCTCACTGTATCACCCAGACTGGAATGCAGTGGCATGGTCATGGCTCACGGCAGCCTCAAACTCCTGGGCTCAAGCAATCCTCCCACCTCAGCCTCCTGAGTTAGCTAGGACAACAGGCATGTGCCACCACATTCAATTAATTTTTTTATATTTTTTGTGGAGACGAGTTCTCACAATGTTGCCCAGGCTGGTCTCAAATTCCTGGGCTCAAGCAACCCTCCCACCTCAATTTCCGAGAATGTTGGGATTATAGGGATGAGCCACCACCCCTGGATCATACTATATCTTAATTACTATAGCTTTGTAGTAATTCATAAACTTGCTGGTGTAAATCCTCCAACTTTGTTTTTCTTCAAGACTCTCATGGCTATTCTAAGTGCTTTGCATTTCCAGATAAAGTTTAGAATATCTTGCCAATTACTAAAATTAAAAAGCTTCCTAGGGCTTTGATTTGGATATCATTGAATCTTTAGATCAAACTGGGAAGAAATAACATCTTTAAAACACTGAGTCTTCCAATTTGTAAAGATGGTAAACCTCTCTATTTAGGTCTTTAACGTCTCTCAGCAATGTTTTGTAGTAAAAACTAAAAAGTGTAGACGCTTTGTATCTTTTTTGGGAGAATTTATTTCTGGTTATTTGATGGGGTTTGTTAGTGCTATTTTAAGTGCTATCATTTACTTTCCATTTCAAATGGTTCATTGTTAATATATAGCAATAAAACAGATTTTTACATATTGACATTATATCCAGGGATATAATAAATTCAGTCTTTAAGTGGAATAAGGATCCTTTTGGATTTTTTACATGCACAAAACATGTCATCTTTATAAAAGATAATTTACTTCTTTCTTTATAATCTTTAAATTTTGTGTCTATTTTTCTGCCCTCCGGACTCACTAGAATATCTAGTGCAATGTTGAATTGAAATGATGATAGTAGACATCCTTACCATTAATGTAGTAAACAATGTTGTTTGATTTCTAATAGCAAATTGACTAAAATTCTAAAATATATATTGTATATTGATTTATTCTATTTACTATGTTTTTGTTTAAGATTTTTGCATCTATGGTCATGAGGGATATTGGCCTATAATCTCCCTCCCTCCCTCCCTACCTCCCTTCCTCCCTCCCTTCTTCCTTCCTTCCTTCCTTCCTTCCTTCTTTCCTTCTCTCATTCTCTCTTTGTTTTTTGCGTCTTGTTAGGTTTTAATATCGAGGCTATGCTGACCTAATATAAATGTTTGGTAGTTGTATTAGTCTGTTTTCATACTGTCATAAAGAAGTACCTTAGACTGAGTAATTTATGAAGAAAAGAGGTTTACTTGACTCACAATTCTGCAGGCTTAACAGGAAGCATGGCTAGGAGGCCTGAGGAAACTTATAATCACGGTGGAAGGGGAAGGGGAAGCAAGCACATCTTACCATGGTAGAGAAGGAGAGAGAGGGAGACCAAGGGAAGTGCTACACTTTTAAACCATGAGATCTTGTGAAAACTTGCTCGCTACCGTGAGAATAGCTTGCGGGAAATCTACCTCCATGATCCAATCACCTCCCAACAGTTCCCTCCCCTGACATGTGGGGATTACAATTCTACATGAGGTTTGGATAGAGACACAGCTCTAAACCATATCAGCAGTATTCGGTTTTTTTTTTCTATTCTCTGGATATGTTTGTTTAAATTTGGTATGGCTTCTTTTCTAAATATTTGTAAAATTTTATCAGTGAAACAACCTGACCTGGAGTTTTCTTTGTGTGAAGGTTTTTAATTACAGACTCGATATGAGACTATTCTGTTTTTTTACATTTCTTCTTCTGTCACTTTTGATGCATTTTCTTAGGAATAGTGTGTTCTACCTAATTTTTTAAAGCTTTGTCATAAAATTATTCATAATATCCCTATATTATTCCTAATGTCTCTAGAAAATGTATTTTTGTCCCTCTTTTCTGTCTTAATATTACTAATTTGTGGGGTTTTCCAGCCATCTTCTAAATTGGCCTTACTAGCAATTTGTTATTTTATTAATGTTTTCAAAGAACTATTTTTAAGGCTTCTACTCATATCTATTTTCTTTGGGTATAATACACGAGTCTTTTTCTAGCTTGTTGGTATAGAAGTTTAGATTTTTAAGCTTTCTTTATTTCCAACAAGTGAATTTAGAACTCAAAAATCTTCTCTGAGCACCTCTTTAGCTGCATCCTGCAAGTTTTCATGTTTTATTAGCTCATTAGCATTCAGTTCAAAATACTCTCTAATTTCCATCATGATTTCTTCATTGCCCATGAGTTATTTAGAAATGTTTTACTTATTTTCTAAACATTTGATGATCTTTACCATATCTCTTATTTATTTTTAATTCATTTTTTCTGAGGTCTAAGACATATAATCTGTATGATATCAATTCTGAGATATTTCAAAGAGCTTTCTTTGTGGCCAAGCATATGATCTCTGCTTGTTTGATCAGTTACAGAAAAAAAAATAGAGTGTTAAAATCTTCAACACCATGATTGAGAATTGGTCTACTTAAAAAATAATTCTATCACTATTAGCTTTATATGTTTTGGAATTTTGTTTTTGGGGAGAAAAGAATTGTTCTATTTTCCTCTTGAATTATCTTTTAATCAGTACCTCAAATAAAATATCTTGTCTTATGCCTTATCGATATGAGTATAGGTACAAGGTTCTGATATGAATATAGGTATAGGTTCTTTTGGTTGATATCAGTACAGTATATTTTTTACCCATCTTTTTTTACTTTTAACCTTTCTATGTCTTTATATTTATACATGCCCTTCAACTTACAATGGGGTTACCTCTCAATAAATTCATCATAGGTTGAAAATATTCCATGTTGAAAATGCAATGAGTACATCTAACCTAACAAACATCATAGTTTAACTTAGCCTATCTTAGATGGGCTCCAAACACTTACTTTGGTCTAGAGTAGGTAAATGTAAAATGGGGCAAAATTGTGTAACACACAGCCTACTGTGGTGAATACTATACACAGATGGGCATTTTGTAGACATGAAGGTGTCAGAGGTATGTGAACCAGAGCAACTCCATCTTAAATAGGAGCTGGGTAAAATAAGGCTGAGACCTACTGGACTGCAATTCCAGACAGTTAAGGCATTGTAAGTCACAGGATAAGACAGGAGGTCAGCACAAGATACAGGTCATAAAGACCTTGCTGATAAAACAGTTTGCAGTAAAGAAGCTGGCTAAAACCCATCAAAACCAAGATGGCCACGAGAGTGACCTCTGGTCAGGCTCACTGCTACACTTCCACCAGTGCCACAAGTGTTTACAAATCACATGGCAATATCAGGAAGTTATGGTCTAAAAAGGGGAGGCATAAAAAAATCCAAGCCTTGTATAGCCTGTTATCAAGAAATAACCATAAAAATGGGCAACCAGCAGCCCTCAGCACTGCTCTGTCTATGGAGTAGCCATTCTTTTATTCCTTTACTTTCTTAATAAACTTGCTTTCACTTTACTCTATAGACTCGCTCTGAATTCTTTCTTCCATGAGATCCAAGAACCCTCTCTTGCAGTCTGGATCGGGACCTCTTTCTTGTAACAAAGGGATGCAAAAATATAAAACACAATATCAAAAAAAAATCCTGGAAACACAGTACACTGTAAAGTATTCATTATTTACCCTTTGTGATTGCACGGCTAACTGGGAGCTGTGGCTTGCTACCTGCCCAGCATCGCAAGAGAGCATCTTATCACCTACTGCTAGCCCAGAAAAAAATTGAAATTCTAAATTGAAGTAAGGTTTCTACCAAATGTACCTCACTTTTGCACCATCCTGAAGTCAAAAAGTCGTAAAGCAAACCAGTGGAAGTAGAGGGACTGTCTGTAAAGTGTTGTGTTACAAAGAGCACATAGTTGCTTTTCTTATTCTGTTTGGCAATCTTTAATATAATTACTGATATAGTTGGACTTCAGTTTACCTTTTTAAAAAGAGTTTGTGTTGTGATATCACTCTGACTGCATGCTGGGTGTGCTCCTCCCTCCCCCTTTTAAGGTGTTAAATGTCAATACATACCATACCAAAGAGAGCAGTCATGGTAATCTAAATGTCTATTATTTACTTAGGTCTATGCAAAGCAAAGGTGTTTCCTTGAGAAAAGAATGGAGTCCAGCAGCAACAGAGGTCTCTGAAGACTGATTGAGGGAAAGACAGAGAGAGCATACAGTCTGGGGGACAAATATTTCTAGAAAAAGACCCTCAGAGTGGGATTTTTAAAAGATGCTAGAGGAGGTCTATTTCAGGCAGTCTTGGGAGATCCAACTAGGCAGGGTAGGGTGCTGTGCATGCAGCTTATTGAGGTGCAGCTAAAGTCAGTGCAGTTCATATTTCCTGGTCCTCACCCAGTAAATTCAAATGAGCATCTACCAGTTTTCACCCTGTGGGTACAACTGAGTAGACCACCAAGTTCATTTGACAGGTATTCAATGGTTTAATCGAAGGGTTTGATTTAATGGCTTAAGTGTGAATTTTCTGGGGATGAATCAATTGTATTTCTCCACAATTTGTACCCTCTGTTTTAATTCTTTTATTCATTCTTTTGTTCATTCTTTTAGGTTAATCAAATATATTTTTAAAGTTTTCCCCTTTCTTTTTAATTATTTAGTGTAATATTATTGTATAATCTGCAGCCTTAACTAATTACAATCCACCTTATTAAAAATTAATATTTGTGTTATGTCTCAAATAATGCAAGAATTGTACAATTCATCTCCATTTACTTTACTTGTCATTAACCAACAAGATATTCTTAATTTTCTTATAAACCATCAATATTATTTGCTATTTACTCCCATATTCACAGTTTCTAGTGTTTTTCATTCTTCTTCCAGTTCTGTGCTTCTATCTTAAATTATTTTCCTTCAGCTCAAAGATCTTTTGAAAATGTTCCTTATAGTTTTAGTCGTCTGGAGAAAAAGGTTCTCAGCCTTTGATTGTCTGAATATGCCTTTGTTTTTGCCTTCAATTTTGATCTTTATTTTATCTCATTTTCTCATAGAATTTTAACTGTGTTTTTGGTTTGTTTGTTTGTTTTGTTTACTTTCAGCACTTTCAATGTGCCATTCTATTGTCTTCTGGCTTTTACAGTTTCTGTTGAAGTCAACCATCAGTCTTATTTTAAGCTCCTACTTTGAAAATAATATTTCTTCTTTCTCAGGCTAATCTCTAAAGATTTTTTGTTTGTTTTTTTTGTTGGTTTTGTTTTTTTTTTTTGTATTTAGAAGTTTTAGTGTGATGTGCCCAGGGGTGGTTTCTTTGTATTTATTCTATCAAGGGCCCACTGAGTTTTGTGACTCTGTTGGTTTGTGTCTTTAATCATCCTAGACAATCTCAGCAATTATCACTTCAAATATTTTTTGAACCTGTTCTCTATCTCCTCCTGGAATTCCATTCAGACATGTTAGATCTTTGTCTGTCTTTCATTTTATTTTATACTTTATCTGTTTTCTTCATTCTTTTTCCTTTTTCTCTGTGCTTCACTTTATTTCTTATTGATCTATCTTTGAGTTCATTAATTTTGCCTTTAAATGTTTCTGGTCTGATTTTAAGGCCATAAATGATATGTTAATTTTGAACACTGTGTTTAATATCTCTAGACCATTCATCTGATTCTCTTTTATGGATTACAGTTCTCTGTTGAAATACTTTATTTTTACCCATTTTTGCACATCTTTCCTATGTTCTCTTTAACATAATAACCAAAATGACTTTGAAGCTCTTGTCTCTATGCCCATGTCTTATTTTCTGTGGGTCTGCTTCTATTGCTTTATATTTTTGCCTGAATATAGATTGCATATTCTTGCATATTCAGTAGTCTGGTAAGTTTTGATAATATGCTAGACAGTGTCCAAAAAAAAGTCATAAAATGTCCAGATGATATTTTTCACCAGTAACAATTTTCTCTTGCTTTCCTGTTAGGTAGGTAAGGCAATTGTCTAATCACCTCAACCGATTCATAGATTGAGCCAAAACAAGACTTGTTAGGAGTCTTGGTATGACAAACTTCATCCTTTGTACAACCCTTATTTTGGGGGATAGGGTGAGTGGCCCTTCTGGGCATTTTTCTCAATTGCCTGATGGATTTTTGTCTTCTCATCCTTGGGACACTGCAGGGAATTCAATTCTGTACTTCAGAAGTTTTGGACTTAGCTCTTTTGCCTCTTGCTACCCCCTGCAATAACCCACCTCTTCAACTCTCCCCACCAGCTCTGAAATCTAGGAAATTTCTTGAAGTGGAGGCAAGTTGGATGTTTGAATCAGGCTAACTCCCTCTGGTAGAACTCTTTTTCCTGAGCCTCCTAAGATTATGGAAGATTTTACTGAGCCTTTGAGAAGAATTTGACATTTTTAAAGTCTTCTATGCTTTTCAGTTATCTAGTGCTGTCTAACAAACCACCCTGAAACTCAGTTGCTTAAAGCAATAATAGCCATTTATTTTGATCACGAATCTGCAATTTGGGAAAGGTTTGATGTGGATGCTTCACTTCTTTGCTGTGGAGCTTTGGCTGGAGTGGTAAGAATCCAGTTCTATGATGGCTTACTCACATGTCTGGCAAGTTGGTACTGGCTGTTGGCTGGGAGCTTAGCTGAAGTTATTGGCTAAGTTTCCTCTCCACATGGGCAGGTCCATGTAGCTGTTTGGATATTCTCACAGCATGACTTTTGGGTTCTAAGAGGCAGGAAATGGAAGATGCCAATCTTTTAAAGCCTAGGCTTAGAATTTGTTTCAGCATCACTTCTGTAGTATTTTATTTGTCAAAGCAGTCACTGAGCCTGCCTAGATTCAAGGGTGAGGGACATAAATCCCAACTCTCAATAGAAGAAATGTGAAAGAATTTATGACCATCTTTAATTCACCACACACACGCCATCCCAAAGTTCAATAAATATTCTATGAGAAAAACAGGCCGCACTTTTGGGTCTCCTTAAGACTCCGACATGTCATTTCAGCCTTTCACAATCATTGAAAGCCTTGTTAGTTTCACTTTCCTTTAGTAGCATGCCTCTGAGTTAGTTACTCAATATAACCCTCAGTTCAGGCCCAGAGTCTGAAAATGTTCCCAGTGATGAAACCACAGGGGATGATTATTCACCTCTGAATGGCATCCCCTGTCTGGAATTCAAATTTATCCATGTTGTTTCTATAGCTCTTCAACAATTTGAAGCCATGGTAATTATTGAGACTTCTCAGTAAGGATGCAAAAAGTAAGAAGAGAAGAGTGCCCAAGAGAGAATCTCAAGAACCTCTAAAGTTAAAGAAACAGAGATGAAGTTTAGATCAACAAACAACAGGCAAAGGGGTAGGAAGAAAACCAACAGAGTGCAGTGTAACGGAAGCTAAGTTTAAGTGTTGACTAGCTGGGAGTGCTCTACAATGTCAGTTGTTACAGAGAGGATATAAGATAAAGAAGAAAGCTTGCATTGGATTTCGTGACAGGTAGACAAGGTTAGAGAGGTGGTTAGGTGCAAAGATGGGTACAGCAGCTAGCAGGCCATGGATTAAGGAGCGAGTGGGAGGTGATTGATTAAGTGAACACAATGTGAGTGAAAAACTCTTTCAGTGAATATGTTACAGGAAAGAGGCCCCAGTCCGGACCCCAAGAGAGGGTTCTTGGACCTCACGCAAGAAAGAATTCAGAGTGAGTCCCGAAATTCTTGTCTTCTATTTAATCAGGAAGCAAGAATGAATGCCTGTGTAGCTGTTTTAGGGAGCAGACAATGAAGGTGGTTTCTTTCTTTCTTTTTTTTTTTTTTTTGAGTCAAAGTCTCTCTCTGTCACCCAGGCTGGAGTGCAGTGGTGCGCTCTCAGCTCACTGCAACCTCCACCTACCAGGTTCAAGCAATTCTCCTGCCTCAGCCTCCTGAGTAGCTGGGATTATAGGCATGCGCCACCATGCCCAGCTATTTTGTATTTTTTTAGTAGAGACGGGGTTTCATCATGTTGGTCAGGCTGGTCTTGAACTCCTGATCTCAGGTGATCCGCCCGCCTCGGCCTCCCAAAGTGCTGGGATTACAATGGAGGTGGTTTCTATAGAATGGACTTCATTTATAAATAGAAATTTAGTTCCCTGCTAAACACATTAGAAAGCATGCAGGGTTAGAAGATTTGAGAATAAATGATGTTTGAAGTTAACCTCTGTGGGGAATAAAAAAGACAAATACAAAATAATTACAGAGCAACTTTGAGTCCAATCTCAGTCTCACCAGTCAGAGATGCTTGCAATGTAAGAAAACACAGAAATCAAACAGCTGATCTGGAGTTAGGTTTTTACGGGGCACGTGTAACAGAAGGACAACAGATCAAAGGAACTGAGGAGTTTGGCAAATGAGCCGATAAAGCAATAGATGATGAAGTCTAGGCTGTAAGGATGTAAAGTTAGGATACAGTGATAGGATGGAATAAATTAGAGCAGTCAGAGATATTTGGATGAGGTCAAAGAACAGTGATGAGATGAAAGGGGGAAATGTGTGGCCAGAGAGTAAGATGTGAAAGTTAAGCTTTCAGAGGTGGAAGAGTTCTAAGTGATGGCAAGGTGAACGTAGCAGCCACCTGAGTAGAGGGCTGAAGTGAAGAGCTAGTGAAAAGCCATCGATGCTGGGGAAGTCAGTCAAAGAACAGCAAAGTCCAGAGGCTGAACTTGCAACTCAAAGAAATCAGAAAAAATGTCAACAGGATTAGAGGTGTCAATGAGGACAATGAAGCTGATTTCCAAGTGTATGAATGAGAGACCCTGACCAGGGTATGGGTGAGTGACAGCAATAGAGAGAGCAAGTGAATGTTGGCCAAAATGGGGCATGACCTTCCAAAGAGCAGGAGCAAGGACTGGTATAGATTTGGAAGTGGCATTGGGCCTCCAGAAGGATGAGGACTACTCCATCTCTCAAGGCTCAGGTCTATGAAGCATGGGCCAATGAGCGCCATCTTTTTAAGAAGGTCACAGACAACAGGAATTCTCAGAAGGGAAGCCTGGTGTCTTCTGCTGTAAAGAGAAGCTGCTCCTGATACTGTCATCTACCTCCTGCTCTCACGGGGCATAGACCAACCTCTGTCGAGATAATGGGCTGGTTTTAGGTGTGTGCTGGTAACCGTTCACCTGACCAAGAGGAAGCATGTCTGCCACCACACTCTCTATCCACACAACTCCTTCTGAAGATGGTGAGACTGTCTTTGCAAAACTTATAACAGTGAGAAAATTATGGCAGTGAAAGACATCTGATCTAATGAATCCCCTTCTTGCCTTTAGCCTTCAAACTGTCCTTAATCATTCCTGGGCCTGGGCCAGGCTAACTTTGGGGGACATTTAGTTAATAGTTTAAATGATAATAGCCCTTTCCCCAAACTAAGCTGCCTTTGTAAAGCTAGTAAGAGGCCACCAGGCTAGGAGGATGAAAGGAGTCTAAATTCTGTTAAGGTGTACACATAAACAATTGCCAACCATTATTCCAGAGGTTACAAAATGTTGATGAAAAGAGTCAAACTCTGTACAATATTTTAAGAGATTTATTCTGAACCATATATGAGTGACCATGGCCCCTGACACAGACCTCAGGAGGTCCTGAGAATGTGTGCCCAAGTTGGTTGAGGCGCAGCTTGGTTTTGTACATTTTAGGGAAGCATGAGACATCAATCAAATACCTTTAAGGAATACATTGGTTTGTTTCAGAAAGGCGGGACTACTTGATGTTGTGGGGGCGGATGCTTCCACGCTACAGGTAAATTTAAACATTTTCTGGTTGACAATTGGTTGAGTTTGTCTAAAGACCTGGGATTGATAGAAAGGAAATGATCAGGTTAAGATAAAAGACTGGAGACCAAGGTTCCTTTGAAGTCTTATAGTGGCTGCCCTTAGAGACAATAGATGACAAATGTTTCCTATTCAGGTCTATAAAAGGTGTTAGATTCTTAGGTAATCTTTTTGGGATTGGGAGGGCCTGGAAGAAAAAGATCTAGCTACGTTAATAGAGATTCTGTACAAATGCAAATTTTCCCCCAGAAAGGATGGCTTGCAGGGCCATTTCAAGATATGGCAAATAAACATGTTTTGGGGTAAAAATAGTTTGATTTTCTTCCTTGCCTTGTAATGTTATGCCAGAGACCATTTGGAAAATAAGTCATGATACATAGGGTTAAGTAAAACCCATCTCATGAGGATTTATGTTTTGTAGGGCATGACTCCCCAGATCCCTTAGACAGGAATTTGGGCAAGATAAAAACATCAGAGCTTAGTCCTCAAAGATATGCAATTTCCCCCAATTTCTCCTGCAGATAACATCACTATTGTAGAACCCAAATTTGGCCTTTTGCGATGTCTTTTTAGGTTTTTTGCATGTCTGACAATGATGACTTCACCTGGACCCACCAACTGCCCCTGTGGCCCCACGCAGAAGTGATCCGGCACATATGAGGACCATTTCCTGCACCCTTATGACTGCACCCCAACCAATCAGCAGCAAGTGCCCATTGCCTAGCCACCCCTCCTCTTCCCCCAAACTATCTTTGAAAAAACCCTAACCTCTGAATTTTCAGGGAGGCTGATTTGAGTGCAAATAAAATTCTGATCTCCTGTTTAGCCGGCTCTACATGTATAAAACTCTTTACTGCAATTCTCTCCCTTGATAAACCAGCTTCATCTAGGCAGGGGCCAAGAAGAACCCATTGGATGGTTACAATGGCACAGAACCCCCAGACTCTGGAACCTAGAGCTCATTCACAAAGGCAGGGCTACTATCTGGGCATGGTCCCCTTGCCTGTGCAACCGACAGCTTCTCCCACTACTGTTCTCTCTTTCCCCAGCTCCCTCTCTCCCAAAGCATCATGACATTAACTGCCACAGGTTAGTGCAAGAAAACAAAGGCAGATCTTATACACAAATGGACACTGACGTTCTGAAAGACCAATGGCTCACTGTGCTATAGACCTAAAAATTCACTTTGATTCTGACACAGAAAAGTGAGGCAAGAACTGAGCCACCGCATGCTCCTCTGTTAGCCAAGATAGGGCCGACTGACCAGAACACGTGTGGCAGTGGCCCTTACCAATGCATAGGTGAGTTTCTGCAAAACAAAATCAGGCATCTCTTTAAATTAATGGTACTAATTTGAATGTAACTGGCTTTATAGGCTTGTTTCCATGTTATTTGTGAATGCATTTAGTTTTTTTGAAGCTATAGGTGTTTTTATGTTTGTATAAATTTAAGTAACATTGTAATTCAGCACTGTAATCTGTGGATTATTTCCTGGGAAGAGGTTATATCTATACATTATTCTATTTTGAGAAACCCTGATACAAAAGAAGCTGAATAGCAGAGAAGTCTCAGCTGAAGTCGGATGACAGCAATTGCACTGGGCCAAGCCTTGCAGTTCCTCTAGGATGCCTGTGAGGTTTGAGGATGAGATCATAGGTCTTTAGAGTGTTTGCTCCAAATGCCCATGAAGGAAGAGTTCAGCTTTGCAAACACTGTGTTGTTCAGCCTCTGCTTTAGCTCACTAAAGAAGGGGGTTGGGGAGGGAGGGAAGAGATACTTTCTTCTGTGTCTGGGGGTACCCTAGGGAACATGTGTATGGAATTACACTGTCTCTTACAAGCACTTTTAGTTTGCTATGCCTGCAATTCAAGGATGGCAGAATGCAAGATAGCCTATACTATCAAGATGGCCCTGACTCAGAGCCGCTTGGAAATGCCACCTGTAATCTTAAAACAAAACCCACCTTCCCTCTTCAAGAACAGTCAGTAGTTTAATTATGCTAAGTACTTTTCAACGTAGGAAGCTTTGGGTTGCTGAATTAAGCAACAGAACAGCACTCTTTTAAGGCTTAAGACTATACATTTAGAAAGCTGATAACATGTCTCATGCCAGAAAGCCTGAAGTCTATTAGGCAATTTCCAAGGATTACATTTCACAGACTCACTTTCCAATCCAAGTACAGATATACTCAAACACCCTCACTCTTACAAGTGACCCTTGGCCTTGCTAAGGCTTCCTAGATAAATGTAGATGGAGACTTTTAGAACCAACAAAGACAAACATTTGGTTGAACATGTAAATGCAATTGTTCAAGCTGTAAATTAAATTCAATTACGTACAGAGAGTAGTATCTTAAGCCTCCTGCTAATTATACTTGTGAGTTTCAACTCATTAAACTCGGATAATGCCCAGAAAGACAGAATCTGGCAGCAGCAAGCCATGCATCCCGCCGCCCTGTCCCCTCTGTGGCTTTCATCACTGTGGTTTTGTATGTTGGCAAAGCCAATTCACATCCAAAGAGTCTTTAAGAAAAAAGGGGAGAGAGGCATCCGGGGTGTGACCATAGAAAATGTCGCCAAGAGCAGAGGCCCAATGTGCACCCTCTGAAGTTATCTACAAAATGCTGGTTTGGGGGTACAGGGGAGAACATAAGGCTTTCCAAGAGAAATGCTAATACTTGGAGGTGAAGAATCTTACCCTACACCCACCCACATACGCCCCCAAGGCAAGAATCCACAGAGCAGGCAGATTCCATTTCTCCTCTCCTTCGAGTGGGCAATTCAGCCTTTAGGTGGGCTCTTGGGAAGCAGAGCTGATTCAGCAACCCTGGGAAGCATGTTCAGCACCCTGTGTGGTCGCAGGGGCCCTTTTCACCCCTTTCAGCATTACTTCTCCTTTTTGCTGTTTCTCTTACCCCAACTTTGACCCCTTGGTGACCAGGACATCTGATAAGTCCATTGGCAGGAAAGGGATGACAGTGTGCTAACTAAGCCAGGAAGGTTTGCATTTTTTAAAAGGCCCCATGAGAAACACAACTTCAGTACAGAAAACAAATTGCTGATGTGGAAATTTTAAGTATTAATCAAGGGGATGTGTGGAGAGAGGAAGCTTTCCCTACAACCTTCAAGTCACAGTCAGCGGGCCATTCCAGCCACAAGGCCAACACTGATCACAGGTTAATTAGATTGGTTCAAAAGATGGTGATTGAGAGGCTCCTATAAACCAGGCCTTGTACTAGTTTCCTGCTCTGGAAACACTTTTAAGAGGGCATGGGGGCAAGCCTTAAAGAACACGTGAGTTCAAATTCACCTTGAGTGAATGGATTTTGTTATACCATAACCATTTGTGATGGATGTTAGATAACCTTACACATTCTTCACAATATTTTGGAGACCAGAATTTATGTCACTGTATTGGTTATCTACAGCTGTGTAACAAATCACCCCAAAATATGGTCATTCAAAGCAACAACCACTCGTTTAGCTCATTATTCTCCTGGGCAGTTCTTGCATGGGCCCTCAGGGTCTCTGCTGGGCTTGGTCCTGTGTCTGTGCTGATCTGGTAAACTGGCAGGATGCTGGCTGGTCCCAATGGCCACACTCACATGGCTGGTGCTTAGCTGGCTGTTGGCTGGTGCAAGTGGGTGACTGGGCCATGCTCTTCTCATCATCTATCAGGCCGGCCAGGGCTCCTTGGCATGACAGAGGCAGTGTTCCAGGAATACTTGGAGAGTAATATGGTTTGGCTCTGTGTCCCCACCCAAATCTCATCTCAAATTGTAGTCCCCATAACCCCCACATGTTGAGGGAGAAGCCCGGTGGGAGATGATTGGATCACGGGGACAGTTTTCCCCATGCTGTTCTCATGATATTGAGTGAGTTCTCATGAGATCTGACGGTTTTTTAAGGAGCTCTTCTCCGTTTGCTTCTCACTCTTCCCTCTCCTGCTGCCTTGTGAAGAGGGTGTCTGCTTCCCTTTCTGCCATGATTGTAAGTTTCCTGAGGCCTCCCCAGCCATGCAGAACTGTGAGTCAATTAAACCTCTTTCCCTTATAAATTACCTGAGTCTCAAGTGGTATCTTCATAGCAGTGTGAAAGTGGGCTGACACAGAGGGCAAACCCAACCTGCAAGCTCTTTTCAGATATCTGCTTGTGTCAGATTTGTTGCTGTCCCATTCGTTCAAGCAAATCACATGGCCCAGCCCAGACTCACTATCCAGAGGGGTTCACCCAAAAGTGTAGATGCTTGTGGATTTCTTCTTGTAAAGTTCAGCTAATGCTCAGAAGGAAGAAATCAGGCAGCAGCAATGTGGACCATTACTGAAAAAATCAACCCAAGTTACCTATTATAATACATGGCTTTAAAAACACAAACAAAAACCAAGAGTCCTGCCCTCTGAAGTGACAATTCCTAGACTTCTGAGTTATTTGGATGTATTAGTCTGTTCTCACGCTGCTGAGACAGTGTGAGACATACCTGAGACTGGGTAATTTATAAAGGAAAGAGGTTTAATTGACTCACAGCTCCACATGGCTAGGGAGGCCTCACAATCATGGCAGAAGGTGAATGAGGAGCATAGTCTTGTCTTACATGGCAGCAGACAAGAGGGCTTGTGCAGGGGAACTCCCGTTTATAAAGCCATCAGATCTCATGAGACTTATTCACTATCATGAGCCCAGTATGGGAGAAATTGCCCCCACGATTCAATTATCTCCACCTGGCTTCACACTTGGCACGTGGGGATTATGATAATTCAAAGTGAGATTTGGATGGGGACATAGCCAAACGGTTTCAGTGGACTAATAATATTTAAGAAGAAATAAGGAAGGTAGGAGTGAAACATAGGCTTGCTAAAATGTTTATGTTGTCAACTAAGAATATTAAAATAACAAACAGGTAATTACCATCTACTGCCTTGAGTATTTTAATTTAGGAAAAGGCCATCTCAATACCGAAGTCGAAGCAAGACCTGAGTTTAGAATAAACATTAGTTCTTTAATTTGAATAAATTTGGTATTATGAAAAGCTATCTTCATTGTCCTTATTTTTCTCATTTCACTGAAGATCAGTGGAAAGTCTGATTTAAATGGCCCTATTCTGGAGGCTGACATCTTAGAACAACTGGCCTAGAGAAAGATAACAGGGTAAGGCAGGCTTTGCTGATTAAGTAATTAAGTTAACTACTACTAAGTTAGTTGTTATTTAAGCCTGTATTGCATGTGCTTGCTAGCAGTGCCCTACTTTATTTAAGGTGTGATAGAAGGTAAAAGAGCAATCTTCCTCAAGCCTTCCATAGGCTAGCCTGGAAGTAAAGACTGGGCATTAATATAGATAGTCAAAAATCTAGAAAACAGAAGTCCCAAAGCAGAGCTCAGAAGGGAATTGCAAAAACAATAGAGGTGAGGCTGAAATAGGACTGTGAAACCAGCTCACAAGCAAGAAAGAACAAGGTTGCTAATTCATTTTACATTTAGCGCATTAATCCTGGCTTGAAAAGAAGCTCCCTGGAGCCACATGGAAGACTATTTTCTTACATATCTCTGGGATTCTGTCTTGTCAGCTTAGATCATAACTCTACCAGGCAAGAATAGTGTCTACTTCTGAGCTGTGAACAACATTAGCCTAGACTACACTGGTTGCATGAGTATGACATCCCTCCAAACGTGTCGCTTTTACATATTTGAATTTACTGATCACACTGAAAAGAGAAGTGAGAAAATGGAGTTTCCAAGTCCATTGCTTTCTAAGATTCTTGGAAACTTTTTGCAGAAGAGGTGCCAGTTGAAGTGACACACATGCCAGGAACTTGCCATTCTTCCTCTTTTTGGAACTCTGTAGCTACATTCTCCATAGATATAGAGGGTAGGTGAGCCCATAGTAGTTTTGCCTACGTGGGGAGGTTTTTACTAGTTTCTTGCCTGTGTTCCTGTTACTCAGCACAGCAGATGGGGGTGGCTCTCACTTGAATATCAGCCCGCCAGAAGCTGAAGAGGAACTGCTGCCAAATTTTGATCACTAAATTGTTATCCAGTGTCATCCCACATTCAAATAAGATGCCTTCTTTAAGAAACCACCTTTTGAGAGAAAGCTAATTTTAGAATGACTAGAATACAAAAACGCTCAACACAGAAATAAAGCCCCAGATCCCATGGTGTTGTTCCTTTTCCCAAGTATCCTTCTCTTTCAAGGCTTGTTTCAGCCAAAATAAAAGACTCAGCCACTCTCTCCCTTCAATATTTCTAAGCAAGAGATTCTTCGTGGATTGGGTAGTTCAGAAAGATCGAGCAAATTTCAAAGCATGCCTCCTTCATTCTCATCAATGATAGAAAAGTCTATCTATCTATCTATCTATCTATCTATCTATCTATCTATCTATCTATTTGAACTGTAACAATCTAATTCAAGTTTGACATTTTTTGATTGGGAAACTGAGTACCTCATATCTAATGCAAGGATTAGAACCCAGTACTTCAAACCATCAGTGCATTATTCATTGAAATCTCCTCCCTATACTAGGAGGACAAGGCCCTGGCAGAGGTTACATAATATGTTTCAATGTGTTCTGAAAGCCTCAGAAAACATGCCCCAAACACGGAACCATTTTTCTCCTTCAACTGCCATTTTTTGTTTGCCTCTTTTAGTCCATTGACAGAGAAATGAGTTTTTCCCACAATCAGAGATGATGAAACACTGACTCCTAGTAGCACCATTTCCAATGCATAAACTCAAGGTGCTATTAGGAAGAGAGTCATGAATTTAACCAAGATATGGCCTCAGTCGTTTGAAAACCTAAGCAAAGGGATATCCCTTTCAAAGCACCCTACTCCAAGTTTTTCATGTTTGGCCTGATATGTATGTCACCACCCATGGGTGAAGTCACTCACCCAAGTGACTGCTTTAGACCACTGCCATACAACGTTTTCAGATATGCAGAGAATACTCACTGGTACAAGTTTGAATTAGACATCCAAAGATACTTATCCCCTGTCTGACTTTAGCAAGGACAGAGTAGACATGAAAAGATGGCCTTCAGAAGTGTCTAACTTTCCATCGAGGTCACCATGATCAGAAGGTACAAAAACAGTCTCCATCACATGATTACGGGCCTTCGCCCCTTTGCTGGACTCCTATAGTACTCAAATCACATTTCAATTTTAACCCTTTGCAAACTATACATTGTGTCTTTGCATGAGCACTTTTTTGAATGAAGATGGATCAGAATCCAAATTTCTCATTACATACAATTTTCAAAACAGTAACCAAGTTTTTAAAAAATTACCCTCAATTCTGGAACAACTGTCTGGTTTTTCCATATTTGCCTATAATTATTACATCAAAAAGTGGGTGCATGTCAAGCCACGTACAGATGAGTAGAACCCAAGCACTGCACAAAGCATCACTGTGCATTGAAAGAAAGTGATAACGTGAGTTGTCTTTTTAATACTTGTAAGAAACATTAGCCACTGCTTTCTGTGAGTCTATTACCACTCTATCTTGTGTGAGATCTGGCAATGGTTCAAGGAAACTTCAAACTCTCATGGGGGATTTGCCTATCAGTTTAAAACCCAGAATAATCCTAAGACTCCTCTTTGAAAATGAATCCAAATTCACTACATTCTGATGTAAAACAAGTCTTACTATAAAATTGCATTTTAAACCAATCTTGCTGATATTCAGGTCACATGACTCACCTGCAATGGGTGCCACGGGTCTTCCACGTGGTTGGGGAAGATGGAAGGCAGAGAACCATTTCACCCCGTTATTAGGTTCCTGCTAGGTTGCCAGTTGTCTCCCCGACCCCTTCACCATGTCTGCTCCCAAGATGAACTGCCTTAGGTAGATTACAGAGGAGACACATTTCACCTCTTAATAAAATGCCCCATTGGCCATTGTGAACAGATATCTTCAATTGTTCTGTGTCTGGAAATCCAGAGATGATTTCTTAGCATTTTAAGAGATCACTCAATAACAGTGAGAAAACACACGGACATTGTAACTCTGGGTGAGAGTATGAACCCACCATTTGCAATGATGGCAACTGTTGAGAAGAGGGAAGAATGTAGATAAAACACTGAAGTGAGCTTTTTCATAAACAGATAAGAAGTACATAAAGGCACAGGTGGTGTGGTATGCGGGGATGAGACTGTTAATCTGAAGATCTGAAGGAAAATTTTCCAAAGTAGGGAAATACAATTGGTAAAATAATATGAATGGAAAGTGTGCCTTAAAGAGATTCTGTCTGTGTCCTTAGAGTTCCGTTTGTGGTTCACGTGCTTTGCTAGTAGAAATAGAATGTATTGAATAAGTAAAATTAGGCAAACATATTTCTGTCAGCAAAAAATACATGTCTCAGTCAGCAAGACACTCAGAGATACAGGAATAGTAAAGAGGAAGAAACCATAGGGTTTTGATGCTTTTGTAGCCACAAGGAGTGGAACTGGGGTGAGGTTTGCTAGTGAATTTGTACACTGGACATAAAATGAATTTATGGGAGGACAGTGTGAACAGTGGACAAAAGGGATAGACAGAGTCTGCCTCCTAGAAGATGTCTACTACCTGCCGAGTGGTCCTAAATGGTATGTTTGCCACCATCACAAATTAACCTGTGAATTTAATAAACTCAATGTCTGAAGACCCTCATTGGCTCAACTGTCCACCCAGTGTGTCCCATGAGTGAGGGATTGGGGAGCTCATTTCCAGGAAGCTTCCAGAGTTGGCCTGAGCTGCTGAAGAGCCAGAGAGAGCAGCTTGCTCACTTTACTCACTGCTTTTCCTTCCCCTCTCTTCATGCAGAGGTTTGGAGCCTGCCTTACATGAAAGGGAATCAGCAGCTTGGTGTATCCTTGGTTTTTGCCAAAGACCCAGTGCTCTCTCTACCCATATCTCATACCAAACTATGTAAAGACACAAAATAACAAACCCAGCCACTCCAAGGAATGAATACCTGACAAGTGATTAATTCTCAGATATATTTCTGATATTCTAAGGGCCTGTTGGTGGCTCAGTCATGTTCTTGGCTAGCTCGGAGTCTGTATTTGAGGCAACAAATCAGACTGAGAAACTCCATTGTCAGCCCCCTGCAGTTGCTAAGCTTGGAGATGAAGAAGACACCCGGCCCCAGATCTGGAGGGTTGTGTGGCTGAGCCCCTGCCTTTGCTCTTTACAGTGGCTACACCTCTATTTTAAGGAAGCCCTCCTGTTTTCTGGATTATGAATTTCAGGTTAAGGCCTTGTCTTGGTCCTTTTGTGTTGCTGTAAAGGAATACCTGAGGCTGGGTCATTTATAAGAAACAGAGGCTTATTTGGCTCATGGTTCTACAGGCCACACAAGAAGCATGGTGCCAGCGTCTGCTTCTGGTGAAAGCTTTAGGAAGCTCCACCCATGGTAGAAGGTGAAGGGGAGCAGGTGTGTAGATATCACATGGTGGGAAGTAAGAGAGAGGGGAGGAAGGTGCCCATCTTGTTCACAATCACTTCTTGTAGGAACTAATAGAGCAAGAGCTCACTCATTACTGTCGGGATGGCACTAAGCCATTCATGAGGGTTCTAGCCCCATGACAAAAACACCTCCCACCAGGGCCCACCTCCAACACGGGATCAAATTTCAACATGATATTTGGAGGAGACAAACATCCAAACCATATTATGACTTTTCCCCTTTTTGTTTCCCTTAAGTCAAATGCTTGCCTTAAGCATGGCAGAGAGAGAGTGCTTGCAGGTGGGGCTTTCTAGAGAGGTTAGAAAGGTTGCATGTGAAGCAGTCTTCTCCTCAAGTCTATATTGGTGCCTACAATGCCTCCACTAGAGTCATCCACTGGGCATTTATTTACCTTGAAAAGATACTGCCAGGAGGCAGATATGTCACTCAGGAGGAATAAACACTGATCCACAACTATGAGCTATTTGTGCTGGCCTAGAACTCTCAAATTGGTTGGCAAGGCTGAAGGGGACTATGCAAAATAATTTTTTATGTTTGGTTTCTTTCTTAGTTTACATACATTTTCACAAATATTATTTTAGCCAATCTCCACAACAACCTATGAGACAAGCACATTTGATTCCTTTTTGCTGATGAAAAATCTAATACTCAAAAAAGTAAAAAAAAGAAGGCAGCCCAGGCTGCCTCAACAAAATTCTGTAGCTTCTGTGGCTTAAACAACAGAAACTTATTTTCTTGCAGTTCTGAAGACTGGAAGTCCCAGATCAATGCGCCAGCAGGGTTAGTGTCAGATGAGGGCTCTCTCTTTGGGCTGCAGAAAGCCACCTTCCTGTTATGACTTTTCTTCTATTTGTGTACATTGAGAAAGAAAGATGGAGAGAGAGATCTCTGGTGTCTCTTCCTCTTTTTATAAATTCACCAGTTCTATAAATTAGGGTCTCACCCTTATGGAAGGTAATTTAACCATAATTACCTTCCTAAATGGCCTATACCCAAATAAAGTCACATTGGGGGTTTAGGCTTCAACATACAGAGTTTGCGGAGGGACACAGTTTAGTCCATAGCAGCTAGTATGTGTCAGAGTCAGGATCAGAACCCAGTCTCCTAACTCCATATGCCCTTCCTTATATGTCATTTACAGCTAAGTGTGGATAGAGGTAGAAGGAAACAGAGAGGAGCAAGAGGGTGTGAGGAGGAGAGGAAATCTCGGTGGGACACTGAGGAGGTGGTGGGATCAGAAGGAGGAATCCTGGGTGCTGAATCTGCAGGTGATGGGAGGGTGGGGAGGAGAGAGGGAAGTGAAACCAGATGATGGAAGGAATAAACTAGAGATGAAGGAGGGAGTCGAGGTCCATGCTAGGATCCACATGAAAGACTACCACAGACTGAAATGTAAGTCACCAAGAGAATTTGGAAAAAACCTGTTGTATTTGGGACTTGAAGGAATATGGTATAGGAAAGAGAACATGGCACTGGGGATAAGAGAACCAGCCCTGGCCTGGCTTTGGATGTGTGACTCAACATCTCTGATCTCAGTGTCTTCACTGGACTCTCTCAAGACAAAGGCCCAGACTCAGATCATCTTGAATGTCCTGGGAGGGTCTCAAAGAGCTCCTCTGAATCGTGTGCATGTATGAGGTGGTGATGAGAAGGGTGGCGGAATAACATGGAAACCCAAACAAATCTTCACCAGTTACCTATTTCATGATTTGCTTTAAGCCAAGCTGGGTAGAACTGACCTCTGAGCTGTAGGACCTGAGGACAAGATCCCAATCATAGTACTGGAATGACATCAGTGATGGGAAGAGACACTGACCAAATGGGACTAAATTAAACCATTTTCTCAAAGTGTAGTGTCTTTATTGGCCTCTTCCGGATGCTTTAAGGAGCAAGACAAGGATAAAGGGAATTCTGAGAACATGAATTAGGAGCAGCCTTGAAGCCCTGGGGAATTTGTCCGTCTGGGCCTGTGCTGTGGGGCACACTTCAACATTTATCCACCCTTCCATCAGCCACCTTTGACCAACACTAAAAGCCCGTTACCAAGAAGACAGAGAGAATAATTTCTCTCCTATTAGTCCTTTCTCCTTCCCAAATGTAGTGTTAGCCACTGGGAGCTGTAATTGCAGGCATCACCCAAGGACTATGGATATAAATTTCACAAAGGGCAAGACCTTCCATTATGAGTGGGAAGATGGCTTTAATTAAAAAAAAAAAAATCAATATATTGTTTCCAATCATTAGAATCCCATGTCAGTGGCAAAATCAATCCTTTTCATATTAAAATGCTTACATTCACACTAAGATGTTATATTACACATGAGTCATTGAAGGAGGTGGGGAAGGGGGCTGCCTGAGGACCAGCAGGGGCCCCAGCCATGCTGGGCCATCCTTCCAGTCATGGGTTTCTTGAAGGCCAGTCTTCAGCAATGCTGTGAGGTGAGAAATTCTACACGCACCAGATAGATTTGAAATTCTGTGCACTAGAGAAAGTGTCTCATCTTGACAGATTCTTTCCTCATTCTTCCCAATCCTCAAATGAAAGCAAGAAGAAAAAGAAAAGCTGAAATCACATTTTAAAGAACGGGAGTGGTTTTCACTCTACAGCAGTTGCTCCCTATGCTGTGATGGTGAATTTTTTCTACAGGGTTCAACCAAGAAGCACCAGGGGATTCCGATGTTAAAAAGGGGCTGTGTTTTTAAGAGATAATTTATTTATTCATGTAAGAAAATGCCTTTGATTTTAATCAGTGGCAAGGGGTTGATTCTCCCCTCCAGTTTCCTGAGAAGCATCAGAGAACAGAGACAGTGTGGATCTTGCTGGAGAACCTCACGTATTACTGAAATCGACTCTTGACAGCATTAAATTCCCAGAGGTGCTATTCCATTTCCCACACAACATAATAGTAATGATCTTATGAAGAAATTTTGCTTTTATGGAAACTGTTTATTTCTAAGAACATTCTAACGTCAGGCTAAGTGTGAAGCTTCCCTAATAAAGAAGTAAAATAAAACGAGTCCTAATTAAAAACATTGTTTAAAGAGACACTTGTGAGATAAAAGAAAATCACACTTTACACGGAAAACTTAATCATGTATATTGCTAGAAAGCACTGCAGATTATTCAAGCCAATTTCCCAGAATCCATGCCTTGTCATTCTTTATACTCTTCAACCCCAATTCTTCTGGGTACCGTTTTCCTTAACTCCAGTTCAGCAGACACTCCCTTTGAAGTTAGTGTGAACCTCCTGCCCAAAGGGGAGAGAGATGCTTGAGGAATATCCGCTGATTTTTTTTTTCTCGTTTCACTGGGTTTTGAAAAGGATAAAACAGTCTTGCTGTCTGTCAAATGCTGCCCAGTTTGATTTCCTGCCTGTGTGGACAGAGCAGATATGTCTGGTTGATGCTCAGGCACTCAACAAATAGGACTGTGAAAATGATTTTATTAGCATATTGAAGAAATCGTGGGGCTGGCTTTATACGCTCACATATTTACTATGCCGTGGTGTTTTTCCTGCCTTTGGGAAGCAGACTCTACTAAGTTATTCCTTTGTGCTGATGTGAGCCTGGAGTAAGCCGGGAAAGACTTGAATGCTGGCTTTGTCCTGTTCTGTGACTTTGGGAAGTGACTTTACCTCCAAGTGCATTATCGCCTCTTCTATATAACTTGGGGAAAATACTACTGCCTTTCTTTTTTTGTTTGTTTTTTTTTTTGAGACAGAGTCTCGCTCTGTCACCCAGGCTGGAGCACAGTAGCACAATCTCAACTCACTGCAACCTCCACCTCCTGGGTTCAAGCAATTCTCCTGCCCCAGCCTCCTGAGTAGCTGGGATTACAGGGGATTACAGGCGTGCACCACCACATCTGGCTAATTTCTGTATTTTTAGTAGAGATGGGGTTTCACTATGTTGCCCAGGCTGGTCTGGAACTCCTGACCTCAAGTGATCCGCCCAGCATGGCCTCCCAAAGTGCTGGGATTACAGGCGTGAGCCACAGTGCCTGGCCATACTAGTACCTTTCTGACAGGGTTTTTTGTATTGAGTTATCAAATTCATTAAAAAAAAAAAGCCTTTATCAGCTAGGTACTAGTGTTATTCCCATGTTATAGAGGAGGAAACTGAGGCTCAGAGAGATACATGCCGAACACACTGCCTATATAAGGCTTATGCATAAACTTGGCATATAGTATAATGCCTGTTACCTAGAAAGAGTGCAATACATATTAACTATCATAATAATAGCTTCAGATCATTCCAGTGATCCTTTAAAATAGTGAGCAGAAGAGTGGCTACAGGTAGAAACTTGGGGAGCATCAACAATTAGGAGATGGGTGGAAGAGAGGAGAGAATCAACAATGATGAGGACACAACCAATCAATAATGACATTGCCCAGCATTTATGGCTTCTATACTGTGTGCCAGGCACTATTCTAAGGGCATCCCATGTTTTAACCCAGGAGTGTCCAATCTTTTGGCTTCCCTGGGGCACATTGGGAGAAGAAGAATTGTCTTGAGCCTCACATAAAATACATTAGCACTGACAATAGCTGATGAGCAAAAAACAAAAAGGAATATCTCTAAAAAATCTCATAATGTTTTAAGAAAGTTTATGAATTTGTGATGGGCTGCATTCAAAGCCATCCTGGGACACATGTGGCCCACAAGCCGGGGGTTGGACAGGCTTGCTTTAATCCATTTCATCTTCATCACAACACTCTGAGATAGGGAAGCATTGTATCCGTTATTTATAGATGAAGAGACTGAGGTATAGAGAGGTTTGGTGAATGCCTCAAGGTTGCGTAGCTGGTCAGTGGCAGAGCCATCCCTGCAGCCTGACTCTGGAGCGCACTTCTTTAAGCTCTCACTTTACCGCTGTCCCAGAGCACTGACAGGCAGAACTGGAGAATTAGGAGAACAAGAGACTGTATCATAAGACCAGGGAGAGATTGAGAGGCTGGCAGTGTTAAATTACCTTCCATAGGTTATGGTCCCAGCAGGAAAGAGATGGCATCCCCAAAATTGAGAAATTTGAAGACAGTTTAGTAAAGGGACTATTTACAAAGGTATGGTCAGGTGTAGGCTATTTGACTCCTGCAATCCAGAGTGTTAAAGATAATAATGGGCTACATGGTGGCAGGTAACAGTGGAGGGTAGAGAGTGAGGTTAGCACCTGTTGGCCTGGATGGCTGAGAGGAGAAAGTATATGCTGGGGCCGGAAGCAGTGGTTCACTCCTGTAATTCCAGCACTTTGGTAGGCCAAGGCAGGAGGATCACCTGAGGTCAGAAGTTCAAGACCAGCCTGGGCAACATGGTGAAACCCCATCTTTACTGGAAACAGAAAAATTAGCTGACTGTGGTGCTGCACGCTTGTAATCCCAGCTACTTGGGAGGCTGATGTGGGAGGATCGCTTGAACCCAGGAAGTGGAGGCTACAGTGAGATCCTGCCACTGCACTCCAGCCTGGGCAACAGAGTAAGCCCTGTCTGAAAGAAAGAAAGAAAAAAAGAAAGAAAGAAAAAAAGAAAGAAAGAAAGAAAGAAAGAAAGAGAGAGAGAAAGAAGAAAGAAAGAAAGAAAGAAAGAAAGAAAGAAAGAAAGAAAGAAAGAAAGAAAGAAAGAAAGAAAGAAAGAAAGAAGGAAGGGAAGGAAATACTGGAACCCTGAGAAAATGAGGGATGGTGGGAAGGAGAGGGAGGAAGAGAGAGAGAGAGTGAGAGAGAGATAACTGATTAGAAAGGACAGCCTAACAGGAGCTGTGACTTCTGACAAGAGTAGCAGGCAGCCTACCCTTAGTATGTCCATTGGAAGGAAAATAACTGCCCATCTCTGATGCTTCTTTCTCTTCCTATCATCTCTAGGACTTTCCATTGGCCAAACTCACTGGCAGCCAGAGGACAAAGACACCACTGATGCAACTGGTGGAGTTCAGCTTCCCTGCACACAAAGCATGGTGCAGAAGACAGAATAGATTTAAAAGAGCACAGGAGACATCCAGTCATGACTTAAAGACATTACATAAAATACTACTGTGTTTAGCAACTCAAATATTACTGATGACTTTGTTGAGAACATATTTCAGTGGAGTCATGGGGTGCTGGAAAAGCCGGAGGGCCAGTTAGCTGAATATTGAATGGTCAGTGACAGCGTGGAGGCAGTGAACAGAGACTGTTTTCAAGAACTGTGGTTAGTCAGGGAAGGAAAGAGAAAGCAATGAGGGCAATGGAGAAAATATTTATCAACACAGAGAAGAAAAAAGAAGTGGTTGAAATATAGACAATGGAATGAAATTCTTGGGAAGCTGAAGGAGCCAAGATCAAGATGCCTATTCCAGTGAAGCAGGAAGAAAGGAAGGAAAGAAGGGAAAGAGCAAAGGGTTCATTGTATAAGAAAATAACCTGTGGCATGGCAACAGTGATGCCATCTTGGAGGGAAACCATCTCCATGATGACCAATGTTTGACTCCTGCAAACCAGTGTGTTCTCCAGCAAGGTCTTTAAACATCACCCACAGCCTAGATAAGCCGTCATAAAGAAACAATGCCTGTAGCATGGAAAACCCCTCTCAAAGATGCTTATCTAACCTCCCCAGTGGTCATGAGTTTCATAGGAAATCCTGAGACATGGCCAGCTGCACCTCTTTTACCCTAAAAGCTTGCTTCTAGAGGTTGGATGTGGCGATCCACCTTCTCATGGCTGCCCAAGACATCACTTCTGTTTTTGAGTTCCTATTTAACATGTCTTCCCTAGAAACTGCAACCTCTGCTTCCCGAGTTCCATCATGTTTATTTTAATCTAGGTTCATCAGCTGATTCACACTGTAGATGAAGACTGAGTGAAGAACGGCACCACGAAGATCAAGGTGGGGAGGAGGAGAAGGTCCCAGTGTGATCCTCCCAGGGCACTGCAGTCTGGGGAAGGCATCGGGTTCACACCACTTAGAGATCCTTCACTGAGTCCACAAAGAATTTCACAGTGGCTGAGAGTAGTGGTCACCGCTGGAGTGAGGGAGCCAACTGCTCAGGAGAGGAACTCAGACAAGGGGAGACAGGCAGCCCGGGGGCATAGATGCACTGAGGTGTGTTGGGGAGGCACTAACTCTGCTGCAATACCTTCCAGATGATGGAATTTCAGCCAGAGGCTGTGCACTATGGCAGCTCCCCGTAACATGCCCTCAGGGGAGGCAACGCTGCACCATCAGATCCCTAAGAGTGGATGCTGTAGAGACCCAGGCAAGACAAGAAGACCTCCTGGCCCACTGCCTGGGCTTGCATGTGTAGTGTGTGGACTCTGGGCAGCAGAACTGTACTTGGAAGCAGGGTCTGAACATTCTTGGAAGCTGCTTAACCACTTCAATCTGGATTTTCATCCCTAAAAAAAAGAAAGAAAGACAAAGACTTTTGCATGACACCAAGGATAGGATTTGACCATCTCTCAACTCTGAACTTGCAAAGAAGAATTTACGCTCAAGTATCTGGGACATCACCACTTAGCTGAAAGTTTCTTTCTCTTTTGAAGGATTAGTGGAGGAAGTCATCAAAACATTTGTGTAGTTAGAAGCAGCCTAAAATAAAGGAGGAGGATTAAGGTTTAATTGCCATATTTTTTGTTTTGCAAAATGTGTACCCAATTAAATGCAGTTGGGCAGTTCTGGGAAGAAATTAATAAACAGAGGGTGGGGGAGATGTGGCTGCAGAGAGAAGAGACTGTTCCCAAGCTGAAATTTTGTTTGCCAAGTTTCAACAAAGAGCAAAGCTTAACTCTGAAGGAGAAACCCTTGAGAGACAGGGCTTAGAATAGTAAAGCAAAAAGAAGCCCCAAATGGGGTGGGTTGAGGAGACATTTTTCTAATGCAGTTTATCCTCAGCAGGTGCTGGCAACATCTGTAATGAGACTATCCATGATAAAAAGCTCTCCATACCTTAATCCACACTATATTACATTCATAAACACATTCCCTTCTATTCTCCTCCCCCTGAGGTGCAGGAATAAATAATGTGCTATTAAACTCACATCTCTGCTTTCTGCCTAACATTAAAAGTAAAATGAAAAAAATAGCTTCCACCATTAGAGTATTCCCAGGGGGATGAAAATGGGAAATACCAAGAAACATTTGGGGTGAGCCAATAGAGGAAGCTCTCATATCACCATCAGCACCATCAATTAAGAAACCCCGGGCCTGTTGGTGGGTGCCTGTAGTCCCAGCTACTCAGGAGGCTGAGGCAGGAGAATGGCGTGACCCCGGGAGGCGGAGCTTGCAGTGAGCCGAGATTGTGCCGCTGCGCTCCAGCCTGGGCATCAGAGCAAGACTCTGTCTCAAAACACAAACAAAAAAAAGGAACCCGAAGACTATACATTGAGTAGGTCCTTTGAAAGATACAAATAAATGAGGAATCTTAATTTAATTCAAATGTTATCAAAATAATGAGTGCCCAAGTTTTAAAAATGGAATCAATTCTTTTTATGTATTCATTTATTTATTCATTTGTCCTACAACAATATGTACTAAGCATTTACTACGTGCAAAACACAACGGTACAGAAATTCAAAATATAGAAAAACCGTAGGAAGTACTGTATGGCACTTGGCTTTATAGTCTGTGGCAAAGGTGGCTAGTAGTTTGATATGGTCCTGTCTTCCCACCTTAATTTGGCTACCTTTAATAGGAGCCTACTGTGCAATCCCACTAGGCCAGTACACAGTGTAACTGAAGGTAGAGCTTTCTATCCTGGTACACAATCGATGTTCATAAAAAATAATCCAAGATGATTAAATTGCATGATGTTTTTCCTTCTGGTCTGTAGGAGACATACATGACCTTGCATACATATACCTCACCTCCAATTCATTCATTCATGTATTCATCAAATGTATAGCCCTCATCTATTAAGCACCAGAAAATGCTTGGTGCTGGAGATAAAAAGATGACTCCAATTGTCTTTTCTTTTTTTGTTGTTGTTTTTTGTTTGTTTGTTTGTTTTTTGTTTTTTAGATGGAGTTTCACTCTTGTCCCCCAGGCTGGATTACAATGGCGTCATCTCAGCTGACTTCAACCTCCACCTACAGGGTTCAAGCGATTCTCCCCCCTCAGCCTCCTGAGTAGCTGGGATTACAGGTGCCCACCACCGTGACCAGCTAACTTTTGTATTTTTAGTAGAGATGGGGTTTCACCACTTTAGCGAGGCTGGTCTCAAATTCCTGACCTCAGGTGATCCACCAGCCTCCGCCTCCCAAAGTGCTGAGATTATGGGCATGAGCCACCGCGCCTGGCCCCAGTCATCTTTTCTTTAAAGGGACTTATGATCTAGTGGGATGCCAAGATAAGAGATGCATCTCTGTACAAACTGTCACAGTTGCTGGGACAGTCTGGGCAGAGTGAGACCCAGGAAAAAAAGACCATAGCAAGGCTTGATGATAGCTTTGTCAAGTTCATGACTTTTGCACCATATTTGAATGACAAGTCAGCATGTGAGGTGAGAAAGGAGGAAGATATTTAGGTGAAGGGAGTCATGAACCATGGCTAGAAATGTGAAGAAGCACCCAGGAGTGTTTGGGGAATGGTAAGTGCCTGTTCAGCCAAGGAGATGGGTCCAGAGTTGGTGGAGGCCTGGAAAAACATGGGACAGGAAGATCTTCCGTGGTGAAGGATTCCTTTCCCCACAGTGGTGATGTTGTGTGCATCATGGAAGAAAGACCCACGAGATGAGTGTGGCAGTAGGAGGCAATTCTTGTTCACTCAAAGCTCCTCTCTGCTACAATAGCTAGGGCTTTCTTTACTTATGACATAATCCAAGCTTACCTTTCTTGGAGGCTTTAAAAAAAATAGTCTAGATTCAGAGAAGTAAGGAGGACCTGAGAGATAATTCTAAGATTGATAGTTAAAGTGATTCTACAGTTTATTGATTGAATGCATTGGAACATTTCAAGAAATTGCAAAAATAAGAAATAAAAAAACAGTTTCTAACTGATCAACTGAACAATTTTATTCTGCAAAATAGAATTTATTGTAATTTACCGAGTCAACTTGGATTTTTCAAAAAGTTAGGGGTTGATTGCTGTGTAACACATCATGTAGAAAACATTTTTGAATGCTGAAGTAGTGGATTCTAATAAATGTATACAGAAGAATAAACAAAACAATATCAATCTCATATATCTCCATGAAAGAGACTTAGATATTTGGTGTATATACATATTGACCAGGCTACTTTTTATACTCACTGGTTCTCTTTTAAAACTAATAATGCTACTCAAACCAACAAAACAAGCAAGCTTTAGAATATAATCTCTGTTTACAGAAAAAAAATATATTCAACATGAATTAAGCAAGGCTTGTTTATGATACACAGAAAGAACAGGCAAGGCCCCTATCCCCAGCCCACAAACACACATTTAATGATACATCTACACGCTAGCATCACTTTGGATGTTTTCACATTCAAATTTGCTGGAAACGTTTAGTCTGGGTATGTACAGTAAGTACAGTGGTCCCCCCTTATTCGAGGTTTTGCTTTCTGTAGTTTCAGTTACTTATAGTCAACTACCATTCAAAAATTGGTGAGTCCAGTAGAGTAAGATAATTAGAGAGAGGGAGGGGGGGGCCACATTCATTAACTGTTATTACAGTATATTGTTATAATTGTTTTATTTTATTACTAGTTATTATTACTAATCTCTTACTGCACCTAATTTATAAATTAAACTTTGCCACAGGTATGCATGCTTAGAAAAAAGCACAGTCTATGTAGGTTTGGTACTCTCTGTGGTTTCAGGCCTCCAGTGGGGGTCTTGGAATTATCCCCTGCGGATAAGGGGGGACCACTGTATGCATGCCACAGTAGTGCCAACAAGAATAACTCAGATTTGATCTGCCATTTTGTTCCATTATGGCTTTCCACGTGAGTCTCTGCTGAAGGAAAGTCAGGAGTGTTTCAGACCAAAATCTGTTTGTACGTTTTGTGGGACATGCACTCTTTTGCATTTACATTTTTTTTTGAAATGTCCCTTATGCCTTTTTCAAATATGCATCTCCTATGTCACCAGCCAGACTGCAAGCTGCAAGCATAGCATCTGGAGCTACGACTATCCATGGCTATCATCAACTAGCCAGCTGACATGTTGTCAGGTCTAAGCCTAAATCTTTATGCTTAGTGAATTGAGGACAAAGGATAACCTAATGTTGTTTCTGTTAAACCGAAATTGCTGTTTATGGCAGACTTTTTCCAAAGTACTAAACAACTCCATCTAGCAGATCAATTTGCTTAGGCGACC
Source organism: Homo sapiens (assembly GCF_000001405.40). Lineage (NCBI taxonomy): Eukaryota > Metazoa > Chordata > Mammalia > Primates > Hominidae > Homo > Homo sapiens. Next base: position 33,636,185 of record NC_000010.11, read on the forward strand.
TGAGGGAACATTTTGTAGTTAATTCATTTGAACAGACCTGCTGGTAGGCAGTGCTGATCAAAATCAGATGTACAATAGGATAAATGCTCTAGTTCTTCATCAGAAAGACGGAAGACTGGAGATCTCTGCCAAAAAACTCCCCAAGCTCCAGTCACGTTTGCTTAGTTTTAGCAACATCTCTGGGATCATTTGTATTAGATTTACTTGGAAATTGGTTGAAAAAGTATGCAAATTCCCGAGCACAAACCTGGACTCCCTCAATAGAATCTCTATGGGTGGAGTCTCAGAATCTAGATTTATAGAAAGTTTTCCAGAAAATTTATTTGCACACTAAAGTTTGAGGATGATTGTTGTATGGAATCCAGAGAATGTCACTCTAGACATAAGGACAGACTGATTTTCTAGGGGGAAAAATGGCATCTCTGCTCTGGAAACTACTGTAGCTCATTTTACTGGAAGTGGGTGTTCCCACGTTAGAGCACAGACAAACCCGCCAATCACTCTGCTTAATCAGATGTCTTATACCATGTCAGCAGTGGTCCCTGGTGAAGAATTAAGTTCTCCCAAATATTTTAGCATCTAAGCTTTTATATCAAAAAGCGGAACATTTCACTTCTCTAACCACATTGAAAATACATTGCATTATTGATCTCATTCCACCCAAATGAACCATCCTCAACTTTTCAATAATCACAAACGACTCACTAAAATGAGGGTGGTGCATTGACCAAGGTGCTATGGTCTGAGTGTTTGTGTCCCCCAGCCCATTTCATATGTTGAAACCTAACACCCCATGGGATAGTGATACAGAATGGCTGGGCTGCCGGCTAAACCCCACCCTTAAGCCTGGAACTGCAGCCCTAGATGAAAACAGCTGACCCCGTTTTTCTGCCCAAATGTTGCTTTTTTGACCTGCCCTGCCCCTATCCTATGCCCATAAAAAGACTTCAGCTGGCAGAGCAATACAAGCAGTTGAACACTGGGGATACAAGCAGCTGAGTGGCAAGCAGAGAAGCAACTGACCATTGGAGACTACAGAAAGATGTGATTAACTTCAGATGGGGCAGTTTCAGGGAAAAATCACCTTCTTCCTGCACCATCCCCTTTCCAACTCCCCATTCCACTGAGAGCCGTTTCCACTTCCATTGCCCAATAAAATCCTCCATGTACACTACCCTTCAATTTGTTCATGTGACCTGATTCTTCCTGGACACAGGACAAGAACCTGGGTGGCTCACACCTGTAATCCCAGCACTTTGGGACGCTGAGGCAGGTGAATCACCTGAGGTCAGGAGTTCAAGACCAGCCTGGCCAACATGGTGAAACCCCATCTCTACAAAAAAATGCAAAAAATTAGCCAGGCATGGTTGTGCATGCCTGTAATCCCAGCTACTCAGGAGGCTGAGGCAGGAGAATTGCTTGAACCGGGAGGCAGAGGTTGCTGTGAGCCAAGATCATGCCATTGCACTCCAGCCTGGACAACAAGAGCAAAAAGAAATAAAAAATAAAACAAAAATACAAAACAAAACCTGAGTGCTGAGAGGGCAGGAGCTTGGACATTGCTGTGGGGCCTGCACAGAGCGTGCTCCAGCCAGAGAGGAGTGACCAGCTGGTTCCAACGTTCATTTGCTCCAGTTCCTGCACTTGCTTGCTCACGCACTCCCTCTCTCAAGGAGTGGCCAGCAGTGGGCTGAGTGAAATGAGCCACTCCAGTTCCCACCCATGAAAGGGGTCAAGGTCATGGGAATAATCCAGTCTCAATAGTATTAAAAGGCGGGCTCTGTCTGGAGGTGATTGAATCATGAGGGTGGAACCCTCCTGGATGTGATTGGAGTCCTTATAATAGAGACCCAAGGGAGTTTGTCCCTTCCACCACTTGAGGACACAGGCAGAAGACATCATCTATAAGGAACATACCCTCACCCAACACTAAATCTGCTGGTGTTCTGATCTTGTACTTCTCAGCCTCCAAAACTTCAGGAAATAAATATCTGTTGTTTATACATCACCCAGTTGATGTATTTTGTTATAGCAGCCCAAATGGACTAAGACACAAGGTGACAGAGGGGTTGTGTGATCTAATTAATTAAGGCTTGGAGAGTGACTGGAGAAGGGTTTGGTATTAGCATTCAGTATTATTTATTTGTAATGCAATTTGAGAACTTTCTCCATAATGAGGAAAAATTACACACAGCCATTTAATTCCTCAGGGTACTTGAGAATAAAAAGCTGGCTTCAGGAGAGCAGAGAATTACTGCAGCCTTTACTATAATAACCACCAGCATGGAAATGAAATAAGAATCTGCTAGCTCCAGGTGGAAAGTTATCTGAGGAACCTAAATGGGCCTGTTGCTGATATACTCATGGTTGGCACAAGCAGAAAACCAGACATTCAAGCCCCTCCACTGAACCCCTCGCAGTCAGCAGCACTAAAGCCCAGAAGCACAAAATGAGTGAAGATATTGGTGGCGATAAATTTTTTTTTTGAGTTAATGGACTTCATGAATACATGTATTTTTTAAGTTCGAGCTATTATCTAATTTCAAATCACCCCTTGCTAACATACTAATTTATTAACTTACAGAAATGATGATCCTACGTGATACTGGCCTCCCGACAACAGAACTGGGTTTTGGCAGGGTTTTATTTTCAGCAACACTGGGGAGAAAAAGCATGAGAAACTTTTGAAGAATAATAAAAAATGGATTAAAGGGAATAGAAATAATTTATCATGTGCAGATGTGCAGAAAGAAAAGATGGTGGCTTTGCAGCTTGGTTTTCTAAAAACCAAATTGTAGTGAAGGTATCTTGCCCAATCACCAATTTGTGAAAACAGGGACCTAGATGTCTCATGAGCTATCAGGTGTACTAGCTTTCATAAAAATCACATGATCAAATGAATAGTCAGGAAATTCCCCTTCTTCTGACTAACCAAACCCAGACCTTGCAACCTTAATGAGAAGAGAAGGCCAGGAAAATCTGGCAGGTTGTTTGTTGAAAGCCAAACGCTGTGTGCATGTCAGCGGCTCTCTAAGGAGGTTCAAGGCTGCCGAATGACTTGAAAGTCCTCTGCAACTTTCTGTAGGAAAGGATAAAAAGGTAAACTTAGGAAAGGAAGGAAACGTGGATTAAAGTATGACTTGCAGCTTCTAGAATCTTCCAAGGAGGAAAGCACTTCCAAAAAATGCTTAGAGGTTTCTTTTGTGTCTGAAAAGTAAATGAATTGCTCAATGAGTTCCCCTTTCATAGAAGGCTACTTTAAAAAAATTATACTTTATTACTTTATATTATGCTTCTATATTTTTACTTTTTTATTTTAAAAAAACAGGAAAATGTGTCATGGATTCTAGGAAGATTTACAATTAAAATAGTTAAAGTTTTTTTCCATTTTGTGACTTTGCTTTTCACACTCTAAGTTATCCTTTGATGAATACACTACTAATTTTAGCATAGTCCAATTTGTTCATCTTTTTATTTATAGTTAGTCCTTCTTCTCTCCTTTTCAAAAAATAGTTCCATACCTCATGGTCATGAAAATTTCCTCCCATATTATCTTCTGAAAACTCTACCATTTTGGCATTTAAACTTAGATCAAGAATCCACTTGGAACTGATTTTTTCCAATATATACATCGATTTTTTCCAACTCTGTTTATTAAGATGATGGTTCTTTCTTTATAGTTCTACTGGGTCACATTGAGTCTCCCTGTGGGTCTGTTTTGGATTTGCAGTTTTGCCCCACTGATCTGTTTATCCCTGCACTGACACCACCATGCCTTATTGCAATAGTTTCCAATGAGTTTTGATATCCGGTAGGGCAAATCCTCTGTTCTCTATCTCCTCCTTTTCTTCCTGGTCCTCCTCTTGCCTCTTCAAGAGTATCTTAGCTACTTTTTGCCTTCTACTTCTCCACATACATTTTATAATCACTTTGCCAAATTCTATTAGAAAGAAAACTATTGATATTTTAGCTGGGATTGTATTGCATCTATAGAACAATTTGGGAAAGAATTTACGTCTTTGCAGTGTTACTTTTCCAACACATGAATGCCTCGTATCTCTCTTATTTAGGACTTCTTTAATTCTTTCCAATTCTGCATTATGGTTTTTTACACAGAAGCACTGTACATTTTTTGTCAGACAGATTCCTGTGTTTTGGATAATTTTTGATACTATTGTGAAAGAAACATATATAAGCAACAAAATATATCTTATATAGTCAGAATATATATTTTTAAACATCAAAAGTTAAAATCAAAGAGACAAAAGCCCAATAGAAAAGTAGCCAAGCTGAGTGTGGTGACTCGCGCCTGTGATCCCAGCACTTTAGGAGGCCAAGGCAGGAGCACTGCTTGAGCCCAAGAGTTTGAGACCAGCCTGGACAACATGGTAAAACCCCATTGCTACAAAAAATACAAAAATTAGCCAGAAGTGGTGGCACAAGCCTGTGGTCACAGCTGCTCCAAAGGATGACATGGGAGGATCGCTTGAGCCCCAGAGGTTGAAGCTGTAGTGAGCCGAGATCATGCTACTTACACTCCAGCCTGGGTAACAGAGCGACATCCTGTCTCAAGAAAAAAAAAAAAGGAAGAAAAAACGTAGCCAAGACTACCTGAAGAATACTTCATCAGAAAGGATACTCAAATGGTGAATAAAATGATAGAAGGCACTCCAATCTCATTAGTCACCAGGGAAATGCAAACTAAAATTACAGTCTTCCCTTGGTATCCAAAGGGGATTTGTTCTAGGACCTCCCATGGATACCAAAATCTGCACATGCTCAAGACCCAGATATAAAATAATGTATAATAGATGGCCAGGCACAGTGACTCACACCTGTAATCCCAGCACTTTGGGAGGCCAAGGTGGATGGATCACTTGTGTCTAGGAGTTGGAGACCAGCCTGGCCAACATAGTGAGACCCCAAAAAATTAGCCGGGCTCGATGCCTGTGGTCCCAGCTACTCGGTAGGCTGATGTGCAAGAATCACTTGAACCTGAGAGGCAGAGGTCACGGTAAGCCAAGATCGCACCACTGCACTCCAGCCTGGGCGACAGAGTGAAACTCTGTCTCAAAAATAAACAAAATAAAATAAATAAAATAAAATAGTGTAGTGTTTACCTATAACCTACAAACATCCACCATATACTTTAAATCATCTGTAGATTGCTTATAATATCTAATGCAATGTAAATGCTATGTGAATACTTGATATGCTGTATTGTTTAGGGAATAATGACAAGAAAAAACAGTCTGTATATGTTCAAAACAGATTCAACTTTATCTTTGAACATTTTTCATCTGCAGTTAGTTGAATCCAGGGTTACAGAATCCACAGGTACAGAGGGCTGACTGTACAATGAAATAACACCTCTCACCCCCAAGTGGCTAAAATTAAGACTGACAATAGCAAATGTTGATGAGGATATGAAGCAAAGGAGAACTTTTATATACTGCCGGTAGGGGTGTAAAATTACTTTGGAAAACAGTTTGGTATTGTTTACTAAAGTTGATGATACACCCTGTGACCAAGCCATTCTACCCTCAAGAATATCCTAGAGAAATGTATTTGTCCTCCTGACTATGTATATAGAAATATTCACAGGAACATTCTTTATTATAACCAAATACTGGAAAAAGCTCAAAAGTCTAGACAGGTGAATGGATAAATAATGGCGGTAAATTAATACAATGAAATATTATACAAGAATTAAAATGAACAGTATACAAGTACACATAAAAGCCCAGATAGATCTCACAAATGTAATGTCGAGTTTGGGAGCCACAAAGAAAGGAATAAATGTTGTATAATTCCATTTATAGCAAATTTTAAGACAGGTGAAAACTAAACTATGATGTTTAGTGATACATACTCTGATTGTAACAGCATAAAGGAAGTGAAGGAGATAATTACCATAGAAGCAGGAGAGAACTGTGACTAGAAGGAGGACCTGGGGGCATCCAGGGATATCGGCAACATTTTCTTTTTTGAACTGGGTGCTAGTTACAAGGGTGTTTACTTTATAATTATTGATTAAGCTAGGAATCATCTGGATAGAAATTATTTTATTTCTTCAATGGCTAAAATAAGACTTCTTCTGGCCTTCATAAATAACCAAAAAAATGATTAAACAGAGTGGGTCTTCGTTAGAAATACATGATGCTCTTTATGTCATTTTCTATATGTATATTATACAATATTGATGACAAATAAGATTTTTACAATTTCAGTTGTAAAAATTTGGAAAATCACGCACACACATTGTACCTCATTCCGTAAAGTTTGTGGATTGTGTCTGTGTGAGTGTAAACACAATTTGGTGATTGTATGTTGACAGATTATTTCAAACCCTCCATTGCTAATTTACCAATTCCCTAACTTGAATAAAGAACAACCATAATGATGTGAACCTCCTGATTGTAATGCTCAGTTTTAAACATTTTTATTTTGTCACTATATTTTATATATATATAATGTATATAAAATGTTTATGGGTATATATTTGTAATTAAACATGTTGATATATGTATTTATATGTAAGTACACATAAAACTAAAAATAAAAGTACACACTTATATGTGTGTGTGTTTGTGTGTATATATACACATATGTTTAATAACAAACATATACCCATAAAAATATTCAAGGAGTCACACTTTTTGCAGAAAGGTTATTTAATAGATTCTTTCGATAATGAGATTTTTCTCCTGGGAGAAAACATGTTTTAATCACATTTTGTTTTGCATTTTCAGTTTAGTACTTATCTGGTTTTTGGATTTATAAACACTTAAATGATATGAGATTACACTCCCATAAAGCTGTTTAGTAACTCTTACATAGCCAGGAATCACCAGAAATTATTTTATTTCTTCAGTGGCTAAAATAAGACTTCTTATGGCTTTCATAAATAACAAAAATGATTAAACAGAGTGGATATCTATTAGAAATATGTGCTGCTGCCTGAATTGGGGATATATATATATATACATATTTCTCCTTTTACTGTGTGTGGGGCCCACACTGTTTTTCACCCTCACAGATCTCTTGAAATGTATCTCTGATTCACAGAAGGGATTACTCACTAAGCAGTGTTATTTCAAGTAATGATATATTGCTGGCTGGTATTTTAGTAGATTCTTAGTAACCAGTCATTGAAGAAAGAGAGGAGAGAGAGGACTAAAAGGAGTTAAGAAGTAAAAAAGAAAGGTAGGAAGATTTTTTTGAAATGACTATAAGCCAAATTAAAGCATAAACAATAAATGAATGAAACACTACTAAATGAATGAAAGAAAATGAATGAATCAATAAAAAATTAATGAGTGGATGAAAAATGAGTAGATGAATAAAAGAATTAGTGACTGAAAATCAATGGATAAGTGATGAAATGCATGAAAAATATATAACAATAGAAATAAGTAAATGAATGAACAAATGGATGAATGAATGAATAAATAAAAATGAGTGAATTACAGAGAGATGGAGTTGATAGATAAATAAATGAAGAATGAAAATGAACGAGCAAATGAAACAATATCTAAACGCATGCAAGAAAAACGAGTGGGTAAGTGAATACATGAAAGAATGAGGATCAAAGGCATCAGCCTAATGTCTTCATTTTGCAGAAGTGAAAACAAGGGATATGTGATTAAATGATTTGTCTTTGATGGGGAAACTAGAACCTAGTTTTGCTGAAGATGAATTCATAGCATAATTTATCTTGAGTTTCCCTGAACAGCAAGCCTGAGACAAAGACTTTGTTCAGGTACTTGATTTGGGAAGCCACTCCAAGGATTAGGAGCAAACATGTAAGAGGAATAAGACAGGAAAGTAGAAAATGCCAATATAAGAGTGTGCTGTTGAGGTCATCTCTGTAGGCAATGGAGGTAGAGGAAAATCACTGGGAACTCCCCTCTCAGAACTGTCCGCCAGAAGGGTGGGAGGCAGGAGCATGTATCCACCAGTGCGCCTGGGGTTGAGGGAGACCCCTAGGGGTGTTAACTCCAGGTTGTGCATGTGCAGCAGGCAGACTGATCTCCTCCAGTGTCAGAGGAGCCTGGAGACCAAATGAAGATGGAAGCCTGTTCTTGAGGCAAAGGTTGATAGCAGAAAGTGAGTGAAAGCCCATTGTGCTGGTTAATTTCATGTGCTTCCATCAGAGAGCTGGTGAAACATTATTTCTTGGTGTGTCTGTGGGAGTGTTTCTGGACAAGGTTAGTGTTTGAATTGGTGGAATGAGGAGAGCAGATGGCCCTCCCCAATGTGGATGGGCATCCTCAATCCATAGAGGGTCTGGAGAGAGGACGAGGCAGACAAAGGTTGGATTTGCTCATTCTCTACCTGACTGACTGAGCTGGAACAATGCTGGTTCTCAAGCCTTCAGACTGTGCTTGGATCTATACCACTCCCTCTGTGGCCCTCAGTTCTTCAAACTACACCTTTCTTGGGTTTCCAGTCTGCAAAGGGAAGACTGTGGGATTTCTCAGCCTCTGTAACTGTAATCCTGTGAGCCAACAGTTTAGAGTAAATTTCTCTCTCTCTCTCTCTCTCTTTCTCCCTCTCTCTCTCCCTCTCTCTCTCTCTCTCTCTATATATATATATGGGAGCTAAACATTGAGTACATCATGGATATTTATAAATCTCTTTAGATATAATATATATAATATTTATAATAAATAAATAAATATATATAAATACATAAACACACACACACACACACATACATATACACACGCACAGTAGTTTCCTGGTATTCATGGAGGATTGATTCTAGGACCCCACCCCCCTACAAATACAAAAATCCACAGATGACCAAGTGTGTCATACAAAATGGTGTAGTATTAGCATATAGCCTAGGCACATCCTTCAGTATACTTTAAATCAAGCTTGTGTAACCCAGGGCCGCATGTGTCCCAGGACAGCTTTGAATGCAGCCCAACACAAATTCGTAAACTTTCTTAAAACATGAGATTTTTTTTTGTAATTTCTTTTTTAGCTCATCAGATATTGTTCATGTTAGTGCATTTTATGTGAGGCCCAAGACAATTCTTCTTTCAATGTGGCCCAGGGAAGCCAAAAGATTGTACATCTCTGCTTTAAATCATCTCTAGATTGCTTGCAATATTTAATACCATGTACACGCTATGTAAGTTGTTGTTATACTGCATTGTTTACTGAATAATCCCAAGAAAAAAATCTGAACATGTTCAGAAGAGATGTAATTTTTTAAACAATATTTTTGATCCCTGGTTGGTTGAATCAATGAACGCAGAGCCTTCGGAAGATACAGAGGATCAACTGTGTGTGTCTTTGTGTGTGCACATGTGCATGTTTGCACATACAAGTATGTCCTATTGGTTCTGTTTCTCTGGAAGTCTAGTACACCCATACTAGACTGTCTACCCAGAGGTGGCTGCAGTCAGAGCTGAAGTTACAAGGATGTGAAGCATGGCATTAGAAACACCAGGAGCACTCTATCGTGCTGATTTGTTCTAGGTAAGTTCTAGAAGGTGCTAGAAAAAGGAAGATGACTAAACAGTCATGATTTAATGTGTGTCTAATTAACAGGAACTCAGCCACAAAAATAAAATCAGGCTGAAGTTTCTGTTTCCTTCAGGCTCCAGGAGCTTCACAATCTGGTGTTAAATCCTGGTTCTGGTTAACAGATTATCAGAGTCTTCAGAGTTACTTTTCTTTTTCTTTCAACTCATAGCAATTGTTAATTTTAAGGCAGAAAAAAGAAGTCCTTTTAAAATATAAGAGTATATACAGAAACATTTAAGAAATAGGGAAACTACCCTGCCAAGAAGCCCTTTATCTCTGAACAAGAACAATATGTAGTTCTTAGAGGTAAAGCCCACACTGCATCCATGACCTCTTGTCTTCCCTCTTATGTTACAGAGATTCTGCCAGCTGTCAATTTAAACTTTGGGTGTGGTCCTTCCCCTAATCTCTGCACTGATAATACTGAGCTCCAAAACCTCACCTTTTGCATATGCTGAGTGAGAAAAGAACTAAGCATTGATGATTTTCCTTCAAGCTTACTACTCTCATTTCTTCTCAGAGTTCCCCCAATCATTTCTTCATGGTGTCCCCTCGAGCCTCCTAATGTTTTCTCACCTGCCTTCCCCAGGTAACAGCCAATACTGACCTCAGGAAACATTATCTGCTTTCCTTCTATTCCCAAGGGCTCCCCGTGCTGGAGGGCCAAGCAGATAAACTAGCCTAAACTAAGGTATTTAATGCCTGTCATGAGGAATCAGGTCTCTTCCCAAAGTAGCAGTTACATTTTAACAGGAACTTTGGTGCTGTAATTCCAAATAATAAACAATATGGAAACTGCTGGAACTGTGGCAGGACCAAGGAAGGAGATTCCGGAGGCCATGAAAGGTTTTGCCACAGCACTATTCAGAGTAGCAAAGACATGGAATCAACCTAAGTATCCATCAATGGTGGGCTAGATAAGGAAAATGTGGGGCCGGGGGTGGTGGCTCACGCCTGTAATCCCAGCACTTTGGGAGACTGAGGTGGGTAGATCACCTGAGGTAGGAAGTTCCAGACCAGCTTGACCAATATGGTGAAACGCTGTCTCTACTAAAAAAAATGCACAAAAAATTAGCTGGGCATGGTGGCACACACCTGTAATCCCAGCTACTTGGGAGGCTGAGGCAAGAGAATTGCATGAACCTGGGAGGCAGAGGTTGCAGTGAGCTGAGAACGCACCACTGCTCTCCAGCCTGGACAACAGAGGGAGACCCTCTCAAAAAAAAAAAAAAAAGAAAGAAAGAAAGAAAAGAAAATGTGATACGTATACACCATGGAATACTACTACTACTACTACATGGCCGTAAAAAAGAATGAGATCCTGTCTTTTGCAGCAATATGGATGCAGCTGAAGGCTATGATCCTAAGCAAATTAATGCAAGGACAGAAAACCAAATACCTTATGGTCTCACTTATAAGTGGGAGCTAAACATTGAGAACACATGGACACTAAGAGGGGAACAACAGACACCACAGCCCACTTGAGGGTGAAGGGTGGGAGGACGGTGAGGATTGAAAAACCACCTGTAGAATATTATGCTGATTATTCATGACAAAATTATCTGTACACCAAACCCCTGCGACACAACACACAATTTACCCATGTAACACACTTGCACATGTACCCCTTGAATCTAAAATAAAATTTGGAAAGAAAAAGTAAAATAAAAGACGATTTTGTGATTGTCAGGACATACATTCATGCTTACACTTTTTTCCCTTCTTGTTTGTATTTACCAGAAATATACTGAATTTTTAACATGGTGGATTTCAGCTTTGTAATCCTATTTTCAATCAATTTCCATGTTCTGCTAATTATAACCACCATTATAAAAACCGTACAAGAGGTAGTGTCCCCTTATTATATGTATATAATGTTAAAAGAAAAACTGCAGCCAAATTAAATTTAAAGGAGTTTAGTTGAGCAATGAACAATTTGTGAATCAGGCAGCCCTCCGGAATCATAGCAGATTCACAGAGACTTCCACGCAGCCACGTGATGGAAGAAGATTTACAGACAAAAAAGGGAAATGATGTACAGAAATCAGAAGTGAGGTATAAAAACAGCTGGATTGGTTACAGGTTGGCATTTGCCTTATTTGAACACAGTTTGAACAATTAGCAGTCTGTGAGTGGTTGAAGTATGGCTGCTGGGATTGGCCAAGACTTAGCTATCATTACAGGCCCATACTCCTAAATTAGGTTTTCAATCTTGTCTGCCTATTAAGCTAGGTTACAGTTCATTCATAAGGACTCAAATATGGAAGTATGGAGTCCGTCTCAGGCCATATTTAGTCTGCTTTAACAATAACACAAAATTTTGCCCCAACTATCCATACATGAGATTGGTCTTGCCTGGGACAATAATTTTGCTTCCAAGTCCCCTTCCAGTAGAAACCCCCTGTTCCTCCTCTATTATTCCTTATCTAAAGCCATGAGCCTCATTGGCCATCCTGTCTCCAATCCAGAAACCCAGGCATCAATCTTCAGTCTTTCCTTTCCCCAACTCTTCCCCATCAAAATCCTGTCAATTCTCCTGCCTCATCATCTTGGCCAGCCGTACGTTTATCTCTTTCAACTACTGTGATGAGGGCTCCCAGAGAGAGCGTCAGGCAACTTTACCTGATCTGGACATTGACTAAGATCCTGTAGTAGTTTCCTGTTGTCCTCAAAGTGTATGCTTCCTTTAACATGACACATCTGCCTGTCCACATGACTTTTTGCCACTCACTCCTTGTTTTGGAGTTGACACTGTGCTGTCTGTGGGCTCCAGGTTTTCACACTTCCTTATGCATCGAATATTTCTTTTTCTTCCTCTTCTCATGAATATATTCAGTTTATCCTGAAATTTCAGGATGAGCACCACTTCTGGCAGCCTTCCCTGATCCTCGCCTGCTGAGGCTTGGTCTGGTGCATTGTTCTGTTGCATTTATCTCCTCCAGCTGCCAAAACTAATGACCACAAACAGGGTGCTTAAAACAACGGGAAATTATTCTCTTACAGGTTTGGAAGGCAGATGTCCAAAATCAAGGTGATCTTAGGGATGTGCTCCCTCCAGAGGCTGGAGGGGACAATCAGAGCCTTGCCTGCTACAGCTCCAGTGCCTGCTGGCATCCCTTGGCTTGCAGCTGCATCTCTTGGCTCTGCTGTCACAAAGCCTTGTCTTCTGTCTCTCTCCTTCTTGCTTATAAAGATGCTTACTATAAGGGTACTTGTGATGGCATTTAGGGGCCACCCAGATAGTCCAGAGTTATCTTCTTATCTCAAGTACTTAAACTTAATCACATCTGCAAAGAACCTTTTTTCCAAATGAGGTAGCATTCGCTGGTTCCAGGGATTTGCTGTGGATATACAGCAGGGGGATGGAGATCATCTTCTACATTCTGCACCAATTCTGGTCTAACAGACCAGTCATTGTGCTTTCTTTTGTTTGTTGCTTGTTTTTGCATGTTTGTTTGTTTGTTTTCATTTTTTTGAGAGACGGTCTTGCTCTGCCACTCAGGCTGCAGTGGCAAAATCATGGCTAACTGCAGCCTCGACCTCCTGTGTTCAAGTGATCCTCCTACGTCAGCCTCCCCAGTAGGTGGAACTACAGGCACATGCCACTACACCCAGCTAATTTTTTGCATTTTTTGTAGAGACAGGGTTTCACCATGTTGCCCAGGCTGGTCTCGAACTCCTGGACTCAAATGATCCTCCCACCTCAGCCTCCCAGAGTGCTGGGATTATAGGAGTGAGCCACCGCACCTGGCCAGTTGCTTGTTTAGTTAGTTGCCATCTTATCAGACTTGTCAATCTTGTTTACCCCAACTCCCAGTTGAAAAGAGCTGCTCAGATCCCTTCAGAAGGCCAAGTACTCTAAATATTAAACATCACCAAACCCTCAAAACCCGTCTCAGTATGGTTCACCATCCCTACCTCCAAGACACTCCAAGCATCTGCTCTTTCAATGAGTCTTTTCCAGGGTGGAGAGTAAGGGATTCCTTCTCTAGTTCAGGGAAATTCTGACCTGACCGATGATCCCTCTTGGACAGTCTGAGAAGCAAAGGGTCTTCATTCTAACCAGGTTGACTCAACCTAGTCCCAGTTGCCGCTTCCGAAATACCTCCCCAAAGGAGTCTGCACCCCTCCTAAAGACCACTGTGCACAGGAACACTGGTCTGAAAACACAGATCACTCAAAGTATTAAAGAGGTCACTTCTCCTTTCCAATAGGCCCAGTTGTGGCCTCTTAGGTTTTTCTTGGCTTTGAGAAGAGGAGAAAATCCCATAGCATTACTGTAATGCTTGCCATTGCTGGTCCCCCTCAAGGCATCTCAGTATCCTCACTCTCCCAAAGTTTTCCAGGTCCCTTACCTCACCCCACCATGTACTCACTGGTGGACGAAAGCCAAATTTTATTTCAGTCTCTGTAAGTCAATTCTCTCACTGCTATAAAGAAATACCTGAGACTGGGTGATTTATAAAGAAAAGAGGTTTAATTGAATCTTGGTTACTCAGGCTGTGCAGGAAGCATGGCAGCATCTGCTTCTGGGGAGGCCTCAGGAAACTTTCAATTATGGCAGAAGGCAAAACGGGAACAGGCATTTCACATGACTGGAGCAGGAGGAAGTGGGTGGCGGAGGTACCACATACTTTTAAACAATCAGATCTCATGAGAACTCACTGTTGGAATGACAACACCAAGGACCTATGGTGTTAAACCATGAGAAACCACCCCATGATCCAATCACCTCCCACCAGGCCCCACCTCTAATATTGGGGATTATAATTCAACATGAGATTTTCTGGAGACACAGATCCAAACCATATCAGTCTCTTTAGTGACTCTTCAGAAAAAAACTCAATAATTTTAGCTTTGTGTTCAAGTGTTTATTCCTCTTTTCCACACCTCAATTAAGCAACCAGTATCTTGTCTTTATTAGTCAAGAATACCAGTTGCAAGGATTCTGAATCTGTGACATCTTTAAAAAATCTTCTTCCCAGTTTCAGGGACCAGAGGACTGTATGCTCCTGACTTGGGGTGTAGAGTCAGATCTTCCCAAGTCCTTATTCTAGAAAGCACAAACACCCTCAGTTATATCTCATAGAACCTGTAGATTTTTAGTTAAACAAGCATAGTGGTTAAGTATATGGTCTCAGAAGTCACTCAGAATCAGATGTGCATCTCAGCTCCACCAATAATTAATTTGAGTGATCTTAAGTATATTTTGTAACTCCTTCAAGTTTCATGTTCCTCTTCTATTGCATGAAATAAATGCCCACTAATAGGGTTGTTGTGAATTTTGAAGGAAAACATGCATGTAGAACAAAGAGGAATTTCTCCAATATACTCAGGGTGAATGAAATGTTTGGGTCTTCTCTACTAATTACAAGCAAATGGACATTTTCTGGGCAGTTCTGCCAGTTCTCGCTGGTACTCAGACAAAACACCTCTGGATGCTACAATCAAGTAGAGTGGCATGTAGCAGGCTTCTGAGTGGGATTTTTCATTTCTTGTTTTGTTACACAGGAATTGAAGAGTAAAGCCCACCAGTAAGTGTCAAGAGACATTGTGTTTCATAGTCTTAAAAATCCAGTCATTTGTTCCTTGTTAAGAGAATCACTTTTAGAAATTAGGGTTGCCTGCAAGGGGAGACAGGCATCTTCTTTCCTGTCTGGATTTTTGCTAAGCTATTAAACCCAAGACCCATGCCAGGTATCTGGGGAGGAGTTGGATGAAAGATTCCTTGAGAGAGCTGCAAGTGAACCTATAGAGAGATTTGGAACATCTGGAGATTTTCAAAGGTGGTTGGCCTTCTGCTGTAGACTGACAAAAGGGTTTAAGAAGGACTTGTGGGGTAGTGGGCTGTGGAAGAGAAGAGGGAAAACCCTACCCTGGTTCTCCGAGGTGTTTGGAGAAGGAGAACCTTTGAGATTCCCATAGATCCACATGAAGGATCATGCAATAAGAGAAGGCAGAGGCAGAAGTGTGGGCTGGCTAGGATGCAAGTGGGGAGGCTGAGGCCACAGCCTGCTATCAGGTGAAGAGAGACACAGGCACCCGTCTGTATGGAGGGTCTTCACCACAGAGAGTAAAATTGAGCCCTGCCCCTACCAAAATTTCATAATACTAAAACCACGTACAATGGAGACCTCTATTTCATAGAAGGACCCCTGCTTCCAATGGAAGCTGATGAACCAGAGAGAATCCACAGAATTCCCTGCTCACTGTGCCAGCAGTCATGAAAGATGGTGTCATATCCCACTGTCCCCTCTTCCCCCATCTCAACCTCCCACCCTTTGAGAGGGAAGAAAGAAGGTGTGGGTGCATTGTTTATGGTAGTCTTGGTACTGGAATGGAAGGAGGAAGCAAAGGGCAGACCCTGCCCCTTCTCTTCCAAGTCCCCAGATAGCCCTGCCAAGCTTGAACGAAGGGAAAGGGAAGAACCGAGATTTACATTGAGTCTGAGATTGACATATTAGACTGGATAGGATTTTTTAAAACTTGTTTTATTGTGGTAAACATACATAACATAAAATTACCATTTTAGCCATTTTTAGATATACACTTCAGTGTCATCGCATATATTAATATGGTTGTGCAGCCATCACCGAAACATTTTCTTCATCCCAAGCTGAAACTCTGTACTCATTAAACACTAACTCCCTATTCCCTCCTCTCCCCAGGCCCTGGTAACCTCTATTTCTGTCTGGATAAATTTGCCTATAACAGGTACCTTATATAACTGGAATTATACAGTATTTGTCCTTTTGAACCTGGCTTATTTTATTTAGCCTATTTTCAAGGTTCATCCGTGTTGGAGCATGTGCCAGAATTCAACTGTTTTTAAGGCTACACAATACTCCATTGCATGTATATACAACATTGTGTTTATCCGTTCAAATTGTTGATGGACATTGGGATTGTTTCCACCTTTTGGTGAATAATGCTGCTTTGGACATTGGTGTACCAATGTGTTAGACCATTCTTGCATTGCTATAACAAATACCTGAGACTGGGTAATTTATAAGGAAAAGAGGTTTAATGGGTTTAATGGTCTGCAGGAGCCTGCAAGTCACATGGTGAGAGACGAAACAAGAGGGAGAGAGTGAGGGGGCACACCACACACTCTAAAACAACCAGATCTCAGGGGAACTCACTCACAATTGTGAGGACAGCACCAAGAGGATGGTGCTAAACCATTCATGGGAAATTCATCCCTATGATCCAATCATCTCCTACCAGGCCTCACCCCCAACATTGGGGATTACACTTTAACATGGGATTTGAGGGGGACAAATAGCCAAACTATATCAACTAGTGTCTGTTTGAGTCCCTGCTTTCATTTTATTTTAGGTATCTGCCTAGGAGCGGAATTGCTAAATCCTATGGTAATTCTCTGTTTAACTTTTTGACGAATTGTCAAACTGTTTTCCATATTGGCTGTACCATTTTACATTCTTATCAGCAATGCACAAAGGTTTCAATTTCTCTTCATTCCTCCTCAACACTTCTTTTCTTTTTTTTTTTTTTTTTAAATAATCGTCATCCTTATGGGGACAAATACTCCCTCTTTGATCAGACATTAATTAGGCTGCTGTAAGCCCTCTTTTTCACTGGGCCTTGTCCTTAGCCCTGTCTTTCGCCTGTCTAGTCCAATGGTAGCAAGAATCTTGCTAATTCAGTTTAGCAAGAATCCCCCCACTCTTAATATCTCAGCCAGTTCCTCATCCCCCACCTTTGATGTAGAAGTCCCCAACCTGCCTTCAGCAAGAATCCTAAGTCAGTTCAGCAAGTCTTCCTATCCGTGATGTCACCTGTTTTAGTTTTCTACCCACTGACCCCTCACTCTGCTCATTGGCTAGAAGCCTCCAGCTGCCTTTGCTACCTTGAGCCTGAGCTCTCTCCCCTATTGTGATAGCCTTGACACCTATTGCAATCGTCCTAAATAAAATCTTCTTGCTATTTTAACAAGCTTCAGAATATTTTTTTTCTTTAACAATGAGTGTGAAGTCATATCTCATTGTGGTTTTGACTTGCATTTCCTTAATGGCTATGGATGAGTAACTGGGTGAGCTTTTAATATCTGAAAGTATGTAGCAAACGTGGTATCTGCCTCAAATTTAAGGGACAGGAAAGGGATTTTTGGCAGAACATGGTTGAAGACAAAGTATTTTAAAAAATAAATAAAGACAGGCCAAGTATGTTGGCTCATGCTTACAATCCCAGCATTTGGGAGGCTGGGGTGGGGAATCATTTGAGGCCAGGAGTTCCAGACCAGCCTGGGCAACATAATGAGACCCCATCTATACAGAAACTTTTTTTTTTTTAATTAGCTGGGTGTGCTGGCACACACCTGTGGTCCCAATTACTCAGGCGGCTGAGATGAGAGGATCACTTGAGCCCTGGAAGTAGAGGTTACAGTGAGTTATGATCATGCCACCGCACTCCAGCCTGGGCAACAGAGCTAAACCCTTTGTCTAAAAAAAAAAAATAGGCTGGGCTCGGTGACTCATGCCTGTAATCCTAGCACTTTGGGAGGCCAAGGTGGGCAGATCATGAGGTTGGCGACCAGTCTGACCAATATAATGAAACCCTGTTTCTACTAAAAATACAAAAAATTAGCCAGGTTTGGTGGCACGCACTTGTAGTCCCAGCTACTCGGGAGGCTGAGGCAGGAGAATTGTGTTAACCTGGGAGGTGGAGGTTGCAGTGAGCCGAGTTCATGCCACTGCACTCCAGCCTGGGCTACAGTTGGAGACTCCATCTCAAAAAATAAATACATAAAATACAGTAAAATAAAATAGACATATTTGCCTCTCACCAAGATGAGACTTCTGGACAAACAGGTTCTATCAACACAAACCTCCCCTCTTCTCACATACAGGTGCCCACCATAGGCCCACATCTCTCTCCTTTCATTCTCAAAGCCCAGCGTCTCCATCTCACCACCCTTTTCCCTCTCCCCACATTACAGGCAATCCTTGCTTGGACACAGATTTATAAAAAGCCAGGCCTGTTAACTGTCTTCTAGGGGTAAGAGAAACCTAGGTCTTCAGCACTCAACCAACCTCTTAAGACATCAACACACACAACAAGAAATTGGGTGGAAAGTGAGGTACATGGGGACATTATTTCTTCCTGCCTCCATCCTTAATCCCTCATCTTCAAGCATTCTTTGCTTTTCATCCAAATGAAATCAACTACTACTGGGCAGCTGAATGATGGGGGAGAGGGCACTGGTGAGAAATCCCTAAAGAGAAAGGCAATGCGAGTCTAGTTTTATTGAAATAAAGATGAGGATGTCCCGCCAAGAAGGCAGGGCAAAGTTGGCTGCTGGAATTGCAGACATAAGAACTCTCTCCAAAGCATGCCACTGCACAATCCCCCATGGGGCTAATGTCTGCAAAGTGGCACTGGCCTTTTATGAATTGTATTAATTACACTCTTAAGCCCCATGCAAATTGCAAAATCATTTTTTCCAATTGAGTTAATGAAGCCAGTTTAGTACAGGCACGCTGTCTTTCAGCAGAAAATTAGCCCGGCACATTTGTTTGTAGATAGCAGAAATGTGGTGGAAGGTTTTCCTGGGTTATGACTGCAATACATCCTGGGTTGCCTGCCTTGCAATTTTTCTTCTCTGTGAGTATCATCCATTTCCCTCTGACTGAGCCGGATGTGCAGGGGGACTGTCACACTTTCCGATGGTGTTTTATCCATCACTGGGGAGCTGAAAATTCATTCTCAAAGTTTCGATACTGAGAGATGTTATTATCACTTGGAAACTTTCACTGAAAATAAGAGTCTTTGAAAGTGGTTGACCGCTTCCTGACTGATCTGACCTGCTGACAGCCTCGGCCTCCTTTCCTCAAGAACTCCAGGCAGCAAAAGAGAAACCGTCTCCCTCTCACCTCCCAGGTCTCTGCACAGGCACCATAGCTCTGCAAGGCTTCCTCTGCATTCTTTAGACCTTGCAGTCTGGAAAGCAGCTAGCCTGAACTATTCAATAGGGCCTGTGGCAATTTTGCTGCCCTGGCATTTTCAAACACTTAGGATGCCTTTGTGTGGCTTAGAAAAAGATGTCTTCTCTGGGCAGAGGAATTGCAATTAGCCACCCCTCTGGGAAGCACCTCTTTCTCTGCACTGTGCCTGCCCCATCCCTACCCACCCACTGAAGGCTTCAACAGGACCCAACTCACACGCCTGCTCCTGGTGGCCTTTCCTACAAGGACAAGTCACAATATGAGAATAGGCAAAGTTTGTCATTAGTGTTTTATAAGCTCCCTCTTCTCCATTTCATTTCCTTGGAGCTCTAGTGGTGGAAGGAGATAACCCAATGAAGTACATTTATATTAAAGTAAGAATGTCAGTTCATAGTTTAATGCGTTATCTCCTGGCAATTCATCTTTTATTGGGAAACTCTCTGAGTCATTCAAGTATTTCTGACCAAAGAAAAGGTTCAAAATGCTGGAGAATCCCCACACAATGGTCAGCCGGATTGCATTTGGGTGAGGGGGTTTGCGGGAGGGCCTCTCAGCCCAGACAACCCCAGCCAGTCCTGACCAAAGCAAGAACATATCAGCTGCCTGAGCTCAGCAGGAGATAGAATCTGGATTTGGTTTGAGATCCTACAAATTGCAGCATTTTCCTCTCTCCCCTGCCTCCCGCCATGTTAAACTATCCTTGGTCTCATTGCCTGGGGCTTCAAGTCTCTATTAGCATCCTTTGCTAGCCTTTGGCCTGGACACTTAGCCACATCCTCTCACAGAAGGTAGAGTTCTATACTCTAGAGCCCCTGCTACTGATGGGAGTCAGTCCACTTATTAGGAAACCAACTCTTCTCCCTTCCAGACTCTGAATACTGACACCCTGGAGGGGGTCCACCTGCCTTTGCTGGTGCTCTCTCTGCATGAGATTGGGTGGCTTTTTTTTTTTTTTCTTGAGACAGAGTTTCACTCTTGTTGCCCAGGCTGAAGTGCAATGGCACTATCTCGGCTCACTGCAAGTGCCGCCTCCCAGGTTCAAGTGATTTTCCTGCCTCAGCCTCCCATGTAGCTGGGATTATAGGCACCCACCATGACGCCCAGCTAATTTTTTTAATTTTTTTTCTTTCTTTTTTTTTTTTTTTAGTAGAAACGGGTTTTCACCATATTGGCCAGGCTGGTCTCGAACTCCTGACCTCAGGCGATCCACGCACCTCGGCCTCCCAAAGTGCTGGGATTGTAAGCGTGAGCCACCATGCCTGGCTGAGATTGGATGGCATTTCTAGAGGGGCCAGCCTGCATCTTATCTAGCTTCCCTGATCCCTTGCACTGTGTACCTCAATTCATTCTTCTGATATCCCCACCTGTCCAGTCTCTCAAACCTGCCTTGACTTGTGTCAAAGTTTCTCAACATGGCGCCTCAAATCAGATTTGGTTGATGCCTGTTCTAAATACTAAGGGAGTTCCAGTCATTACACTAAAAAATGGTGATTTTTCATCCCATTTTATTGTCTCAACAATTTGTGTGAACTAGATAGGATAAGCATTGCTACTCCAGAGGAGAAACAGTCATAGATGAGCAAACACAAGTTCAAAGTGACCTGCCCAGAATCACGCAGCTAACCAGGGATAGAGTGGAGATGAGAACTTAGGTCTCCTGGCTTTTGTCCCAGTGCTTTTAACTCCAGGACTTGTCACAGTGCCAGGCTTCTCTCATCGTCCATCAAAGTCCATTATAATCTGGAGAGATTGTTCCTATGGGAGAACAGAGCATGGGGCACTGAACTCCTGGCTCTACTGGTGAAGAATACTTGTCTTCCAATTTTGCAAAACAGAGCAAGTTCTTTGGGCTGCAAGTGGAAGGTGGCAGTTTCCAGAAAACAGAGAAGGTGCCATGTTGGAAGATAATTTAGATTTTTGACTTAGAAATGAGAAGGACCTCACGGTTTTGCCTCCAGCAGAGAACTCACAGTGATCATGTTCTTGGCTCCTGCTGACATGTCTCGTGTACACTGGGCCCAGTGAGTCCTGCACACTCACTTGGCTGCACAGCTTCCCCCAAGGCCTCCTAAAGGAAATGAGACAGAGCTGTCAGGGCTGACCTAGAGAAGCACAGTTCTTAAATCCATGAAGCATACGATAGAAAGAGAGCAGTCACCCAATAATTGATGGACAAATGTCTGAATGTTACGAAAACTAAATTTTTTTTAACTCTATTTCTATTTCAGGTCCCAAAATGAATGTGATCTGTTTATGTATCTATTTATTTAATTTGGTTAACCTTTAGCTTTATTTTACTCAGTACAGTTTAGATGAGATGTCAGCAAATGTCTCTCTTAATGAACCAGCAGAGAATACGCTAGCCTTTGAGGGTCATACAGTTATATGAATGAAAGAGTATGGCTGTGTTCCAATAAAACTTTATTTACAAAAACTGCTGGCAGCCCAAATTTGTGCTGAGGCCATAGTTTGCCAACCCTGGTTTAGATTATTGATATTATTTTTGCGTTTCTCAAGACTCACAAGCAGGGAGCATTTGTATAAACTCCACACTCACTCAAAACCATTACTCCAAGCCTAAAGGTCTTACAAGAAATGAAAATCCACCAACAACCGGCAAGAAAACACTCCTACAAAATTCAGAAATGAAATCTTTGTTTACTATTCCATTTCCAAAATCAACTGATTGCTCAAGTAAGAGGGTGTACAGCCGTTAAAAACATAATTAATGGAAATAATTTGCATTACACAAGAATATTAGAATTCCAGAAGCCATCTTTTATAGGAAAAGTTAAATGCTTTTCAATCTCTGATAAAGGTAGATGCTTTATCTAAACCACTCAATAAAGACAACTGTGACAAAGAAACATAGGCAATAAATAAATGTTCTTTAACTTTTTAAATATAAATATTAGCTACAATTTCATCTATATTATAAATATGTTAAATCATAAAATATGAATAAATATGAATGTTATAGGAATACACACACACACACACATAAATCTCCTTAGCTATTTGTGGAAATGCTGCCTGCTGGACAGTATCCACTTCAGCAGGGTTTGAAGGTTTGAACAGTTCTCAGCACTTTTATCTTCCATGGCTGTCAGGAAACTGACTCCTCACCTCTATGTCATATTGCCTTCTAGAAGCGAGAGGTGTTATTAATGGGAATATGTTGCTCAGGTAAATGGTGTCAGGAATGAAAAAAAGTTTGAGATCTTCTGCACTAAAGCAATTAGCTCCTGTGAGTCAGTGATAATAGGTTGACTTTCTACGTGTCTGGGTTTCTTGTAGAGGCCTGGATCCACAGAGCACATTCAGAGATGGGTGGTCTCTCTTTTCAGACACCATGCACTTCCTTAATGCAGATTGTGAAAAAAGAACACAGTATAACTACAAAAACACCATGTCCAACTTCATGAAGGCTGTTATCTTTGTTCGTGTAAGATGTCAGTGAAAATGGTGAAATGAGTGAATAAAAACCAAAGGTTTGTGATGTGCAAGGCTTTATTCTGTGGCTCTGCATGAGCTGCAAAGAAAATAAAACATGTGAAAAGATGAGGCATCCCTGAATGACACCTTTAATCAAGTCATTGTGCCTTTCTTAAATTTTCCATCACAAAGGCAACAAAAAACAGAATCCAGATTGGAAAAAAATGTTCATCCCCTACTGTGGAGATCAGCCAGCAGAGTGTTCTTACCCTCTACAAATTTACTAAATCTATACATGGGCCCCAAAGTTAAGCTCTTCCTGAGACCAGATTCAATTTAAGCCCTGGTTCTATGCATGTAATTAACTATCTCTGTAAGAATTTGAAATACCAAAATGGATTGCATATGCTTGGCATTTTTGCAGGCGTATAAATTGCATACTTTAAGCAAGGAGGGTGCCTCTTTCTGAATTCACCGGTGGTAGTTTAGGCAAGTTCTTCATGTAAATGCACATCCTGATGCATGAGGGAAAAAGGCCAGTCTCCCCAATTTCTTTGAAGGTTTTCGAAGCAGTCTTCATTGAAATAAATGTACTGGAAACAGCAGAAGTAGAAAAAACGGCACAAAGGTGATCACGTTTGCATAAAGAAGTCATTAGGAAGGTGTGCCAATGGAACAATTGTGTGATGTTGCATAACAAATGCACACTTTTTCGTTTAGTTATTTTAAAGATTCCATTTATCTAGTCGTTTTTTGCATTTAAAAAACATGATGCCAAATGATTCTCCATTCCTAAGATGCCAGCAGTTCTTGAAAATGCATTCACAGAATGATTAAAAGTATAATAAAAGAGTAAATCCCAATGTAATATTTATCCAGCCAGAATTTTCAGTGTGGAAAAAAAAAATCTGAACCCATCCCATCTCCCAATTGGTGCAATCACATCTTAATAAAGGACATATTTTAAACGTAGGCTGTTAAAAAACAGTGAACAAAACCAGAAAGAGAACTTCAAAACTCCCCCCAAATGCCTCCAAAACACAGACTCCATAGACTAGAAGCTCAATGAAACTTAGTATAGGCCCTGCCCTCTCCTCTCCAGGTCTCTGTTAGGTCTCTGCCCCATTGATGGCAGAGCAGCTGTTGTCCTCTGAGAGGGCCAAATTCAGTCCACTGCACATAGAACAATAATTGTAAATTCCCCGTGAGCACACTAAAGACTCAGCCTCACAAGTAATCAAAAACCAGATTAAAAGGAGAATGATTTTTCTTGTCTATCAAATTAGCAACAAGTAGATGCTTAACTGATTTTGCTTCTACGCTTGCCGCCTGTGGTCTCACCCGCACGTAGCAGCCTGAGTGATCCTGATGAAACCCCAGACACGCGGAGTCTCTCTCCTGATTAGGACCTTCCAGGGCCTCCTTCCCCACTAAGAATCAGGCCCGCTATCACCTGCCACCCCCTGGCTGCTGTTCCAAGAGCCTGCTCACCTCCTTGCTGTCTCTCTCCGCTCACTCTAACCCCACTGCTAGTCCCTTGACATTATGGAGTGAGCTGATCTTAAGCCCCTTATATTCGTTCTTCCTGCTGCCTGGAACGCTGTTTCCTTGGGTCTCTACGAGGCTTCCTGTCATTCTGCTCCAGCTCAGGTGTCAATTTCCTGTCTCAACTGAATAGAGAGCATCCCATCCAAAATAGCATCCCCCTGCCCTCCAGCCCCTCCCCTGCTCTCTTCTCTGCACAGGTCTTAACCATTGCACGATGTTACAGTGCATATTCATTTATTTATTTTTGCCTGTGAAGTGCCTTGAAGACAGGAAATCTTTTTTGTTGTTGCTCGTGGCTGGATCTCAAGTGTACAGAACCGTACCAAGCACACAGTAAATACGTGCTGATGATGGAAAGGATTTAAATGGCATGACCTGGTGTCACCAAGGCTATTCTCCACGTGTTCCCTTTCAAGGACCGTGGGGAGAGATGTTGGTACAATCACGATGGGAAATAATCTGGCAATGTTACCAAATGCCTCTAACATGTTTCTATCCTTGGACTCAGTTTACCACTTTTAGAAATTTTAGAAATTTACACTCGAGATCAGCAATATGGGCAAAGATTTACATAGAAAGATATTTATATTAGAGTGGTATTTTCAACAGCAAAAATGAGAAATGATGGGAATAAATAGTAATAGCAATAATGATATAGAATAGCTACTATTGATGGAGCAGTTCTGAAGTGTTGGGTAAGATGCTAAGTGCTTTAA